>NC_000016.10:74562500-74865530 GCF_000001405.40 Homo sapiens
CCAGGCTGGAGAGCAGTGGTGTGATCTCAGCTCTCTGCAACCTCCACCTCCCGGGTTCAAGCAATTCTTGTGCCTCAGCCTCCCAAGCAGCTGGGATTACAGGCATGCGCCACCACACCCAGCTAATTTTTGTATTTTTAGTAGAGATGGGGTTTCACCATGTTGGTCAGGCTGGTCTTGAACTCCTGGGTTCCAGAGACCTGACCTCCAGTGATTCGCCCACCTCGGCCTCCCAAAGTGTAGAGATTACAGGCATGAGCTACCGTGCTGGCAGTAAAGGAAGCTTTTCATGACCCACCCACTGAGGACATTCAAATCCTTCACAATCTAGAACCTGGAGGTTGGTTCTTCTGGAAATGACGTCAGGAAAACACTGCCCTTGTTACCCACAATGAAGCAAAACTCTGGGGCCTCAAACACTGGGTCAATTGATATCACAATGCAGGAGGGCCCCTCCAGACTTGGAATTGTACACCCATTGGAAATCTTAACGTAAAGCTAACCAGTTAGAAAAGGTTTTCCCCCAGAAGCAGATGGCACCCTAGACATGGACAGCTTTCCCAAAAGCATGGATCAAAACTTCTCTGTCATCATGAGACTCTTACCTCTCAATGTTTTCCTTGTTTATGCCTCTATGAACAACAGAAAAGGGGTCTTATGGTGCACCAATGGGGCACACTTTTATTTGTGAAAACTTTTACAGCCAACCTTATCCATAGGCAGCATTATGTCTTAATGGATGAAAGATGACAGTCCAATGTGGGTTAGGAATTTTAATGGTTCTGTCAGAAAGAGAACACTGGTCCACTCCTTTTAACCTACATCAGAGGTGAAAAAGAACACTAGTGCTTGGAAGCCTTCATCATTCTGAATGGCCTTCATTGTTAGGTCACTTTTTCCAGAGTTTGGAGTAAACGATACAGTGTCTAGAAATTTGTCCCTCATGGGCTGGACGCAGTGGCTCATGCCTGTAATCCAAGCACTTTGGGAGGCTGAGGTGGGCAGATCACTTGAGGTCAGGAGTTCAAGACCAGCCTGGTCAAAATGGGAACTCTGTCTCTAGCAGAAACACAAAAATTAGCGGGGCGTGGTGGCGTGTGCCTGTAGTCCCAGCTATTTGCGAGGCTGAGGTGGGAGAACTGCTTGAACCCAGGAGGCAGAGGTTGCAGGGAGCCGAGATCACGCCACTATTCTCCAGCCTGCGCAACAGAGTGAGACCCTGTCTCAAAAAAAAAAAAAAGAAAGAAAAAGAAAAAAAAAAGAAATTTGTTCCTCATGATATGCTCCATAGCAGATTCTACTGCAAAGGCTATGGTTACAAAACAGACTTCTTTAAATTATCTTGCTAAAGGTCTACTGGATAACAGAATTGCTCAAGGTTGCCTACTGGCTAATCAGGGAAGTATCTGTGAAGTTGCTGACACTTTTATTTTTATTCTTTGAGACAGGTTTTTGCTCTGTCACCCAGGCCGGACTGCAGTGGCTCAATCATGACTCATTTAGCCTCAACCTTCTGGGCTCAAGTGATCCTCCCACCCAGCCTCCTGAGTAGTGGAACTACCAGCATGTGCCACGAGGCCCGGCTAATTTTTGTATTTTCTGTAGAGACAGGGTCTTGCTATGTTGCCTACGCTGTCTTGAACTCCTGGCCTCAGGGATCCTCCCGCTTCGGCCTTCCAAAATGCTGGGATTAACAGGTGTGAGCCATCATACCAGGCCTTGCTGACACCTCTTGTTGCACGTGGATGAATATACTGGATATTACAGAGATTCAGTTGTAGGGGATTAATGAACTGGCTGCTTGGTTGAAATGAGTAGATTGTTTATCTTGCTCATTCTTTGATCTATTTGATTTTAGTTGGTTTGGTTCATGCGAACTCTGGCTAAGGAGCATACTCCAAACTCTTAGTATTATCCTCCTAACAGTCATAATAGCAGTCTCCCTGCTGCATTATATTCTCTCAAAAGTTATAAATGTTTGCATGCAGCCATCTATGTAAGTTCAAATGGTCTCTCTTCAGCAGGAATGATAAACACTCAAAGACATGCATGATCATGAGGACACCAAAACCTATGAATAAAGTGCTAGGACTGGAAACCCAAAAGGATGGTAACTGAGTAGCACTAAAGCCCTAAGTTTCAGTAACACTCACACCCAAGTGAGAACCTGACCAAAAAGGCGAAGCTGTTAAACAAAATTGTGAGAGCCCACTGTTTTGGATTAAGCTTATTCACTAGGCATCAATAGGCTAGACCAGATCAAACCTAAATGAAGTCACTCATGCTAAATGCAACATCATCAAATTGAAACTTTAAGGAAGCAGAAAGATCCCAAACAGCCCAGGTTTTTTATTCCTTTCCTAAAAACAAGAGATCCCAGCATAAGGAGGTTGCCCCTGCTCTAATCCCTACAGAAAACTAACCTGAAGTCCTTGTTCCCCACCTTGCAAAAGCCAGTTTTGTTACCTCCCAGTTGGATTTGAGATCAAATAAGTACATTTATGGATGCCTAAAGTTTTGTCAACCTCTCAAAATTGACAAACAATACAAAATTGAGGCCAGATGGGGTGGCTCATGCCTGTAATCCCAACACTTTGGGAGGCTGAGATGAGCAAATCACTGGATGTCAGGAGTTCAAGACCAACATGGTGAAATCTGTCTCTACTAAAAATATAAAAATTAGACAGGTGCAGTAGCACACGCCTATAATCCCAGGTACTTGGGAGGCTGAGACATGAGAATCACTTGAACCCAGGGGGCAGAAGTTGCAGTGAACCGAGATTTTATGACTACACCCCAGTCTAGGCAACAGAGCCACTCCATCTCAAAAACAACAACAATAACAAAACAAAACTGAGAGGTTGACCAAAGAGGGGAATTGTTAAAGTTAGCCTAAAGCTGCCTTCTTACATATTTTAAGTTCGGGCCTAAAGATTTCTCAGTACATAGGGAACTGTAACCTGACTAGAAGAGAAAACAAACTGCAACCTACTCCTGTAACAAGTAACTCAGTCTCCGCCAATCACAGCAGCCATACTTCACTCATAGACCGCCAACTGCTTAAACTGTGTTCAGATAAGCCAAAGGCCCAGCTGTAACCAATCCTGCAGTTTCTGTACCTCACTTCCTTTCCTGTATGTCACTTTCCTTTTTCTGTCCATAAATCCTCTCCAACCATACACCAGCACCAGAGTAGTTCTCAACCTTTCCTGGTTCGAGAGGCTGCCTGATTCGCAAATTATTCTTTGCACAATTAAATTCTGTTAAATTTGTCTGAAGTTTTTCTTTTAACACACCTTATTGGTTCTATGTCTCTGGAGAACACTGCCTAATACAAACCAAACTAAAAAGTTTGGTTTAGGTTTGGTTTTGCTTAAAGCAGTGTTTTCTAACGTTCCGTCTTTGTTACAGGATCCCATCCAGGATTTAGTCACCATGCCTTCTTAGGCTCCTTGTTCTGATGATCTTGACTGTTTTGAGGAAACCTCGTCAGGTATTTTGTAGAACGTCCCTCAATTTGGGTTTGTGTGACGTTTTCCTCATGGGTTATAGGCTTTTTGGAGAAAGACCATATAGGTAAAGTGCCATTCTCAACAATCGCATCAAAGGCATACATGCTACAAACACCACCTCACTCATAACGTCAACTTTGATCACTTGGCCAAGGTTTCTCCACTGTAAAATGATTCCCTTTCCACCTTCCCATAGGCTACTCTTTGGAAGCAATTCACCAAGCTCAGCCCATCATCAAGAAAGAAATGCAGAGGCCCACCTCCTGGACAGGGAAAGTATCTACATAAATTATTTGTGATTCTTCTCTACAGGACATTTGTCTTTTCTATTTATTTATTTAACAGAATTTATTTTTGTCCCCAAGCCAGTTCTTTCTACCACGGCTTCATCGTTCCCACAGGGAGTAACCCCCACATACCCAGTGAAACTTTTGGTTTATCTTTAATTTTTCTCCTGTATGTCTCATATTTTAATCCTTTAAAGAGCTCTCCATTGTCATCTTTTTCCAATGTTGTTTAGATTTAGTCAATCTCTTTTCCTTCTGTCATGACTTTAATCCAGACTACCGTCTTCATTCTCTCGAAGAGTTAACCTCTGAGCAGGTCTCTTTTTTTCCCCTCCATGCCTATTCTGTTGTAATTTGCCTTTTATATCCTTTAGTCATACTATTAGATTATTATTCTTATACTTTCAAAAGTATAATTTTAGTAGCATTACAGAGTCAAGACCATTCCCAACCCTAGAACTCAGAATGGAGAAAGTGCATAATAAATATCTGATGGGAAGTAGAAGATACAACAAATTTTTTTCCACCACAATTTATTCTCCACACCAGGAAAATAATACCCTGCAGGAAACTTTAAATAAACAACAGAAATATTTAAACATTAATTATTTTAAACCTAACACATATTGCTAAGATGTGAATGAAAAGTATATATAGTCACGCAAAGAATATAGATATCAGAGGAGAAAATGTTTAAGATGTTGCAAAACTATAGGAAGCTAAGAAAAAGAAAATTGTCTTTGCCCAGAAAAAGAATCTAAGAAAACCTTTCAGGCCGCTTAATGGGTCTCCTAAAATCTAGCATTTTTGAATTTTCTATAGGAGAAAATCTTGAATAAAATTACATGATTACATGTAATTGTGTGTGTGTGTGTTGTGTGTGGGGGGTGTAGGGAGCGGGGAGAGAGAGACAGAGAGAGAGAGAGAGAGACAGACAGAGAGAGGAGTTAGCTGTTTCTTTTGTTTTGTTGGTAGGAGGAACAGAGTTAAGTTCAATTACCAATGTTGTAACACGTCCCTCAGCTCTGGCCTGGCTCACAATAGTTTCACTGAAATTTGTAATGCCAGCGCTTTAGAATTTGAAATGAGAAATTGACAGGTATCTCTTTATTCTAATGATAGAAGCAAATACAAAACATTGGGGTTTCCTAGGACACAGGACTATTCTTCATTTGGGTCACGTCAGAAGTAAAACTCCAAAAGATAAAAATCACTGCTTCCTGTGCTGAAACCTTACTATATATGGTGCACTTTCTTTTTTTTTTTTTTTTTTTTTTTTTGAGACGGAGTCTCGCTCTGTCGCCCAGGTCGGACTGCGGACTGCAGTGGCGCAATCTCGGCTCACTGCAAGCTCCGCTTCCCGGGTTCACGCCATTCTCCTGCCTCAGCCTCCCGAGTAGCTGGGACTACAGGCGCCCGCCACCGCGCCCGGCTAATTTTTTGTATTTTTAGTAGAGACGGGGTTTCACCTTGTTAGCCAGGATGGTCTCGATCTCCTGACCTCATGATCCACCCGCCTCGGCCTCCCAAAGTGCTGGGATTACAGGCGTGAGCCACCGCGCCCGGCCATATGGTGCACTTTCATTGTCTGCTTCTCTAGCCTCCTGGCTTTCTTTTGGGGATTCACCCAACTCTGTCAATCTCAGTCTGAGTGCTCCAGGTCGGGCCTCATTCCTGACACAGATAGAGCAAATGAGTCCACATAATCCAAGACTATGCACATAACATTCCTAACTGGTTCAGGGACTCAGACAATGACAAACAATACAACATTTGCAATAATGCTGGGACACATGGAGGAACAGGAATAAAAGCTACTTTGGCCACCTTGCCACAACGTGGAGACTGTGAAAGAAGCCAGCCCAGAAGCAGATGGTAAGAGAAGTCAGTCCTGCTAAGATGCCAAGTATCAATACCTATCTAAGCCTGAAGCCTGTGCTAAACCTTGTCTTTACAGTTATATGAGGCAAATTCTCTTTTTACCTGAAGCTAGTTTGGAAAGGACTTCCTATTACTATAAAAGAATCATAACTCCTAACTGATATAGTGAGGAACATGAACTTTTTACTTAAATCTCACTCTGATAAAGCAGAAAGAAGTATCAGAATAATTTTACTGCTTTTTTTTTTTTTTTTTGAGACGGACTCTTGCTCTTTCGCCCAGGCTGGAGTGCAATGGCATGATCTCGGCTCACTGGAACCTCCGCCTCCCGGGTTCAAGCGATTCTCCTGCCTCAGCCTCCTGAGTAGCTGTGATTACAGTTGCACACCACCACGCCTGGCTAATTTTTATGTTTTTAGTAGAGACGGGGTTTCACCATGTTGGCCAGGCTGGTCTAGAACTCCTGATATCAGGTGATCCGCCCACCTCGGCCTCCCAAAGTGCTGGGATTACAGGCATGAGCCACTGCGCCTGGCCTGTACGTATATTTTCTATTTGCAAAGTGCTTAACCAATAGTATCTTAAATCAGGTGCACATGCAAAGTAACAGAAAAGCTTAAAAATAAGTGCAGTTATCTGCTTCTGGAAGTGGTTATTTAGAACAACCCTTTAACTATAAACAACTAAAAGTGTTGGAAAACAAAAATCTTCTTAAAAGCAATAAAGAGCTAAAAATACCGTAAATTACTGTCAAGCCAGAACTGAAGGAAAAGGGGGTACATACCCAAGAACACAGGAGAGCTCAAAAGCTCACTTCTGCCTTGAAGGCACTTGCTAAACCCATCAAAATGACTGAAGGGCCGTGTGGGCAGAAACCAAGCCCAAGGCCTGCCCAAGGTAGGAAATCTAATGAGATAGTCCTCACTTAAAGCTGGCATCTCAAAAGGCTACACCCTTAAGACAAGGGTGAATCAGAAGTAAACCAGCCTTTCCACAGATCTGAGCACAGATTTGTACTGTATGGGTGTTTCAGAAAACCTCGAACTGTGAGAATGATGTAAGATGGTCTTAGAATGGAGTGGTCAGAATTCCCTAGCATAAGCAAATAAAAATCCTTTCTGAAACAAGACATCATAAACGATAATCAGCAGAAAGGCAAAGAAACTTTAATAGACATTTAAACACAGTAAACCCAAGTATTTATTCTATGTTTCCTTGGGTTTGAAGGTATATATACCTGAACTGAACAATGCCAGCTGCTTATCAACTGTCATTCACAAACCTGGAACACATCCACCTCGTAAATACTGATTCCAGTTTCAAATACATCTCTAACAGAGTCTAGCTTATCATTATTTCTAGTTCTCATATTTGCACTTGTATCATCAAAATGCAATAGTGCCATGCACAGTGGCTCACACTTGTAATCCCAGCACTTTGGGAGGCCGAGATGGGTGGATCACCTGAGGTCAGGAGCTCAAGACCAGCCTGGCCAACATGGTGAAACCGCATCTCTACTAAAAATACAAAAAATTAGCTGGGCATGGTGGGGCTCACCTGTAATTCCAGCTACATGGGAGGCTGAAGCAGGAGAATCACTTGAACCTGGGGAACAGAGTTCCAGCGAGCCAAGATCACGCCACTGCACCCTAGCCTGGGCGACAGATTGAAACTCCAACTCAAAAAAAAAAAAAGAAAAAAAAAAAAAAGCAACGGTTTTGGCCGGGCGCAATGGCTCACACCTGTAATTCCAGCATTTTGGGAGGCTGAGGCCAGTGGATCGCTTGAGCCCAGGAGTTTGAGACCAGTTTGGGCAACACAGCAAACCCCGTCTCAAAAAAAAGAAAAGGAAAGAAAAAAAAAAAACAATAGTTTTGAAATTTTTTGATGGCTCATAATTTTATTGAAAAGACAAATGGTTTTTGCTCCATAATTACAAAATATTTTCATTTTTATATTAATAAAAATCAATCAGAATAATAAATCCAATGAATATTTTCACTTCTACATCACCTATTTCCTTCTAGGTGCTTTTGTACACACACCTGACTTCACCATTTCTCCAGCTGTCTAATAAACTTTGGTGCAAAAACATCATAAAACCACCAGCTATTTGTCTCTCTACTGGTACCAGCAAACTACCAGGTATTTGTCTCTTTACATTTATCTTTTAATTCACATAATAATTGTGAAGCATTTCTCAGCCTCAGAAAATCTTAAAAGAAGCTATAGGAATAAACTGCTCAATAGCAAAAATGAAAGCCAAAAGACAGTGGAATAAAAAAAAATGCACTGAAAGAAAAATATATTCCAACCTAAAATTCTATACTGTGATGGATTTTTTCAAGGCCACAAATCCCACCTGCCCCCCTTTCTGAAAGCACAGCCCTTTGAATGTGACATTGTTGCTCATGCCATCAACAGATGGAGTCAGGCCAGGCACAGTGGCTCTCATCTGTAATCACAACACTTTGGGACGCCAGGGCAGGAGCATCACTTGAGATCAGGAGTTTGAGACCAGCTTGGTCAACATAGTGGGACCCTGTCTCTATAAAAAATCAGCCAGGTGTGGTGGCACACGCCTACAGACACAGCCACTTGGAAGGCTGAAGTGGGAGAATGGGTTGAGCCCAGGAGTTTGAGGCTACAGCAAGCTACAATCATGCCACTGCATTCCAGCTTGGATGACAGCATAAGACCCTGTCCGCCTACCACCCGCTGGCCCCTCAAAAAACAGATGGATTATAATTCCTTCACTCTTTGTGTTTTTTTGGTCTTTTTTTTTTTTTAACCACACCTCACTTGGCACTTTAACCTTTTGAATCTGGGCATGGCTACCTGACCTGCTTTGGTCAGTAAAACATTAGCAAATGTGACATCAGAGGACTGAAAAGTGCTTGTACACTGGAGCTTGTCCTTTCCGTATTGATTTTTGGACCCAGCCATGTGAAGGAGTGAGACAGCAAGCTAGATGATGAGACATGGAGCCCAGTTGCTTTTTTCACCCAACAAACTACCAGACATGTAAGTGAGGCCATCTGGGTCTGTCCAACCCACAGCTGACCTGCCAAGTGACTACAGATACATGAATGAGCCCAACTATAACCATGTATACCAGAGAGATAAGGGATCCCATTGAGTACTGCCCAAAAATCTGACCCACAGATTCAGGGGCAAATATGTAGTTGTTGTTCTTGAGTCATTAAGTTTGGGACCGGGTACAGAGGCTCACGCAAGTAATCCATGTTTTGGGCAACTGAGGTGGGAAGATCACTTGAGCCCAGAAGCTAGAGACCAGACTGGGCAACATTCAGAGACCTTGTCTTTATAAATAATAATAAAATTAGCCAGGTGCCAGCTACTTTCAGGAGACTGAGGCAAGAGAATCGCTCGTACCCAGGAGGCAGAGGCTGCAGAGAGCTGAGATACAGCCACCGCACTCCAGCCTGGGCAACAGAGCAAGGCTCCATCTCAAAAAGGAAAAAAAAAAAAAAATTAGCCGGGCACAGTGGTGCACGCCTGTGGTCCCAGCTATTTGGGAGGCTGATGTGGGAAGATAGCCTAAGCCCAGAAGATCGAGGTGTGACTGCACCACTGCACTGAAGCCTGGGTGACAGAGACCCTGTCTCAAAAAATAAAAATAAAAATACTAAAAAGATTAGAAAACAAAATGAAAGTAACTAACAATAAAATGCAAAAGAAGTTTGGGGTGGTGTGTTCCCAGCATGTGATACTGTGGAATAGATACTTGGTCTCTGTGCCTGTTTCCTGACGCACAGATCTAACTAAAAGCCTTGGAGTCTCAGAAGAGATAACTGTCTTTTGCATGCTACTGAATGAATTGAATGGTGGTGTTGGGGGTGGTGGTGGCGCTTAAAAAGCTAATTTAGGATGGGGCTAGTCACTGGAAAAACCAAGGCATGATTGGAGGGTTGGGACTTTCAGGCCCACCCCCAATCTCCAGGGAGGGGAAAGGGGCTGAAGGTTAAGTTGATCACCAAAGGGCAATGATGCCTAAGTAATGAAGACTCCATAAAAACCCCAAAGGGGCTGGGCACGGTGGCTCGCACCTGTAATCCCAGCACTTGGGGAGGCCGAAATGGGTGGATCACCTGAGGTCAGGAGTTCAAGACAAGCCTGGCCAACACAGTGAAACCCCGTCTCTACCAAAGATATAAAATTTAGCTGGGCATGGTGACACCCACCTGTAATCCCAGCTACTCGCAAGGCTGAGGCAGGAGAGTCACTTGAACTTGGGAGGCGGAGGTTGCAGTGTGAGCCGAGATCGCACCACTGCCCTCCAGCCTGGGAAACAGAGTGAGACTCTGTCTCAAAAAAAAAACAAACAAAAAAAAAAAAACACAAAACACCCCAAAGGACTGGGTTCTGAGGTCTTCCAGATAACTGGACACAGGTTCCTGGAGAGTGGCCTGCCTGGAGAGGGCATAGAAGCTCCTTGCCCCTTCTCCCATACCTCGCCCTATGCACCTCTTCCAACTGGCTGTTCATCTGTGTCCTTCATAATATTCCTTAAAATACTTGTAAATAGAAGTGTTCCCTTGAGTTCTGTGACCTGCTCTAGCAAATTCACTGAACCCAAGGATAGTGAGGGGTGGGAGGGGGTGGTGCCTGTGGGAAGCCCAATTTATAGCAGGTTGGTCAGAAGCACAGGTCAAACCTGTGTTTGAAACTGGCATCTGAAGTGACGGGCTGTCTTATGGGAATGAGCTCTCAACCTGTGGGATCTGATGCTATTTCCAGGTATATAGTGTCAAGGATTGAGCTGAATTAGAGGACACTCAGTGGGTATACACTGCAGAATTATCTGCAGAATTGGTTGTTGGTGGGGGTAAAAAAATCCATACATCTGGTGCCAGAAGTGTTGAGTGACTATATTGAGAGTAGATAGTAGGAAAAACTCTTTGGTTTTTCACATATCCTCAGACCCAGAAATAGATAATTGACACATAAGCCCAGCAAAAATATCTTTTAAGAATAGGGTAGAATGAAGATATTTCTAGACAAAAAAACCCTGACAGTTGGCCCTCAGAAGATCTTTACTACAAGAAGTTCTGAAGAATGTATTGTAGGCAGATGAGAGATGCAAGAAGATACAGGGAGAAAAGAAAGTGCTAAATATCTGGGTAAATATATTTTTTTTAAAAATTGCTTTTTAAGTACAATAATAATCGTATCTTAAAGGATTCTGAAAATTTGATGCCAGTATCCACTCTCAGACATTCTGATTTAATTTGCCTGAAACATCTGGGTATTACTATATTAAAAATCACCCTAGATATAACTAGGGTTAGGAACCACTGACTTAAATTTTAAAACTTATACTTATATATCTAAAGCTGGCATGAATCCTCATCTTCCTTCCCCTTTTATTTATCTTGCCTTTTTTTTTTTTTTTTTTTTTTTAAATAGAGACAGGGTCTCACCCTGTTGCCCAGGCTCGACCTCCTGGGCTCAGCTTCCCCAGTAGCTGGGACTACAGTCGCACACTACTGAGCCTGGCTAATTAGCCCTCCTGGGTTCAAGTGATTTTCCCACCCTGGCCTCCCAAAGAGCTGGGATTACATGTGTGAGCCACCTGGCCCAGCCTATCTAGCGTCTTTTTTTTTTTTTTAAACGGGGTCTCACTCTGTCACCCAGACTGGAGTGCAGTGACGCAATCTCGGCTCACTGCAACCTCTGCCTCCCAGGCGAAAGTGATTCTCCCAGCTCAGCCTCCCAAGTAGCTGGGATTACAGGCGCACACCACTACACCCCACTAATTTTTTGTAGAGGCATGACTTCTCCATGTTGCCCAGGCTGTCTTGCCTCTTTTTAAGCTACTGACTCATGATTCTCCACGGAAGTAAGCAACATGCGTGTGCACGCGCACACATACACACATACACTTATTATCTCTGTAATACAAAGTAGCTCAGCCTAAAGATACTAAAGGTCTAAAGAACACTAAGCTTCTCAGCCTTTGGTGAAGATGAAGTGGAAAAAACAATTACTATGTAATTTCTAATTATTTCCCATCAACAGGATATGACTATTTAAATTCAGAGGGTGTTCACAGTTGCAAGCATCCAAGAAAATCTCAGCTAAAGCTAACGCTAAACAGGTTTTCTGGTTAATGTTCTTCTACGGTATATTCAGCAAAATATTATCTAATATAAAAGACCAGACTGCAGGCCATCTGTTAACAGTAACAGATAGGGATACTGCATTACTCAAAACTGACTATGTTAACTGTTCATTTTCCTAAACTGCTCTGTTGACTAGCTATGAAGGATGGTGCTTATCATCTAACTCAAAATGCAAATATCAGAATTAACCCCCAAAGCAAGCCTTTGAATGATGAAAGATTTCCAAAATAATAAATTTTGGCAACAAAATCAAAATAAAAAAGAGGTAGAATCTAGGTCAGTGCAGTGGCTCACGCCTGTAACCCCAGCACTTCGGGAGGCTGAGGAGGGAGGATCATTTGAGGCCAGGAGTTTGAGACCAACCTGGCCAACACGGTAAAATGCCATTTCTACTAAAAACACAAAAAATTAGCTGAGCATGGTGGTGCACACCTGTAGTCCCAGTTGCTTGAAAGGCTGAGACACAAGAATCTCTTGAACTCGGGAGGTGGAGGTTGCAGTGAGCCTAGATTGCACCACTGCACTCCAGCCTGGGTAAGAGAGCAAGACTCTGTCTCAAAAAAAAAAAAAAAAAAAAAAAAAAAAAAGACAGAGAGAGAGAGAGACAGGAGGAATCCATATAAAGAACAAGAAGCCGGGTGCAGTGGATCACGCCTGTAATCCTAGCACTTTGGGAGGCCGGGGGGGGGGGGGGGGCGGATCACGAGGTCAAGAGTTCAAGACCAGCCTGCTCAAGATGGTGAAATCTCACCTCTATTAAAAATACAAAAATTAGCTGGGCATGATGGTGGGTGCCTGTAATCCCAGCTACTCAGGAGGCTGAGGCAGGGAATTACTTGAACCTGGGAGGCAGAGGCTGTAGTGAGCTGAGATCACACCACTGCACTCCAGCCTAGGCCACAGAGCGAGACTCCATCTGAAAAAAAGAACAAAAAAACACTGCACCTAACAGTTAATACAAATGAGTAAACTGTCTGAATCACACACTGATTTTGAGATGCACCATTACTTTACGTACCACTAGGGGAGAAATATTCTACCAATCATATGATGTCATAAAATTTAAGATGCATTCTGATTTCAAAGATGTTAAGATGAAAAATTAACAGCATGTTTTAGAATCAATAAGACATCACAAATAACAAAATATTATGACCAGGTAACCAGAGGACTTTTGCTGGAAGCTAACTACCAATATTAGAACTCAACCAAACCAAACATACAACCAACTGTAACACCAAAATACAGCCTCAAAGATCTCTCGCTCTGTTTTTGTTTGTTTGTTTTTTTGAGACAGAGTCTCCCTCTGTCGCCCAGGCTGGAGTGCAGTGGCACAATCTCAGCTCACTGCAACCTCTGCCTCCCGGATTCAAGCAATTCTCCTGCCTCAGCTTCCGCAGTAGCTCGCTCTTTATTTTTATGCTGTAAATATAGATATCAATGAGAAAATATTGATTTCATAGAGAAGTGGCAATATATTCAAATTCATCACCAACAAAAAAGCAGTATCACGAAACCATATACAACCAACAGTAAGCATACAAGCACAGTGTGCTCTCATGCTCTCTCTCTCTCTCTCAAAATTCCAAACTAGCCAGGCGCGGTGGTTCACGCCAGTAATCCCAGCACTTTGGGAGGCCAAGGTGGCAGATCACCTGAGGTCAAGAGTTTGACACCAGTCTGGCCAATGTGGTGAAACCCTGTCTCTACTAAACATACAAAAATTAGCCAGGCATGGTAGAGGTTGCCTGTAATCCCAGCTACTCAGGAGGCTGAGGCAGAACTGCTTGAACCCGGGAGGTGAAGGCGGCGGTGAGCTGAGATAGCACCACTGCACTCCAGTCTGCGCGACAGAGCGAGACTCCTTCTCAAAAAAAAAAAAAGTTCAAACTATTTTAAGTCTGTGGTGTCATACATACACATTTGGCCCTGGTTAATAAAACTCCACACCAACTATTAAAGACTGACAAATTCCGTGAATTTCTATAAAAATGCAAGACATATAAAGAGAATACAGCCAAACATTTTTCTAACTTAAAATGACACCATGATTTGGATGGATCATAGACCATTTTAAATGAGTTGCATGTACATTATATATTATAGTCTAAGACACGTGTCAGCAAATTTTTTCAGTAAAGAGGCATACCATACTTATTTTAGGCTTTGCAGAACACATACAATCTCTTGTGGTCTCTATGGCATCCCCTTAATAACCTTTTAAAATTATAAAAACCATTCTTAACTCCAGAGCCATACTAAAACAGGTTGTGGGGCTGGATCTGTCCCTTGGACTACAGTTTGCCCACCTCTGGTCTGAGATATAAATGGGGCATAAATGAGTGCTTCATAAAATAAGGTTGCTGGAGAAATTAGAGAACAAATCTATTCTTTTTTAAGGTACAAAAATTGCTAAACAAAAAAATAATGAAGCCTGCTGAAGAAAAAATTTTTATTGTTTTCATTTTAAATATAATCTTTGAGTATACTTTCTTTACTCATGAATGAGATACTGAATTGAGTAGCTGAAGAAATATTTTTATTTTTACCTCTTGGAAGAAACCATGTACCCTGCATATAAATTCTAACCACTCCTAATTTTTTTTTTTTTTTTTTAGAGGCAGGGTGAATGTCACTCTGTCAGTCTCCCAGTGGCATGAACATAGCTCACTGCAGCCTCAACTTCTTGGGCTCAAACAATCCTCTTGCCTCAGCCTTCCAGGCAACTAGCACCATAGGTGCATGCCACCATGCCTGGCTAATTGTTTTTAATTTTCTGGTAGAAACAGGAGTCTCTCCATGTTGCCTAGGCTGGTCTCAAACTCCTGGGCTCAAGAGATCCTCCCACCTTGGCCTCCCAAAGTGCTGCAAATACAGGTGTAAGCCCACTTATTTTAAAAAATAGACATTGAGGACTGGGTGTGGTGGCTCCTGCCTGTAATCCCAGCACTTTGGGAGGCCACGGCGGGTGGATCACCCAAGGTCAGGAGTTCGAGATCAGGCTGGTCAACATGGTGAAACCCCATCTCTACTAAAAATACAATAATAAGCCAGGTGTGGTGGCAGGCACCTGTAATCCCAGCTACTCGGGAGGCTGAGACAGGAGAATCGCTTGAACTCAGGAGGCAGAAAGTGCAGTGAACAGCAATGGCACCATTGCACTCCACCCTGAGAAACAAGAGTGAAACTCCATCTCAAAAAAAAAAAAAAAAGAATCCCAAATACAATAATGAAAAACTATAAAACAGGAAGGGGTAAGTATTCTGACTTCACACGAAAACATTCTTTTTATTTTTATTTTTTTGGAGACATTGTCTCATTCTGTCACCCAGGATGGAGGGTAGTGGCATCATCATGGTTCACTGCAAGCTTGATCTCTTGAGCTCAAGCAATCCTGCTTCAGCCTCCTGAGTAACTGGGACCACAGGCACTACCAGCCACCATGACCGGTTAATTTTATTTTTATTTTTTGTAGAGATGAGGTTTCAGTATGTTACTTGGGCTGATCTCAAATTCCTGAGCTCAAGTGATTCTTCCACCTTGGCCTCCCAAAGTGCTGGGATTAAAAGTGTGCAGTGGCTCATGCCTGTAATCCCAGCACTCTGGGAGGCCAAGGTAGGAGGATTACTTGAGGCCAGGAGTTCAAGACCAGCCTGGACAGTAGAGAAAGACCTTGTCTCTCAAAAACAAAACCCATTCTAACAGCAATCATTTGGATTTGCTCCTTGTTCTCTGTTAAAACTAAAAGAATGAGTAAGACACAATTTTGGTTGTCTGAGGTATTTTGTTTGTTTTTGTTTAATTAGACCTAAGTTGCAATACATTTGATCTCTTTTTGAAAAACTGTTTATTATGAGTATGTGATGACTCATGACTGATGAATAAGACTGAAACAAGAAGGAAATGGACGAAAATTGATCTCATTAAAGTAGATAAAAGCTTTTTGTAGAACTCAGCCAACTAATGCCATCTCCTGCAGCTACTGCCTTGTCCAAATACTCTTTGTGGCACCGCACAGTCCATTTTATCCTCTAGCTTTGTAGGATGTCTTACTTTATGAAGTTCAATTTCAGAGTAAACTCTGTCAAGTGTGTTTTATGAAGACTAAATGTTGCTTGTAATAAGTCAACGGATAATGTCTAATTTTTTTAAAAAAATCAAGAGAACAGCTTACACATTCTATTTAAAAATTAGGTAAATAAGAGTAAAGAGCTAAAACAGTTGAAATTGCAGAGAACTAAGACTGACTGTAGTCCTTCATTATCAACCTGATAGCGCTCTGACTTAAAACTATGAAGATGCATTACTTGGTTTAAAGGGAGACGAAGAGATTAAATCCATGTGCCTGCCAGAACACAGGCCTCCTTAGAGTATAGGAGTATGTTCTGAAGGCTGAATGCACACACAAAAAAAGCTATCTGATGTAGATATATTGATTCTGTGGTTTTTTAAAATCTTCCCCAATACAATTAACATGCAGTATCATAAGTCATTCTGTGAAAACAAGATTTAGGATAAGGTTTTTGAAATAACTTTTTCTCCAAAATGACATGGTCTCACAAGGCATTTAAGTAATCTTTAACAAGATGAAAATAGGTAAATGTGTCCTGAGAATTCTGCATTTATGTCTGCATTTATTAAGAGCCAGCTCTTATTGATCCATATGAATGGGTTGGAATCCTGAACAACAAGGTTCAGGTTTGCCCTAGGAATGCTGAGTTGCAATAACGTACACAAGCTGAGAAGTTAAATTCATAAGTTGTTTTTAAAACTCAACCCAGGAGTTCCAGGCTGTAGTGAGCTATGATCGCGCCACTGCACTCCAGCCTGGGAGACACAGCAAGACCCTGTCTCTTAAAAATACAAACAACAACAACAAAAAAAACAGCCTGGGCAACATGGTGAGACCCCATCTCTACTAAAAACACAAAAATTAGCCAGGTGTGGTGGCATGCGCCTGTAGTCCCAGCTCCTGGGGTGGTGGAGGCTGAGACAGGAGGATCACCTGAGCCTTGGGAGGTAAAGGCTGCAGTGAGCCGTGATTGTGCCAGTGCACTCCAGGCTGGGTGACAAAATGAGAACTTGTCTCAAAACAAACAAACAAAAAACCCTTGGCCAGGCGCAGTGGCTCACGTCTGTAATCCCAGCACTTTGGGAGGCCGAAGTGGGTGGATCACCTGAGGTCAGGAGTTCGAGACCAGCCTGGCCAACATGGCAAAACCCCATCACTACTAAAAATACAAAAGTTAGCCAGGTGTAGTGGCACACACCTGTAGTCCCAGCTACTAGGGAGGCTGAGGCAGGAGAATGGCTTGAACCAGGGAGGCGGAGGTTGCAATGAGCTGAGATTGGGCCACTGCACTCCAGCATGGGTGACAGCAAGACTCAGTCTCAAAAACAAAAAACAAAACAAAACAAAAAACCCTCAAGAGATCTTCATATGAAGACCTTAGCATGGCCACGCACAGTGGCTCACGCCTGTAATCCCAGCACTTTGGGAGGCGAAGGCAGGTGGATCACAAGGTCAAGAGATAGAGACCATCCTGGCCAACATGGTGAAACCCCGTCTCTACTAAAAATACAAAAATTAGCTGGGCGTGGTGGCACGTGCCTGTAGTCCCAGCTACTCTGGAGGCTGAGGCAGGAGAATCGCTTGAACCTGGGAGGCAGAGGTTGCAGTGAGCCAAGATCCTGCCACTGCACTCCAGGCTGGGTGACAGAGTGAGACTCCGTCTCAAAAAAACAAACAAAAAACCTTAGGATAACTTTTCCAGAAGAGCTGAATCTCATGTTGCACCATTTTTTAAAACACAGGCCTAAATCCTAAAGGCTATTTATCAGGTATAAAAGATGCTAAATCAAAAAACCAAATTTTACGCCTGTGCAGTGGTTTATACCTGTAATCCCAGCACTTTGGGAGGCTGAGGTGGGAGGATTGCTTGAGCCCAGGAGTTTGAGACCAGCCTGAGCAACATGGCACAACCCCCATCTCTACAAAAAAAACTAAAAAAAAACCAAACAAAAAAACCAAGCCTGGTAGCATCTGCCTGTCGTCCCTGCTACTCAGGAGACCAAGATGGGAAGAGTGCTTGGGCCCAGGAGGTCAAGGCTGCAGTAAGCCATATTCACGCCATTACACTCCAGCATAGGAAACAGAGAGAGACCCTATTTCAAAAAGAAAAATTTTTTTTAAATTAACTCAAAATGGATCAAAGGCCTAAATGTAAGATCTAAAACTACAATATACTGTGAAGCAAGCATAGGAGAAAAGCTTCATGACATTGAATTTGCAATAATTTATTGGCTATGACACTAAAAGCACAGACAACAAAAGAAAATGATAAAGTAAACTACATCAAAGTTGAAGACGACCAAATCAATAGAGTGAAAAGGCAACCTATGAAAAGGAAGAAAATATTTGCAGGTCATCTATCTGATGAGAGGTTAATATTCAGAATATATAATAAACTCTTACAACTCAACAACAAAATACAAACAGCCTGATTAATAAGTGGGCAAGGATCACCTGAGGTCAGGAATTTGAGACCAGCCTGACCAACATGGTGAAACTCCATCTCTACTAAAAATACAAAAAATTAGTGCACCGTTGCACTCCAGCCTGGGCAACAGAGCGAGACTACGTCTCAAAAACAAACAAACAGAAAATAAGTGTTGGTGAGGATGTGAAGAAATTAGAACTCTCTGAACTGTTGGTGGGAATATAATATGATGCAGCTGCTGTGAAAAACAGTATGCCCTAACCTCAAAAACTTAAAAATAGAATTGCCATATGACCTAGTAATTCCACTACTGGGTATATACCAAAAAAAAGTGAACACAGGGTCTCAAAGAGATATTTGTATACCCACATTCACAGCAGCATTATTCACAAAAGCCAAAAGGTAGAAGCAATTCAAGTGTCCATTAACAGATGAACAGATAAACAAAATGCAGTGTATACGTATAATGGAATGTTATTCACCTTTAAAAAGGAAGGAAATTCTGATACACATGCCGCAACATGGATGAACCTTCAAGACATTAAAAGTGAAATAAGCCAGACATAAAAGGACAAATATCACGATTCCACTTACATGGAATACCTAGAGTAGTCAAATTCACAGAGATAAAAAATAGAATGGTGGTTGCCAGGGACTCTGGAATGGGAAGTTGTTATTTAATGATTATGGAGATTCAATGTAAGATTTAAAAAAAAAAAAAAAAAAGGCCAGGAGGTGCTTCATGCCTGTAATACCAGCACTTTGGGAGGCTGAGACTATCTAAAAGGGAGGACACTCCTGTTAACAAAGATCTTTCAAGATTAAGGAAACCCCAGCACCTCGGGATGTTGAGGCAGGCAGATCACCTGAGGTCAGGAGTTCGAGACCAGCCTGGCCAACATGGTGAAACCCCGTCTGTACTAAAAATACAAAAAATTAGCTGGGCTTGGTGGCGGGCGCCTGTAATCCCAGCTACTCGGGAGGCTGAGGCAGGACAATCGCTTGAACCTGGGAGGCAGAGGTCACAGTGAGTCGAGATAGCGTTACTGCACTCCAGCCCAGGCGACGGTGAGACTCCGTCTCAAAAAAACAAAACAAAACAAAACAAAAACAAATTCAAAGTACAAATCATGTTCTGTGACACCACATTGGCTTGAACCCTCTCCTCCTTCCTCTCTTGCGTAGCATTTTACATGCACCCTCTTCCTCTCCAGCATTTCCAATCTCTCACCCTCTCTACTGGTTCCCTGTTTCTTTGCCTTTAAAACAGATTTTCCTAGATAGTAAGATTGGGGTGAAAAATATTTTAATAAATAAAAAAATAGATCTCCATAATCTGTTTTTTTGTTTGTTTTTTGAGACAGACTTCCGCTCTTATTGCCCAGGGTGGAGTGCAATGGGGCAATCTCAGCTCACTGCAACCTCTGCCTCCCAGGTTCAAGTGATTCTCCTGCCTCAGCCTCCCAAGTAGCTGGGATTTTAGGCATGCGCCACCATGCCCAGCTAATTTTGTATTTTTAGTAGAGATGGGGTTTCATCACGTTGGTCAGGCTGGTCTTGAACTCCTGACCTCAGGTGATCTGCCTGCCTCAACATCCCAAGGTGCTGGGATTTCCTTAATCCTGAAAGATCTTTGTTAACAGGAATGTCCTCCCTTTTAGATAGTCTCACCTTCTCTTCACTATCAAACTTTTCGGTCAAAATCTGGGTTCTGCCGGGCGTGGGGGCTCACGCCTGTAATCCCAGCACTTTGGGAGGCCAAGGCAGGCGGATCACGAGGTCAGGAGATCAAGACCATCCTGGCTAACACAGTGAAACCCTGTCTCTACTAAAAATACAAAAATTAGCCGGGCGTGGTGGCGGGCGCCTATAGTCCCAGCTACTTGGGAGGCTGAGGCAGGAGAATGGTGTGAACCCGGGAGGTGGAGCTTGACAGTGAGCCGAGATCGCGCCACTGCACTCCAGCCTGGGTGACAAGAGTGAGACTCCTTCTCAAAAAAATAAATAAAATAAAATAAAATAAAATAAAATAAAATAAAATAAAATAAAAATCTGGGTTCTATAGAAGGTATTCTATCTCTTTTACCAGAAACCATGCTCTTTTCTCAGTCATTAACT
Organism: Homo sapiens; assembly: GCF_000001405.40. Classification (NCBI taxonomy): domain Eukaryota; kingdom Metazoa; phylum Chordata; class Mammalia; order Primates; family Hominidae; genus Homo; species Homo sapiens. The sequence continues at coordinate 74,582,945 of NC_000016.10, forward strand.
TTAGCTGTGCTACTCTAGTTACCCAAGGGTTTACTACCTTTTAAATTTCTCTTTTCTTGACTCTCACAACTAAAATTTCCCTTTCCTTGGCTTCCACAACTAAACTCCTGTAAATCTTCTTGTAACTCCCAACCACTCCTCCTGTTACCTATAATTCCCTCCACAAGCCTCTTTCCAACCCTTCATCGCAAGCTGTCCCCAGGGCTCAGTCCTTGGAATCATAGTCTTCTATTTACACATTCTTTAAGAGGGCTTGGCCATTTTCATAGCCCCAACTATAGCCTTATAAGCAGGATGACTCTAAAATTTAGACTCAGTTCAAGAGTTAGTTCCAAGTTTATATCCTCTTACTGGAAACTGCCTGAAATGCCTAGCTGTCATTTCAAATTCAGCACAAATTACATATTTTTGGAGGTAGTGTAACAGTTAAACTTTGACTTTTTTGGGGGGTTGGGCGCAGAGTTTCGCTCTTGTCCCCCAAGCTGGAGTGCAATAGCGTGATCTTGGCTCACTGCAACCTCCATCTCCCGGGTTCAAGCAATTCTCATGCCTCAACTCCCTAGTAGCTGGGATTACAGGCGCACGCCACCACACCTGGCTAATTATGACATTTTTAGCAGAGGCAGGGTTTCACCATGTTGGCCAGGCTGGTCTTGAACTCCTGACCTCAAGTGATCCACCGGCCTCAGCCTCCCAAAGTGCTGGGATTACAGGAGTAAGCCACGGCACCCAGCCTAAACTTTGACTTCTCTTCACTTGGTTAAATTCTATCATTCCTTCAGCTCAATCATCATCTTCTCAGGGAGACATATCCAGACTCCAATTAGCCAATGTCCAAGCATCTCTCTTTCAAAGCTCTCACCATGGCTACGTCCTCCACTCGACCATGTCTTTTAGAAGGGGGAGCTGAGGGTATCATCATCACCACATTCCCAGCACCTACAATTAAGGTGCTGGCACACAGTAAATAATATTTACCCAAAATTTGTCAAACGAATGAACAAAAGCACTGTAAATTTTTCCTAGGTAAGAAGTCCCCATCAATCCCACTTCTATCTCCTTTGCTACTAGTCTCCTTTGGCCCAAGTCTGTTTTGAGGTCTCATTGTAACAGCAGCTTTCTCAGCGCCTTCAATTTTCCTCACTTCAATTCATAGTGCCCCGAGTAATTTCCTTAACTATTTCATCATGACATTCTCCTACCCAAGAATGTTTATAGACCTCCTAGTTCCCCCGAAAACAAAACTAAGTTAATATAGACATTTCAATAGACAGCCAGCTTTGACAAGAACAGTAATGCCAGCTGCTCAGGACCCTTCCCACTAGCCATGCACGGCTTCGAAAAACATTGACTGTTTTCTTTGACTCTCCTTTATTCTCCTTGCAGACAATAATATGAACTTGGAAATGTTACTATTAATTGCATCATAAATGCCTAACATTAATTAACGAAGTTTTGTTAGCAATACATTTATAAACCATCTCTTAGGGTATCTTTCTTACAAAGCATGATTAATATTATTTATAACACTCTTACCAATTAGTTTCAGTTTCACTTTAGAAACCTATCCTTAAATCCTAGGGAGCTAAGTAAGCTATGAAGAGGCAAAGGCATAAGAATGATATAATGAACTCTGGGGACTTGGGGTAGAGGGTGGGAAGCGGTTGAGGAATAAAAAAACCACACACTGGGGGCTGGGCACGGTGGCTCACACCTGTAATCCCAGCACTTCGGGAGGCTGAGGCGGGTGGTCACAAGGTCAAGAGATCGAGACTACCCTGGCCAACATGATGAAACCCCATCTCTACTAAAAATACAAAAATTAGCTGGGTGTGGTGGTGCGCGCCTGTAGTCCCAGCTACTTGGGAGGCTGAGGCAGGAGAATCTATTGAATCTGGGAGGCAGAGGTTGCAGTGAGCTGAGATTGTGCCACTGCACTCCAGCCTGGCGACAGAGCGAGACTTGTAAAAACAAACAAACAACAAAAAAACCCCTACACACTGGGTACAGTGTACAATGCTCGAGTAATGGGTGGACCAAAATCTCAGAAATCACCACTAAAGAAAGAACTTATTCATGTAACCAAACACCACATGTTCCCCAAAAATCTATTGAAATAAAAAAAATTTTTAAAACCCTATCTTTAAATCGCAGATTCAAAAACTCTAAGTAAAATTGACCAGGCACAGTGAGTGACTCATGTCTGTAATCCCAGCACTGTGGAAGGCCAAGGCAGGCAGATCACCTGAGCTCAGGAGTTCAAGACTGGTCTGGCCAACATGGTGAAACCCCATCTCTACTAAAAATACAAAAAATTACCTGGGCGTGGTGGCACACACCTGTAGTCCCAGCTACTCGGGAGACTGAGGCACGAGAATCACTTGAACCCAGGAGGTGGAGGCTGCAGTGATCTGAGATTACAGCAGTGCACTGCAGCCTGGGCAACAGAGCGAGACTCTGTCTCAAAAAAACAAAAAAGAGGCCGGGCCTGGTGGCTCACGCCTATAATCCCAGCACTTTGGGAAGCTGAGATGGGCGGATCATGAGGTCATGAGATTGAGACCATCCTGGCTAACAGGGTGAAACCTCGTCTGTACTAAAACTACAAAAAAAATTAGCCGGGCATGGTAGTGTGCGCCTGTAGTCCCAGCTACTCAGGAGGCTGAGGCAGGAGAATGGCGTGAACTCAGGAGGCAGAGCTTGCAGTGAGCCAAGATCACGCTACTGTACTCCAGCCTGGGTGACAGAGCCTGAGACTCCGTCTCAAAAAAAAAAAAAAAAAAGGCCTCTAAGTAAAATTATGACAAATAAAGTTTAGTTATCTAAAGTAAGATTTGGCCGGATGAGGTGGCTCATGCCTGTAATCTCAACACTTTGGGAGGCCAAGGTGGGTAGACCACTTGAGGTCAGGAGTTCAAGACCAGCCTGGCCATTATGATAAAACCCTGTTCCTACTGAAAATACAAAAATTAGCCAGGTGTAGTGGCGGGTGCCTGTAATCCCAGCTACTTGGGGGGCCGAAGCAGGAGAACTGCTTGAACTCGGGAGGCAAAGGCTGTAGTGAGCCGAGATCACACCACTGCACTCTAGCCTGGACAACAGAGCAAGACTCTGTATCGGAAAAAAAAAAAAAAAACAAGAACAGGTGGTAAACAGGGTGAATCCTATGGTAAGTGAATTTCATCTCAATGAGTTAGAAAGAGCTGATAAGGAAAAAAACAAAAACAAAAACAAAGGCAAGGCCCTAGGAAACGAATGGAACCACAAGATAAAAGGAACCTGGGTCTCTGGATCACCAGATGACTGCATCACAGTCCCCCACAACTTCTCTTGTGTTCAACCACTGATATTTTTGGGTTTTTTATGGAAGTTAGTTTTGTCCTAATTAGCACATGAACTGAAAGGAAATCTTTTATCTTGTACACTGGTAAAGGGCTTATTATTAGCTCAACTCAATTACAAGACAAGTTGACCACCTTGACACACAATGAAATTATATCATGCTTAAATATTTTTCCATTGGGCAATGGAAAGATAATTTTTTTTTTGAGACAGGGTCTCGCTCTGTCACCCAAGCTGGAGTGCAGTGGCACAATCATAACTCACTGCAGCCTCAATCTCCTCAGCTCAAACAATCCTCTCACCTCAGCCTCCAGAGCAGCTGGGACTACAGGAGCCTGCCACCACGCCTGGCTAATTTTTTTGTTTTAATAAAGTCAGAACTTTGGATCAAAATACACACACATTTGTAATTCTAATTTTTTTTTTTTTGAAATGTAGTCTCGCTATTGTTGCCCAGGCTAGAGTGCAGTGGCGTGATCTCAGCTAACTGCAACCTCCACTTCCTGGGTTCAAGCAATTCTGCCTCAGCCTACCAAGTAGCTGGGATTACAGCCTCCCACCACCACACCCTGCTAATTTTTGTATTATCAGTAGAGATGGGGTTTCACCATGTTCGTCAGTCTGGTCTCAACTCCTGACCTCAGGTGATCTGCCTGCCTCAGCCTACCAAAGTGCTGAGATTATAGGCGTGAGCCACCGCACCTGGCCTCATTAATCTCTCTTTCTAACAAATTCTCCCCATTCCTTCCCACATTTAATATGTCAGAAGTTAAAATCCAAGAAGTAATGATTTCTACTTCCACTCATGAGGATTAACTACTATGGAAACTATCTCCCTTACTCCCATTGTGAACGAGACACAATATATGACGTAACCTTCAGTCACTGGACAACAGGCAGCATTAACTATGATCCCTGAGAGAAGGCAACAAACCAGGTGAGCCGATGATTACCTAGCTTACTGTATGGAAGTGGCTTCCCGGCTGCAACACAGGGAGAGGGAACCCAAACAGAATTGGATAGTCTTGCTGAAAAGAGGAGAGAAATTAAACTTTAGGGTATCTAAAGCAGCTAGAATTTGAAAGATTTGAATAGTGGAACCAAGAAAGAGTGAGAATAAAGAGTTCTGTACTGAGAATGGTCACAGGAGATTTGTGGAGGGATCCCCTTGAATCTAATAAACAATTACCACACTTGTAAAGCAGGAATATGACTAATAACAAAACTTAATCAATAGAAAAAGATCAAGAAATGACAGACATGATGGAATTAGCACATGAGGACCTCAAACAGCTATTACGGCTGGGCACGGTGGCTCACGCCTGTAATCCCAGCATTTCGGGAGGCCGAAGTGGGCGATCACGAGGTCAAGAGATCAAGACCATCCTGGCCAACACAGTGAAACCCCGTCTCCACTAAAAATACAAAAATTAGCTGGGCATTGTGGCACGTGCCTGTAGTCCGGAGGCTGAGGCAGGAGAATCACTTGAACCTGGGAGGCGGAGGTTGCAGTGAGCTGAGACTACACCACTGCACTCCAGCCTGGCGACACAGTGAGACTCCGCTTCAAAAAAGAAAAAAACAGCTATTGCAAGTACACTAAAGGGTGTAAAGAAAAACATGAACATAATGGATAATCGAATATATAAATAAAACACCCAAATCAAACGTCTATAGGTGAAATATACTTAAAATACAAATTCACTGGATGGTATTAATAGCTGACTGAAAACTACAAAAGAAAACATCAGTGAACCTGAAGATCAGCAATAGCAATTATCCAAAATGAAACACAGAGAGAAAAAAAACAGGGGGAGCGTTGGTGGGGGGATTAAAAACAGAGCCCACTTGTGGGACAATAGCAATCAATTTAACCTACATAAGATTAGAGCCCAGGAGAGAAAGAGGGACAAAAAAACTGTCTGAAGAAATAGTGGGCAAATAGTATGTGATCAAATATTTGTTGATGGATTTAAATAAAAATGGTAGGGGCATAAAAATATAAAAAAAATAGCATGAAAATATGTTATCTATGTAAATGTGAAAAATAACAGAGAAGCAATGTGGTAACATGGAAAGACAGAGGCTTTGAATTTTAAAAGATTTGAATTTAAGCTTTTTGGATTTGAATTTAAGCTCTGTTTCTTTCTTTCTTTTTTTTTGAGACAGGGTCTCACTCTGATGTCCAGGTTACCCATTCTGTTGCCACTGCAGCCTCGACTTCCCAGGCTCAGGTGATGCTCCCACCTCAGCCTCACAAGTAGCCAGGACTACAGGCTCTCACCACCACACTGACTAATTTTTGTATGTTTTGTAGAGATGAGGTTTCGCCATGTTGCCCAGGCTGATCTCAAACTCCTAGGCTCAGGAAATCCACCCGCCTTAGCCTCCCAAAGTGCTCGGATTACAGACATGAGCCACCACACTTGGCCTGTTCTTAACATTATGTGACTTGGGCAAATAAAAATCTATCTGATTCGTGGTTTTTCACCTGTAAAATAAGTCTCATATCTGTCATATCTACCACACATGGTTATCAAGAGCTACAAATAAGATTAAAAGGGTTCCATAAACTGAAAGCTAAATAGCAACTTGACTAAGAATAATCAAATAGGGAAAAGGTTGTTAGACCAATATCCTTTTTTTTTTTTAAATCAAATGTATTTGGTGAGTGGCCGGGCATGGTGGCTCATGCTTGTAATGCCAGCACTTTGGGAGGCTGAGGGGGGTGGATAACTTCAAGTCAGGAGTTCGAGACCAGCCTGGCCAACATGGTGAAACCCCGTCTCTACAAAAAGAACAACAACAACAACAAAAAATTAGACGGGCGTGGTGGCGTGCACCTGTAATCCCAGCTACTCGAGAGGCTGAGGCAGGAGAATCACTTGAACCCAGGAGGCAGAGGTTGCAGTGAGCCAAGATTGCGCCACTGCACTCCAGCCTGGGTGAAAGAGTGAAACTCTCTGTCTCAAAAAAAAAAAAAGAACAATTATGTTAAACCATATGAAAATGTTTTTATAAGTCAAATATGATGAAATATTGGTAATTTCTTATAGTTCATTCAATCTAACAAAAATGAAGGAAGAAAACAATGCCTAAAGCAGACCTAGCTGGCAGGGGAAGAGAAGCAGCGGGCTGTGCTGAGGGAAGGGCACTGGGAAATATTTTGGTGCAGCAAATTCCCAAACCACTGATATAAAATATTTTCCCAAAAATAACACTTACATATAAGCCCTGTAAACTCTGAAGCTGTAACTCTGTACTCTCCAAAAGCCCACACCACTACACTATTTATTTGCGGGTGTGGGGCAGCAAGATGTGTATGGAGCCAGTGCGAAGCAGAGGCAAGCAGGCTGAGAATCTGGGCTAAAGAATGGGAATTTCCACAAGAGGAAGGGAAACACAACAATGTCTTCTGACTTCTGCTTTCAGTGCTCTAATTTCTCCTATTTCACATATACTCTCAAGTTGAAAAGGAAAGTATACCAATAGTAAAAATTCTTGGCCGAGCACGGTGGTACACGCCTGTGGTCCCAGCTGCTCAGGAGGCTGAGGCAGGAGAATTGCTTGAACACGGGAAGCAGAGGTTGCAGTGAGCTGAAATCCAGCCAATGCACTCCAGCCTAGGTGACAGAGTGAGATTCTGTTTCATAAATAAATAAATAAATAATAAAAATATACCGATAGTACAAATTCTTGAAACTTCACTTTTGTTGTTGTTGTTGTTTTTTTGAGATGGAGTCTAGCTCTGTAGCCCAGGCTGGATGGAGTGCAGTGACACGATCTCTGCAAGCTCCGCCTCCAGGGTTCATGCCATTCTCCTGCCTCAGCCTTCCAAGTAGTAGGGACTACAGGCGCACGCCACCACACCCACCTAAGTTTTTTGTATTTTTTAGTAGAGACAGGATTTCACCATGTTAGCCAGGATGGTCTTGATCTCCTGATCTCGTGATCCGCCCACCTCGGCCTCCCAAAATACTGGGATTACAAGCGTGAGCCACCGTGCCTAGCCGATAATTTTTCTTTTTTTACCATTATAAGAAGTTTCAGGCCAGGTGCCATGGCTCACGCCTGTAATCCCAGCACTCTGGGAGGCCGAAGCAGGCGGATCACCTGAAGTCAGGAGTTCGAGACCAGCCTGACCAACATGGAGAAACCCCGTCTCTACTAAAAATACAAAAAAAAATAGCCAGGCGTAGTGGCGGGCGCCTGTAGTCCCAGCTACTCAGAAGGCTGAGGCAGGAGAATGGCGTGAATCCAGGAGGCGGAGCTTCCAGTGAGCCGAGATTACACCACTGCACTCCAGCCTGGGCAACTGAGTGAGACTCCGTCTCCAAAAAAAAAAAAAAAAAAAGAAATTAGCCGGGCGTGGTGACACCACATGCTTGTAATCCCAGCTACTCAGGAGGCTGAGGCAGGAGAATCACTTGAACCTGGGAGGCAGAGGCTGCAGTGAGCCGTGATCACACCACTGTACTCCAGCCTGGGCAACAAGAGTGAAACTGTCTCAAAAAAAAAAAAAAAAGAAAAAAAAAAAGGAAAGCATCACCACCACCAGACACACTAAAAGCTGCTATCAATACACATAAGTCAGGTTCTAACAAACCTACCAAACTCAGAGTTTTAAAATGAAATTGTGTCAAAGGAGGGCCTTTCTTGTTAAAAAAAAAAAAAATTAAAATATAAAAATATGAAAATGAAGTTGTGGATTTTCAACTATTTCAAAACTCTGCTGCCTAGTTACTTCTGAAAGAAGACTTACAGGGCCGGATGCCGTGGCTCACACCTGTAATCCCAGCACTTTGGGAGGCCAAGGTGGGCGGATCACGAGGTCAGGAGTTTGAGACCAGCCTAGCCAACACGGTGAAACCCCGTCTCTACTAAAAATACAAAAATTAGCTGGGTGTCTTGGCATGCACCTGTAGTCCCAGCTACTCAGGAGGCTGACGCAGAAGAATCACTTGAACCCGGGAGGCGGAGGCTGCCGTGAGCCAACATCGTGCCACTGCACTCCAGCCTGGGTGACAAAGCAAGACTCCATCTCAAAAAAAAAAAATAAAGGCCTGGCACGGTGGCTCACGCCTGTAATCCCAGCACTTTGGGAGGCTGAGGCAGGTGGATCACAAGGTCAGGAGATCGAAACCATCCTGGCTAACACGGTGAAATCCCATCTCTACTAAAAATACAAAAAAATAGCTCTGCGTGGTGGCGGGTGCCCGTAGTCCCAGCTACGTGGGAGGCTGAGGCAGGAGAATGGCCTGAACCCGGGAGGCGGAGCTTGCAGTGAGCCGAAATCGCACCACTGCACTCCAGCCTGGGAGACAGAGCAAGACTCTGTCTCGAAAAAAAAAGAAGACTTACAAACCAAAAATTTTTTGCGCTGTCCTTAACGTATGGCTAAGTTTAGTATTTATATCTTAGTATCACAGACTGTTTCACAGGCCAGAGAAATGTTCCAACCTGGGAAATATGAGAGCAAAAGGCCTTACATATTATTTTCCCTCTGAAAAGTCACCATCTTTCAGAAAAATTTCAGTAATTTTTGAATTTATCTGGTTTTATACAGGGAAAAAAAGCAGTCTTCTGAACTATTCTTTTTCCCCTTATACGTGGGAGCAGAGTTTTCCTTTGATAGGCAGTATTCCAAATTTGGCAGAACATAATTCCTTTACCCAGAGGATTTACCCCTTCATAGTGTACACATTTAAATACCATGCATATATGTATGTATGTAGAGTTGGGCTCTCACCGTATTGCCAAACTGGTCTCAAACCTCTGGCTTATGCAATCTGCCACCTTGGCCGCCTAAAGTGCTGGGCTGTGGGCCACTGTGCCTGGCCTTCTGTAATTTATTCACTGATTGATTGATTGATTGAGATGGAGTCTTGCTCTGTCATCCAGGTTGGAGTGCAATAGAGCGATCTTGGCTCACTGCAAACTCCACCTCCTGGGTTCAAGCGATTCTCCTGCCTCAGCCTCCTGAGTAGCTGGGATTATAGGCACATGCCACCACACCTTGCTGATTTTTGTATTTTTAGTAGAGACAGGGTTTCCCCCATGTTGCCCAGGCTGTTCTTGAATTCCTGACATCAGGTGATCCACCCGCCTTGGCCTCCCCAAGTGCTGAGAGCCACTGCACCCGGACTGTTTATATAAATGTTCTTGACCTTATTCCAAAGCTTTATGGAAGAAGCTCTGGAAGGATTATATAAAGGGTGTGAAGCATTCCAGTTTATTTCACACTTCTCTTAAGGCAGCGAACAAAAAGCATTATCTCGAATGATCTCACCTATAACAACAAAGGGGAAAGGGAAGACCATTTATAAATAAGAAAACTGGAGGTCTGAGAGATTAATTTGCCCAACATCATAATAACTGGTAAGTGAGCTAGGGTTTGAATCCAGGACTGCAGCTCCAAAGCCCATTCTATTTTTCCATTTACCACAATGCTTTTCCTCTCATCACAAGCTTCACATGACTATAGGACCTTCTCTCTTCTTATTTTATTTCATATATAATAGGTGTGTCCTCAGCAAATGGCTGCTATCGTTTGAATATGTCCCCCAAAGTTCATGTGTTGGAAACTTAATCCCCAATACAAGTGTTGAGAGATGGGACCTTTAAGAGCTCACTAGGTCATGAGAGCACTGGTCTCATGAATGGATTAATGCCCTTATCTCCGTGATCCTGGGAGTGGGGTTCTGATAAAAGGATGAGTTCTGCACATTCCTTGTGCAAGCCCGCCCTCCCTCTTGCATTCTCTTGCCCTTCCACATTCTGCCATGGGATGATGCAGCAAGCTGGCCCTCACCAGATATGGCCTCTCAATCTTGGACTTCCCAACCTCCAGAACCATGAGCCAAATAAATATTCCTTTATATATTACCCAGTCTTGGGTATTCTGTTATAGCAACACAAAATGGACTCAGACAATGGCACTAATTAACAGATGGCATTACGTTTGTCAATGATTAAAATTCTCCATTACACCCCTTTCTGCATCGTTGAAGTTACTGTCCACTTCATGCTATTTATCACATTACAGAGCTGATATGGCCAGTGCAAGAATTTTGAGAGTTCTGTTAAATGACTTGCAGGGCAGTCTTTATAGTTTACACCTAAATTACAAGTGAAGTACCAGAGCTTTTTTTTTTTTTTTTTTTTGGAGACAGAATTTCACTCTTGTCACCCAGGCTGGAGTGCAATAACGCGATCTCCGCTCACTGCAACCTCCACCTCCCAGGTTCAAGCGATTCTCCTGCCTCAGCCTCCTGAGTAGCTGGGATTACAGGCATGTGTGACCATGCCTGGCTAATTTTTGTATTTTTAGTAGAGACAGGGTTTCACCACGTTGGCCAGGCTGGTCTCAAACTCCTGACCTCAGGTGATCTGCCCGCCTCGGCCTCGCAAAGTGCTGGGATTACAGGTGTGAGCCACCACACCTGGCCAGGTACCAGAGCATTTTTAACATAATTTCTTTTGCTGTCATTTGTTTAAAACTTGTATTTCAATTGATGTAGAACTTACATTCCTATTCTCCTGGTTAATTTTACTCATCTACCATTTCACTTCATTGTTTATCATTCTTATGATTTTAAATAAGTATAACATTTTTATTTTTTTCTTGTTGTCATTTTTTTGAGACAGAGTCTCACTGTTGCCCAGGCTAGAGTGCAATGGCACGATCTTGGCTCACTGCAACCTCCGCCTCCCAGGTTCAAGCAATTCTCCTGCCTCACCCTCCTGAGTAGCTGGGGTTACAGGCATGCGCCACCATGTCTGGCTAATTTTTTTATTGGTAGGAGAGACGGGATTTCGACATGTTAGCTAGGCTGGTCTCGAACCCCTGACCTCAGGTGATCTGCCCACCTCAGCCTCCCAAAGTGCTAGGATTACAGGTGTGAGCCACTGCGCCCAGCCTATCACATTTATTTTTTAAAGAAACACAAAATTATTTTAAGAATTTGTTTTATTTTACAAGTGTATAGATCCAGGATTCAAGTCAGCACCCATTTTTAATATGATTCACCCTATCAAGAATTATAGGTGTTATTCAAGCCTTTAATAGGAAAATGTACAGGTCCTGTAAATATCACACATTCAGTCAAACAAAACTTTCTGATTTCAGTAAAATTATTAAAGCTGAATGACTACAGATGCCTGGTTCTCTTAAGTCATTGTTTTTAGATTCCAGTCCACACTCCTTGTTCCTTCACACTCTATTTTAATGCAGATACAAAGGGTAGTACTGGCACAGTTCTGAGGACCATCACTTAGGATCTTTTCTTAAGTTTCAAATCTATCTAAGGCAACCAAAATAAGATGAGTCACTAACTGACCTCCAGTTTTATCAGAGTATTGTTCTCAAGTGGAAGGAGCTAAAGCACCCCTTACAACTCATAAATTAGGCATTCGGAAGATGAAATCTACTCATGAACAAGATTAGGAGGCTTTTGTTTTGTTTTGTTTTTGAGACAGACTCTCACTCTGTTGCCCAGGCTGGAGGGCAGTGGCACGATCTCAAAATGTGTACACTTTGAAGGGGTAAATCCTCTGGGTAAAGGAATTAAGTTCTGCCAAATTTGGAATACTGCCTATCAAATCAAACCATGTTGATTTAAGGCCGGCGCGGTGGCTCACGCCTGTAATCCCAACACTTTGGGAGGCAGAGGTGGGCAGATCACGAGGTCAGGAGATCAAGACCATCCTGGCTAACACAGTGAAACCTCGTCTCTACTAAAAATACAAAAAATTAGCTCGGCGTGGTGGCAGACGCCTGTAGTCCCAGCTACTCAGGAGGCTGAGGCAGGAGAACGGCATGAACCCGGGAGGCGGAGCTTGCAGTGAGCGGAGATCGCGCCACTGCAATCTAGCCTGGGCAACAGAGCAAGAATCCGTCTCAAAAAAAAATAATAATAATTTAATTAACATGAACCACCAATTTAAGAAGAATTAAAAGTACTGAAGGGCTCTGGGTGTGGTGGCTCACGCCTGTAATCCCAGCACTTTGGGAGGCCGAGGCAGGCAGATCACAAGGTCAGGAGATCGAGACCATCCTGGCTAACACGTTGAAACCTGGTCTCTACTAAACATACAAAAAATTAGCCGGTCGTGGTGGCGGGCGCCTGTAGTCCCAGCTACTCTGGAGGCTGAGGCAGGAGAATGGCATGAACCCAGGAGGCAGAGCTTGCAGTGAGCCAAGATCGCGCCACTGCACTCCCGCCTGGGCGACAGAGCAAGACTCCGTCTCAAAAAAGAAAGTACTGAAGGGCTTTTTTTTCTGATTCTCCCAACCATTTCCTGTACTGTACGCCTACAGCATTTAATTTATTCTTCTCTTATGACACTTATTACTTTAAAACTTGTATTATGGTTTTCAGTAAAGATATCTTTTTCTTCTAGATCAGTGCTATTCATAAGTATGTGAGACACATACATAATTTTATGTTTTCTAGTAGTCATTTATTTTTAAAAAGTAAAATTGATTTTGTAATTTATTATTTAACCCAATATATCGAAATTTTTTTTAAGACATAAACAATATAAAAATTATTGGGCCAGGTACAGTGGCTCACGCTTGTAATCCCAGCACTTTGGGAGGCCAAGGCGGGTGGATCACCTGAGGTCAGGAGTTCGAGATCAGCCTGGCCAACATGGCGAAACCCCATCTCTATTAAAAATATAAAATTTGCCAGCCATGGTGCCACATGCCCATAGTCGCAGCCACTCGGGAGGCTGAGGCAGGAGAATTGCTCGAACCTGAGAGGCAGAGGTTGCCCCTTATACGTGAAAGTGGAGTTTTCCTTTGATAGGCAGTATTCCAAATTTGGCAGAACTTAATTCCTTTACCCAGAGGATTTACCCCTTCAAAGTGTACACATTTTGAGATCATGCCACTGCCCTCCAGCCTGGGCAACAGAGCGAGACTCTGTCTCAAAAAAAGAAAAAAAATTTATTGTGGGCTGGGCGTGGTTGCTAATGCCTGTAATCCCAGCACTTTGGGGGGCTAAGGCAGGTGGATCACCTGAGGTCAGCAGTTCGAGACAAGCCTGGCCAACATGGTCAAACCCCTTCTCTACTAAAAATACAAAAATTAGCCAGAAGTGGTGGCGTGTGCCTGTAAACCCAGCTACTCGGGAAGCTGAGGCAGGAGAATTGCTTGAACTCGGGAGGCAGAGGTTGCAGTGAGCCAAGATCGTGCCATTGCACTCCAGCCTGGGCCACAAGAGACTCCACCTCAAAAAAAAAATTATTGTGATATTATGCATCCTTTTGGTACTAAATCTTCAAAATCAAATGTGTATTTTATACTTACAGCACATCTCAATTCAAACAGGCCATGTTTCAACTGTTCACTAGCTGCACGTGGCTGATGACTACCACAGTAGACAGTGCAGTCCTAGGTTACTTATGCTTTAGGGACAGGGGGGAAAATGAGCTATCACACAGCTGGACTGACTTGTTTTCAAATCTTGATTCCACTACTTACAAGCCCTGAGGCAAGCTATTTAGAATCAGTTTTCTCACTAAAAATAATAGGATGTAATAGGCTGGGTACAGTGGCACATGCCTATAATTCCAGCACTCTGGGAGGCCAAGGCAGGAGGACTGCTTGAACTCAGGAGTTGGAGACCAGCCTGGACAACAGAGTGAGACCTCATCTCTACAAAAAAAAACAACTTTTAAAATTAACCGAGTATGGTTACTACTAAGGAGGAGATACTCAGGAGGCTGAGGTGGGATGATCACTCGTGCTCGGGAGGCAGAGGCTGCAGTGAATCATGATCATGCCACTGCACTGCAGCCTGGGCAAGAGAGTGAGACCTCGTCTCAAACAAACAAAAAAAAAACCCAAAACAAAACTCACCAGGCACAGTGGCTCACGCCTGTAATCCCAGCACTTTGGGAGGCCGAGGCGGGAGGATCACCAGGTCAAGAGATCAAGACCAGCATGTCCAACATGGCGAAACCCCGTCTCTAGTAAAAATACAAAAATTACCTGGGCGTGGTGGGGTGCGCCTATAGTCCCAGCTACTCAGGAGGCTGAGGCAGGAGAATCGCTTGAACCAGGGAGGCTGAGGTTGCAGTGAGCTGACATCATGCCACTGCCCTCCAGCCTGGATGACAGAGTGAGACTCCATCTCAAAAAAAAAAAAAAAGAAAGAAAAAAGAAAAAAAAAGCTCCGGTGATAGATGGTGGTGCAAGCAGATCACCTGAGGTCAGGAGTTCAAGACCAGCATAGCCAACATGGCGAAATCCTGCCTCTACTAAAAAAACAAAAATTAGCCGGGCGCAGTGGCTCACGCCTGTAATCCCAACACTTTGGGAGGCCGAAGCTGGCGGATAACGAGGTCAGGAGATTGAGACCATCCTGACTAACACAGTGAAATCCCATCTCTACTAAAAAATACAAAAAATTAGCCGGGCATGGTGGCGGGCGCCTGTAGTCCCAGCTACTCGGGAGGCTGAAGCAGGAGAATGGCGTGAACCCGGGAGGTGGAGCTTGCAGTGAGCTGAGATCGCACCACTGCACTCCAGCCTGGGTGACAAAGTGAGACTGCCTCAAAAAAAAAAAAAAAAAAGCTGGACATGGTGGTGTGTACCTGTAGTCCTAGCTACTCATGAGGCTGAGGCAGGAGAATCGCTTGAACCCGGGAGCCAGAGATTACAGTGAGCTGAGATCACACCACTGCACTCCAGCCTGGGCGTCAAGAGCAAGACTCTGTCTCGAAAACAAAATCAAACAAACAAAATCAATAAGAATGATAATAATAAAACATCTCTCATAAGATTAAATGAGATAACGCCTAGAAAGCATCCAGTCCCTCAGAACAGGGCACACAGAAAACCCTCAGTAAATGCTAACCATTATAAGTAGCAGTAGTATACTTGAACACTGAGCAGTGTCTTGCACACAGGTTTCAATAAATGTTTGCTGAAAGAAGAAAAATTGGTCGGGCGCGGTGGCTCACGCCTGTAATCCCAGCACTTTGGGAGGCCAAGGCGGGCGGATCACGAGGTCAAGAGATCAAGACCATCCTGGCCAACATGGTGAAACCCCGTCTCTACTAAAAATACAAAAAATTAGCCGGGCGTGGTGGCGGGCGCCTGTAGTCCCAGCTACTCGGGAGGCTGAGGAAGGAGAATCACTTGAACCCAGGAGGTGGAGGTTGCAGTGAGCCGAGATCGCGCCACTGCACTCTAGCTTGGTGACAGAATGAGACTCCATCTCAAAAAAAAAAAGAAAAAAGAAAGAAGAAAAATTAATTTACATGATAGCCTATAAGCCATTTTAACTGCTGCTTTTAAAAATATATAAATAAGGCCGGGCGCGGTGGCTCACGTCTGTAATCCCAACACTTTGGGAGACTGAGGTGGGTGGATTGCCTGAGGTCAGGAGTTTGAGACCACCCTGGTCAACATGGTGAAACCTCGTCTCTACAAAAATTAGCCGGGTGTGCTGGCAAGTGCCTATAATCCCAGCTACTCGGGAGGCTGAGGCAGGAGAATGGCTTGAACCCGAGAGGTGGAGGTTGCAGTGAGTCGAGATCATTCCACTTCACTCCAGCCTGAGCAAGAGCGAAACTCCACCTCAAAACAACAACAACAAATATATAAATATATATATATATAACTTATATAAAGAGGAGATTTTTGTTATTGTTCCTGAGTAAATTTGTTTTGAACACATTAGGAGAAATGCACAAAAGAGAAATACAGCATTTCATCTTTTGGACTGTTCAAGTATTTTATTTCCTTCTACAGAACAATGAATTATTAAGCAACTATATACTGTAAAGCATTCTCATCAAGAGATTTCTTAAAAAGTATTTGCCATAAACGACAATGCTACTTTACAGGTAATTCTCAATTATCTGCTGTAATATTTTTATCTGAGGTAGGGATAAAAACATCCCATTTCTGGACTTTACTTGGAGAACCAGCTAGAGGTGAATATACGACCCTTCATGACCTGGACTGAAAACATTTTCAAGTTCTCTATTTCGGTCAATACAGCCCCTTTAATAATTCCCCAAAGCATCTCCCCTTTCCACCTGTGCTACGACTCTCTTGCACACGTTTTGTATTCCCACAGATCACAAAATCACAAAGCACCGGAGCTGGAAGAATCTTAAGAGATAATCCAAGGCCAGGAGCGGTGGCTCACGCCTGTAATCCCACCACTTTGGGAGGCCAAGGCGGGTGGGATTACCTGAGGTCAGGAGTTCAAGACCAGCCTGGCCAACATGGTGAAAACCCGTCTCTACTAAAAATACAAAAATTAGCCAAGCCTCGGCCGGACACAGTGGCTCACGCCTGTCATCTCAGCACTTTCGGAGGCCGAGGTGGGCAGATCACGAGGTCAGGAGATCGAGACCATCCTGGCCAACATGGTGAAACCCCGTCTCTACTAAAAATGCAAAAAATTAGCCGGGCATGGTGGTGGGCGCCTGTAGTCCCAGCTACTCGGGAGGCTGAGGCAGGAGAATGGCGTGAACCCGGGAGGTAGAGCTTGCAGTGAGCCGAGATCGCGCCACTGCACTCCAGCCTGGGTGACAGAGCTAGACTCTGTCTCAAAAAAAAAACAAAAAAAAAATTAGCCAGGCATGGTGGCTGGTGCCTGTAATCCCTGCTACTAGAGAGGTGGAGCCAGGAGAATCGCTTGAATACAGGAGACAAAGGTTGCAGTGAGGTGAGATCGCGCCACTGCACTCCAGCCTGGGTGACAGTGCGAGACTCCGTCTTAACCAAAAGCAAAACAAAACAAAAAAACAACAGAGAAAGATAATCCAGTGTTAGTGCTTTCTGAAGCATGTGCTATTGGTAATATGCAAGATGATTTCAGGTGGTATGTGTTGGTACTTATATTTTATAGTCATATATTTAGTTTCATATATATTAGAGAAGTATACCTACCACATCAAATTCATGAGTTCACGTATATTTCCGCTTAGAACAAGGCTAAGTGGTGTTGTGTACCTATAGTCCCAGCTACTCGGGAGGCTGAAGTGGGAGGAGAGCTTGAGCCCAGGAGTTTGAGGTTGCAGTGAGCCATGATCATGCCACTGCACTCCAGCCAGCCTGGGAGATAGAGTAAGACTTTCAAAGAAAAAAAAGAACAAGGACAAAGCTAAAGTAGACAGTCCTTGCTTAAGAAAAGAGGCCGGGTGCACTGGTTTACACCTGTAATCCTAGCACTTTGGGAGGCCAAGACAGGCAGATCACTTGAGGTCAGAGGTTCAAGACCAGCCTGGCCAGTGTGGCGAAACCCCCGTTTTACTAAAAATACAAAAATTAGCCGGGTGTGGTAGCGCATGTCTGCAGTCCCAGCTACTCGGGAGGCTGAGGCAGAAAAATCACTTGAACCCAGGAGGCAGAGGTTGCAGTGAGCCAAGAATACGCCATTGCACTCCAATCTGGGCGACTGAGAAAGATTCCACCTCAAAAAAAAAAAAAAAAAAAAAAACAAAAAAAAACAGTGACAGAAATTTCAAGCTAAGAATAGCAGAGCTGTGTTCCACCCAAATCTAAATCCTAATTTTGTCTTATTACACTGCCCTAAAATAATTTACTATCTGTATGACATCAAGTGATTAACACTCTTATATAATCGCTTCTCGATCACAACAATCTCACTTATCAAACCAACTGTAAGCAATGGTGGTGTCTTAAAGTACTAGTGTCCTTCCACAATGATAGGTGTATAATAGAAGATCAATAATGACTTGATTATGTGGTTAGATTGCTTCCAACCAGACAGACAGCATAGGAGGAAATTCCATATTGGCTCAAACAAAACAATCATAATATATCCTAAAGCCAAACAATGTTTGGATTAATTGCTGTTTGAATTATTCATTGTCACTGATTCCCTCCATGAATGAATATGGAATCAGGAACTGGTACATATATAATCCTAGAAACTTTACAATATATACATACCCAGAGAATATATACAGGAAACGACTCATATAAGTTAGACAGCAGAGATCTTAGAAACCGTACTGTAGGGGCAGGGTGTGGTGGCTCCGCCTGTAACCTCAGCATCCGGGAGGCAGAGGAGGGTGGGTCGGTTGAGCTCAGGAGTTAGAGACCAACCTGGGCAACCCGGCAAGACCTTGTCTCTCTTAAAATTAAAAAAAAAAAAAAGTATACCCCAACTACTCATTTAACACATCAGGAAGCAGAGAGAGAAAATGCTTACAGTCATTTGTTAGTTAATGGCACTGACAGCTCTAGTCTCAGTTCACTTTTTGTGATGTTCCATGGATTCAATATAAATATCAAGGAAATACAACTAAATGCTTCCAGTGTTCTAGTACAAATCCTGCTTAAGGTGAGTTGGGATTTGAAACTCTTTTCATAAAGCAGAAATTCGGTTTATGATGCACTCAGACTAATTAAATTAGCGTTGGGTGATAACGCATTTGCCTGAGAAATCTACAAATACTTCAATGCACTGTTACAACTCAGTTGTTCTTGTGTCCCATTTAGCATACATTTATAAACCTATGGCATTCTCAACAGTCACAGACTAATGTCCTTAGCTACAACCACCCATGGTACATTAGAAAGAGTATGGTCTTTTAAGTCAAAAAGGACTTCCTGAACACCAGCTCTACCACTTAGGATATAACATCAGACAACTTACTTTAGCTCTTTGAGCCTATTTCTCTGCTAAAAGAATAACACTAGCACTAGCACTAGCACCTCATTATCATTATCATTGATAATGATAGTCATTATCAACAGTGAGACAATAGAGATGGTGTAGTCCACTATCTCAAGTATACAGTTAAGTGAAAGGTTAAAAGCAGAGTATAAAAATATTTACCTATGAGTCTAAAAGGGGGTTTATGGTTTGCAACACTGAAATGTTAATTCCTGTTCAATACCTAAATTAGTTTATTTAAATATTTACAAAGCATTCACTCTGTGCAAAGCTTAGAGCATGGCTACAAATTTATAATCTGAGACTGATATATCAAGAAAAGGTGGCAAGAAAGAATTTTTTTATGTTTTTCTTTTTAGTGTCAGAATTACTTGCAAAAGAAAGATTATACATTTAAATACAAAAACAAACAAAAAAAACCTTCTAGTTTTTAAAAAGTATTTATCACAGACATGCTTGAAGTATTTGAAATGACAGTATCTGGGATTTGCTTTTAAATATGCCAGCCTCCCAACCCTGTGCCCTAAAAATAAAAGGGCGGGGCTGGGCGCGGTGACTCACGCCTGTAATCCCAGCACTTTGGGAGGCCGAGGCGGGCAGATCACGAGGTCAGGAGTTCGAGACTAGCCTGGCCAATATAGTGAAACCCTGTCTCTACTAAAAAATACAAAAATTAGCCGGGTGTGGTGGCGGATGCCTGTAGTCCCAGCTACTTGGGAGGCTGAAGCAGGAAAATCGCTTGAACTCGGGAGGCTGAGGTTGCAGTGAGCCAAGATCGTGCCCCTGCACTCCAGCCTGGGTGACAGAGTGAGACTCTGTCTCTCAAAAAAAAAAAAGGGTGGGAACAGTTGAAGCTGGGTGATGTATACCCAGGGACTCATTACCCTATTCTCTCTACTTCTGTGTAAGAAAATCTATGGGGCACGCACAATGGCTCATGCCTGTAATCCAGCAGTTTGGGAGGCCGACGCAGGCAGATCACCTAAGGTGAGGAGTTCAAGACCAGCCTGGCCAAGGTGATGAAGAGGCTGAGACAGGAGAATCACTTGAACCCAGAAGGCAGAGGTTGCAGTGAGCCAAGATTGTGCCACTGCACTCCAGCCTGAGCAACAGGGCAAGACTTCGTCTCAAACAACAACAACAACAACAACAGCAGCAGCAGCAGCAGCAGCCAGGCGCAATAGCTCATGACTGTAATCCCAGCACTTTGGGAGACCAAGGTGGGCAGATCATGAGGTCAGGAGATCAAGACTATCCTGGCCAACATGGTGAAACTCTGTCTCTACTAAAAATACAAAAATTAGCTGGGCGAGGTGGTGCGTGCCTGTAATCCCAGCTACTTGGGACGCTGAGGCAGAAGAACTGCTTGAACCAGGGAGTCAGAGGTTGCAGTGAGCCGAGATCACACCACTGCACTCCAGCCTGGCAACAGAATAAGACTCCGTCTCAAAAAAAAAAAAAAAAGAAAATCTAATCTATGAACATCACAAACTTTTTATTAGAGACGGTGTCTCACTATGTTGCCAGGCTGGTACTGAACTCCTAGCTCAAGCAATCCTCCTGCCTCAGCCTCCCAAAGGGCTAGGATTTCAAGTGTGAGCCACTGCGCCCGGCTGAACACCACAAACTTCTAAGGAACCAAGGTCTCCATCTGAAACTTCGAAATACAAGACACTAGTGGAAAAAAAAAAAGTGCTACTGGCCATTTCAACCAAGAATAAGTAAAGTATTTTAAAATGACTGACAACATCAAGCATGCCTTCCTTATCACATACTAAGCAACAGTATCTTCTCTTTCTTTGGTATTATTACTCCACCTACTAGAACAGCCCAGGGAATATTTTTTCTTTTCTGCCTTACACTTTCTAATTTTTTGTTTTTATTTAAATAACTTGAACTACTAATAATTATACACACACAACTAGGACTACTAACACACCATTACTGGCTATTACATCTATTATTTCATAGTGGACCCATGATATACTTGGCCTTTTTAAAAGCATGACTCATCCGAGAGCGTTAAAAAAAAAAAAAAAGAATCCCAAGGCCAGGCACAGTGGCTCACAACTCTAATCCCAGCACTTTGGAAAGCCCAGCTGGGAAGATCACTTGAACCCGGAATGTGGAGGCTTCAGTGAACTCTCAAACCCAGAAGACTGAGGCTGCAGTGAGCTATGACTGCACCACTGCACTCCAGCCTGGATGACAGAGCGAGACCCTGTCTCCATAATAAAAAATTTTTTTTCAGAAAGAAAAGTTCCATAAGGTTCCAAAAAGCAAAAGTTAAGTTTGACATATGCCAAGTACTACAGTGAATCCACATGAATGAACTGATATGTAGGCACTGTACTAGGTATCACAAGTATTTTAGAGAAGACAAGAATTCGGAAGGGTGTGCACAGATGATATGGAAATACGACACCATTTTATACGGTATAAGGTACTTGAGCGTCCTTGGATTTCAATATCTGCAGGAGGCCTGGAACCATCCTCCAGTGATACCAAGGAACAACTGTACTCATATGCTCTGCCTTTTCATAATTCCAATAATGGGTACGGATAGGAAAATGTTCCCTGCATTTGCATGCAAAGGGACAGAAAAGTACATATATCTATTTCACTATCAAATAGTTCTACTTACTGAACAGCAAATACAAAACATATTCTATACATGTTTCTTCAAATGTGCCTAACTAGTTTACTTCTTTAAGTTATGCTCTTTCAAACACATAGATCAGATTTAATTAACTCCCAGACTAAGCAGAATGAAATTTCCTTTCGCTGTCTTTAAAGAAAAAGAAAATAGGGTGGGGGTGGTGGCTCACACCACTAATCTCAGCACTTTGGGAGCCCGAGGCTGGCAGATCACAAGGTCAGGAGATCGAGACCATCCTGGCCAACATGGTGAAACCCTGTCTCTACTAAAAATACAAAAATTAGCTGGGCGTGGTGGCGCTCGCCTGTAGTCCCAGGTACTCAGGTGGCTGAGGCAGAATTGCTTAAAGCCGGGAGGTGGAGGTTGCAGTGAGCCAAGTTCAAGCCACTGCACTCCAGCCTGGCGACAGAGTGAGACTCCATCTCAAAAAAAAGAAAAGAAGTTTAAAAATAACTCCACCTCCTGAAGAATACACATAGGTGTTCACAGTACTCTTCCTTCATTATTTCTGTATGTAAAAACTGGAGGAAAAAACATTAAATTGGAAATTTGGTCCCTCCACCTCCCCCCAACCCCCCAAAACCCCCATTTCCAATTTATATGACGCCTTTCCTCCTCTGGAGCATAAAACTGCCTCCTTTAAGTGGAGGTTTCCAAATGTCCGGAATACACATGAAGGATATATACACTCCTTGAATAGGCCACTTTTTGCCACTTTCCCTAATAATGTGCTGTTTCTACCACAAACTACTACTAATTGTTTGGTCACCAGTATTAGGATCCTAGTTTGATGAAACGACATCTATTATGTGTCCTCAAAGAGCGAAAAGAAAATTCCAAAAAGTTCGACAGAGTTAGGAATATTAGCTGTATCT
Organism: Homo sapiens; assembly: GCF_000001405.40. Lineage (NCBI taxonomy): Eukaryota > Metazoa > Chordata > Mammalia > Primates > Hominidae > Homo > Homo sapiens. Next base: position 74,605,495 of record NC_000016.10, read on the forward strand.
ACCAGAGGACTATCCCTCTAGTCGTTAAGCTGAAGATGAGAAGTCAGGTAAGGCCTCACATTTCTAGGGGCTCTGGAAACTTCCTTTCTTTCTGTCTCCTGCTTATGTATGTCTTTTCCTCTATCTGAATTGCTTTTGTATAGAATACTAGAACACGAGATGAAGGGGGGAAATGCCAAGAGAAGCAAATTTCTACAAGCAAGTGGTCTTGCTATAGCTTGAACGCCTTAAACAAATCTGATATTTAAAAAAAAAACCAAAAACAGTATCAAGTGGTAGCTTCATTCTATTTGTCCACCTTTAGGGCTAATTTTATATACCTACACCTCTGGAAAAAGTTACTACTGTCAGATTTGCTCCCAAACTTTGAGAATTGTCATTATGGTCTGCAGCATTAAACCTAGATTATAAATTATCAATGTCACTTGATTATAAATTATCAATGTCACTCAACTGAATCACACCAAGCAACGACAAATGTAGATTTCATTAAGAGATACTGTTAAAATCACATTCAGACCTCAGAAAGGCAAGATCCCATAACCCAGTCACAAACACAGCTTCAAACGCTTCCCCAACTTTTCAAGCTTTGGGGCGCCAAGTCACTGGGAGTTAACAGCTTAAACATGGGGTTCAATACAACTGACCAAAGGAAGTGAAGAAAACAAAGCATACATTAATTTCAGCACCAAAAATATGGATTTGCGAATTACATCTACTGCTAATAAACAGATCATTCTTTACAGCCTAAGTACGCCAGGCATTTTTTTATGTTTAAATGGCTTGCCACAAATTGTCCTAGTCGAAACTGATGGCAAAATCCTAAACTGATCTTCGGCGAGGAGACACTCTGCATAGAGCATCACACAAAAGACAGGAGCGAACAGACACGCTCTGGGCCTCGGCGGATTGCGGCCAGGAGCCCAGGTTTTCGTCCCAGACCCCGGCAACAGGGAGGGAAATAAGGGCGGGGGAAAGAAGGAGTGGGAGTGGTATCCTTTTCCCTGAAAGCGCCTGGGAGTGAGGAGCAAAGAGGGAAGGAGCGAGTGCAGCACAGAGGAAGCAAGGAAAGCAGCCGACCGGCGTCAGCGGCTTCCAAGGCCGGCAACACCCTCGGGCCCGCACCAGGCCTGGCCCTCCCGGCTTCGTCCCACCTCCTCACCTCCCTCACATCCTGCAGGCACTCGAGCACCGCCAGGTTGTTGCTCCAGGTGTGCTTAGGGCACACGCGGGTCACGTCCTCCCTGCAGGACTCTTCCTCCGCCAGCTTCCAGCCCCCACCAGCCCCCGCTCCTCCCCGCCGGGCCGGAGGCCCACCCGCCGGGAAAGGCGGCTGCGGCGGCTGAGGCTGCTGTTGCTGTTGCTGCTGCTGCTGTTGCTGCTGAAGCTGCGATGACTGAGGCAGCTGGGGCAGCTGCTGACCCGCCGGGCCGCCGCCTCCGGCCTGCCCTACGAAGGACACAAAGTTGGCCCCGGGACCCTGGCCCTGGCTGTGGACGCCCTGGCCGGGGAGTTTCTCGGCCCCGGCCGCGAATAGCAGCAGCAGATGCAGCGCCGCCGACAAGCGGAACATCCTCCGTACACGTCCACACGCCGCCATCTTGAGTCCGCGGCGAGCTCGACGCACTCGCCGGCGCCGCGTATTTAAATGAGGGGGTGGAGACGCTGGGCGTGGCAGCGTGGCCCTGCCGAGCCCCGCCCCGCCGGCGCCGACCCGCGAACCCAGAGTGGGGCGAAGGAGGAGGCCGTGCTGGAAACCGCACACACCCTGGACCGGCGGGCGGGAGAGCGGCGCTCCTTACCCGGGGGGGTTGCTGGGGTTTCTTAAAAAGCCCGGGCAGGGCGGCCTACTCTAATTCCATTTGCTGTCACAAAAAAAAAAATCAAGGGAATTGGGGTTGCCACAACCAAAATGGCCGGTAGAATATGTCGCCGGTTCAATGACTTGGAAAACAAAAACTTTATATGTAGAGGTGAACTTTGCACAACCAGGTGTATTACGGAATCGGAAAGCCTCTCCTTGTATCGCTCCCTCCTTCCTTCCTTCCTTCCATCTGCCTCAGAAGTCTTTCTTAGCCAAAGAGAGAGACAGCATTGAATAGGGTTAAGAGCATAAGTTCTGGGGTAAGAAAAAAAATTAAGGTTATAATCCTTGCTCTGGCAGGGTACGCAAGAGCTCAAATGTAAAGTACCATTGGCAAGATTCGAAATAATAATTTAAGTGCCTGGCCCACAACACTGAACTCAAAAAGTCACAGCCAGTATTGTTAATAAACTGGGAAGCCGTTTATGCATGAATCCTGATTTTAAGCCAGCATTTAGATTCATGTTTAAAGGATGAAAAAATAATAATAAAACACATCTTTGAGGACTCGGGTTAAGTCTGTGTGTCGGTAACTGTTCTCATTGACCTGCATGCAACACCGCAGGCACCCCACACTAGCATCCCCTCCCTGTCCTTAGGAGAGAGGATATGTTCCCAAAGCCTCTTCACATCCGCTGTGTAATCTGAGCCATGCATCAGGCCTGCGTTAGGTTCTCATTTAACTGAAGAATGGCACAGAGATGTTAACAGTTCTGCGTGGAGGGATTAAATGAGCTGCCCAAGAGGAACTCTGCCATCCTGTAGACAGCTAGGCTAGCCACCAGAATCCCTGGGGCTTCCCACCACCCTGGCGCACTTTCATCCCACTCTGTCCATGCACATGTTGGGGAATGAGGGCAGTTTGGGTTGTGTAATCTCCACTGGTCATTGTGTCCAAAAATGCGAATTACATCTACTGTAGTAAACAGACAGCTTCTGCTGTCCTGACCCGCAAATGAGCAGTCAAGACCAAGTTAGACATAACTAGAACCTGAAAAGTCAGGAGCTCAGGGAACCCAAAAGGAGCTCCTGAGACTGAAGATATTCTGTGAGTACAAATTACCCACTGTGGCTGACCCCAGGCCTCTATCATGGGGAATGAGAGCTTGTTGGCATCTCCACCAACGGTCACCTTTGCTACTGTCATAAAATGATCATGAGGCTGCTGCTAACCTTGAGCACTGACTAAGGCAGCCCCATGTTTATTAGCAAACACATGGCATAGGTAAGTTTCAGTCAGGCAGGCTGGACACATCACCAGAAGTCCTTGAGATGTCACTAGCGTATGTTAATTTTTTTTTTTTTTTTTTGAGACGGAATCTCACTCTGTTGCCCAGGCTGGAGTGCAGTGGCGTGATCTCTGCTCGGAGCTGCCACCTCCACCTCCTGGGTTCAAGCAGTTCTCCTGCCTCAGCCTCCGAGTGGCTGGGATTACAGGCATGTGCCACCACACCCAGCTAATTTTTGTATTTTTAGTAGCGACGGGGTTTTGCCATGTTGGCCAGGCTGGTCTCGAACCCCAAACCTCAGGCGATCTGCCCACCTCAGCCTCCCAAAGTGCTAGGATTACAGGCGTGAGGTACTGCGCCTGGCCTCCATTAATTTTCAATGCTGAGTCTGCATGTGTTCAGACAAGTGGGAGATTATTTTAAGCCAGTTTAACTAGAAATTGACAATCCTAGATAAGCCATCAGTTACTTATCTTTCAGCCTGAACTGAGGAAACCACAGCCACAGATTGCCTCCAGAGATAGGGAGGAGTACACATGGCTATCTTGAAATCTCAGTCACCAAGAAGCAAGAAACAGATAAATCTGGGAACCTGGCCAGCTCAGGCTGTCAGGCAAGCGTAGACCTTACGGAAGCCACGAGCCCCCAAACCCACGGAAAGACAGTTGCCTTAACTCAGGTCTTCTGGTCTCATTGCCTTTTCAATATAACATATACTATCTCTATCAGAAACGGGGAATTCTTTTTTCTTTTTTTTTTGAGAGGAGTCACACTGTCGCCAGGCTGAAGTGCAGTGGCGCGATCTCGGCTCACTGCAACCTCTGCCTCCCGGATTCAAGCAATTCTCTTGCCTCAGCCTCCCAAGTAGATGGGACTACAAGTGTGCGCCACCATGCCCAGCTAATTTTTGTATTTTTAGAGACGGGATTTCACCATGTTGGCCAGGAGAGTCTCAATCTCTTGACCTTATGATCCATCCTCCTCGGCCTCCCAAAGTGCTAGGATTACAGGCATGAGCCACTGTGCCCAGCCAAGAAACGGGGAGTTCTTTTTACCCTTTATTGTATCCTTTGTTTCCTGATCCTCACTTTCTTAATTTATTCATCAAGCAGGTATCTGTTGAACATTTTCTTTTTTTTTTTTTTTGAGACGGAGTCTTGCTCTGCCACCCAGGCTGGAGTGCAGTGTTGTGATCTCAGCTCACTGCAACCTCCGCCTCCTGGGTCCAAGCGATTCTCCTGCTGTAGCCTCCCAAGTAGCTGGTATTACAGGCGTGCACCACCACAACCGGCTAGTTTTTGTACTTTTAGTAGAGACGGGGTTTCACCATGTTGGCCATGCTGATCTTGAATTCCTGACCTCAAGGGATCCACCTACCTTGGCCTCCCAAAGTGTTGGGATTACAGGGATAAGCCACCGGGCCCAGCCATGAGCATTTTCCTTGTTTGTTTTCAGACGGGGTCTCCCTCTGTCACCCAGGCTAGAGTGCAGTGGCATGATAATTGTGGCTCACTGCAGCCCCAACCTCCTGGGCTCAAGCAGTCTTCCCGCCTCAGCCTCCTAAGTAGCTGGGACTACCGGTGTGTGCCACCACGCCCAGCTAATTATTTTTTTTTTGTAATTTTAGTATTTTTTTTTGTTTTTGAGACAGGGTCTTGTTCTGTCACCCAGACTACAATATAATGGCATGATCATGTTCACTGCATCCTCAGCCTCCCAAGCTCAAGTGATCCTTCCACCTCAGCTTCCCAAAGTGCTGGGATTACAGGTGTCAGCCCTGCACCTGGGCTGTTGAGAATTTGTTCTTTTATTATTATTATTATTATTATTATTATTATTATTATTATTATTATTTGAGATGGAGTGTTTCACTCTTGTTGCCCAGGCTGCTGTGCAATGGCATGATCTCAGCTCTGCAACCTCTGCCTCCCGGGTTCAAGTGATTCTCCTGCCTCAGCCTCCCCAAGTAACTAGGATTACAGGCGCCTGCCACCACGCCCAGCTAGTTTTTGTATTTTTAGTAGAGAGAGATTTCACCATGTTGACCAGGCTAGTCTCGAACTCCTGACTTCAGGTGATTGCCTGCCTCGGCCTCCCAAGTGCAACCATGAAAAGAGGACTCTAAGTGTTCCAAAATCAGACATTAATAACTAGTTCAAGATTCTAAGGAGGTGGGAATAAGCATTCAAAATGAAGGCCTGCTAGGCATGGTGGCTCACACCTACCTGTAATCCCAGCACTTTGGGAGGCCGAGGCGGGTGGATCACCTGAGGTCAGGCCTTTACTAAAAATACAAAAATTGGCTGGGCATAATGGTGCAACCTATAGTCCCAGTTACTCAGGAGGCTTACGCGGGAAGATCACTTGAAAGCGGCAAGTGGAGGTTGCAGTGAGCTGAGATTATGCCACTGCACTCCAGCCTGGGTGACAGAGTGAGATCCTGTCTCAGAAAAATAAAAAAATTAAAAAATTTAAAAAAAAAGGGGGTCAGGCGCAGTGGCTCATGGATGTAATCCCAGCTACTCGGAGGCTGAGGCAGGAGAACTTCTTGAACCCAGGAGGTGGAGGTTGCAGCTCCGAGCAGAGATCACGCCGCTGCACTCCAGCCTGGGCAACAGAGCGAGACTCGGTCTAAAAAAAAAAAAAAAAACAGTGCCTATCAAAGACTCAGTGTTGCAGGGTGGGCGCAGTGGCTCACGCCTGTAATCCCAGCCCTTTGGGAGGCCAAGGCGGGCAGATGACAAGGTCAAGAGATCGAGACCATCCTGGCCAACACGGTGAAACCCCGTCTCTACTAAAAATACAAAAATTAGCTGGGCGTGGTGGCGTGCGCCTGTAATCCCAGCTACTCAGGAGGCTGAGGCAGGAGAATCGCTTGAACCCAGGAGGCAGAGGTTGCAGTGAGCCGAGATTGCGCCAGGGCACTCCAGTCTGGCGACAGAGCAAGACTCTGTCTCCAAAAAAAAAAGACTCAGTGTTGCTCTCTGTTGCTGACAAGTTGGACATTCAGGGGCAGCAGTAGCTGGATGTACCTTGGTGAGTGGGAGTCCATGCTACTGAGCTCACATGGAACCTGCATGTCTGCTGCTATGGCTGCTCTGTTCACGTGCCCAGAATGTCGGGTCAGGAGGAGCTAGAGGCTAGCTCATGTGAATTGGCTGTGTCATTTTGCTTACTTGGTTGCTCAGTGCCTCTTCTATGGTGGAGGCTTTCTGGAGGGCATTATTAAGAGATACAAAAATCTTTATATATTGTACTCACCCCCACACGTTCATCCACATGCCTCTACTCCAGGCCAGGCCATTGGACTTTGTCCAGGAATCTGTATATATTCTCATCTTACATACAAAGTGGAATGACTAAGAGCACAGCCAGCATTTCCACTAGTTTGGAAAAGTTTTCACTCTCCACCATCTTTCAGAACCACATTTGCATTCTTTAGGTCTGTAATGGTGGCTCTAATCTTCACCAATCCCCATCCTCCCAATGGAACATTTTTTTTTTGTGATTAGTTATCATGAGCTTATTATAAAAGAGAGATATGGAGGCCAGGTGCGGTGGCTTACGCCTGTAATCCCAGCACTTTGGGAGGCCGAGGTGGGTGGATCACGAGGTCAGCAGATCGAGGCCATCCTGGCTAACATGGTGAAACCCTGTCTCTACTAAAAATACAAAAAATTAGCTGGGCGTGGTGGCAGGCACCTGTGGTCCCAGCTACTTGGGAGGCTGAGGCAGAACGGAGAACGGCGTGAACCCGGGAGGTGGAGACTGCAGTGAGCCGAGATTGCGCCACTGCACTCCAGCCTGGGCGACAGAGCGAGACTCTGTCACAAAAAAAAAAAAAGAAAAAGAAAAAAGAGAGAGAGATGGAAATTATTTACATGATGAAAGATTTCAGCTGGGTGCGGTGACTCACGCCTGCAATCCCAGCACTTTGAGAAAGATTTCAGAACTTCAGTGGAATGGGCAGCTTCATGTTGCTGCCATTTTCAATAGTGTCTTATTTCAGTCTACATACTTTCCAAGAATGTCACCATCTCTAAATAGGAAATAATCCTTGTCATCTAGAATTACTTTGGTGCCTCCATGTTCTGGGAGAAGAACTTTATCTCCAACTTTCATGCTAACTGGTTGAATCTCTCCACCTTTTCCTTTAGAACCCGATCCAACAGCGACTACTATTGCTTGCAATACTTTTCCTTGAGATTTTTCTGGAAGCATAATGCCTCCTCTGGTTACAGTTTCAGCAGCGCTCCTTTCAACCAGTACTCGCTCAAAGAGTGGAAGAAACTTTCTTTTTATTTATTTATTTTTTTTGAGACAGAGTCTCGCTCTGTCGCCCAGGCTGGAGTGCAGTCCTGCGATCTCGGCTCACTGCAAGCTCCACCTCCCGGGTTCACGCCATCCTCCTGCCTCAGCCTCCCGAGTAGCTGGGACTACAGGCACACGCTGCCACGCCTGGCTAATTTTTTGTATTTTTAGTAGAGACAGGGTTTCACCGTGTTAGCCAGGATGGTCTCGATATCCTGACCTTGTGATCCGCCCGCCTCTGCCTCCCAAAGTGCTGGGATTACAGGCGTGAGCCACAGCACCTGGCCGAGTGGAAGAAACTTTCTAAACGCCTGTCCTGCCATGACTCCCTCCACCTCAGACTTGTACTCTCGGAACACTGTTTTTGTTTTTTTTGTTTTTTTTTTTTGAGATGAAGTCTCGCTCTTGTTCCCCAGGCTGGAGTGCGATGGCGCGATCTCGGCTCACTGCAACCTCTGCCACCCGGGTTCAAGCGATTCTCCTGCCTCAGCCTCCTGAGTAGCTGGGATTACAGGAGCCTGCCACCACGCCCAGCTAATTTTTGTATTTTTAGTAGAGACGGGGGTTTCACCATGTTGGCCAGGCTGGTCTTGGACTTCTGACGTCAGGTGATCTGCCCACTTTGGCCTCCCAAAGTGCTGGGATTACAGCCACTGAGCCTGGCCTTGGAACATTGTTTTTAACGTACAATCTTAGCCACGGGTAGGGAGCAATTTCACAGATTTACATCTGGCCTTTCCTGCCCATGATAGTCCCTGCCCCACAGGCCAGAAATACAATGTGGGGTTATTCCAGGTCATTTCCAGTTATACATTTGGGGACTATGTAAATCTCTGGGTGGGTCCACACATCCAGTGAGCTGAGAGCCATACCTTACCACTTTAGGCAGGAGTCCATTTATTACCTGGCCCCTACAGGCCAGGGGGCTATAATGATGTTTTTGGCCTCTAATGATTGATTTCACCTTGAAGTCTGTGTCCGATAGTCTTGAAAATGTTCGGTTACTTCCCTTTTGCCAATGTACAGTCACCCAAGTAAGTAGCCACAAGTTCCTCTGGGGAAGGCCTGAGGGCCCTTGTGCCATGGTACGGCTGCCATGGTGTTGTAGGGTCTTTGGTGTTAGGCTCCTGGCCACCACTTTCATCAATGGATTCTGGATCTGAAAATTGGCTCAGATTGGGCAGGGAGCAGTGGCTCACACCTGTAATCCCAGCACTTTGGGAGGCTGAGGTGGGCGGATCATGAGGTCAAGAGATTAAGACCATCCTGGCCAACATGGTGAAGCCCCGTCTCTACTAAAAATACGAAAATTAGCTGGGTGTGGTGGCACATGCCTGTAGTACTAGCTACTCAGGAGGGTGACGCAGGAGAATTGCTTGAACTTGGGAAGTGGAGGTTGCAGTGAGCCAAGATCACACCTCTGCACTCTAGCCTGGGTGACCGAGTGAGACTCCATCTCAAAAAAAAAAGCCTCAGCTCTAGAAGCTGGGCAAAGGAGCATGACTTATTGGGGGTGACCACCCTTAGCCTCCTGTTCCTCCATTCTTGTGGACCTTATTGGCTATAGATGTTGAATAGTTCCCTTGCTGGTCTTGGGTGATGTTATCCTTTATTAACCATCTCTATACTCCCCGCTGGTCAAGACCCCTTGGTCGCTATTTTCTTATTATTTTTTGAGATGGAGTCTTGCTCTGTCACCCAGGCTGGAGTGCAGTGGCACAATCTCGGCTCACTGCAACCTCTGCCTCCCGGGTTCAAGAGATTCTCCGGCCTCAGCCTCTCGAATAGCTGGGACTACAGGCGTGTGCCACCACGCCCAGCTAATTTTTGTGTTTTTAGTAGAGACAGGGTTTTACCATGTTGGCCAGGCTGGTCTTGAACTCCTGACCTCAAGTGATCCTCCTGCCTCGGCCTCCCAAAGTGCTAGAATTATAGGTATGAGCCACCGCATCTGGCCCTTGGTCATCACCTTTGATCTTGCTGGTAATGGTGGTAATTGTGGTCTCCTGGCTTCTGGCACTTAAACATTGCCACCGGGTCTTTATTATTCTGGGGCCCTAGTCAGCCCCGTCTTACCACCTGTTTTCTTGGAACACTCCTGGCACTACTTGTGTGAGTCCAGGTCTGCCAGGAAGCAGACAACAAAAGGGGATTACCTATGCAAGAAATTTATTAGGGGCAACAGTTGTAGGAAAAATGAGGTGGCTGAGAGAGCCATGTGACCATGATGCTGGTCCAACACTGTGTGAAGTACAGAGGGAGGGAAGGAAGGACGGGAGGATTCGGTGGAAACATCTAAGACTCAACTTAAACTGAAATTCATTTCTAAGAAAGTCAGCCAAGGTCCGGCACGGTGGCTGACGCCTGTAATCCCAGCACTTTGGGAGGCCAAGGCAGGCAGATCACCTGAGGTCGAGAGTTCGAGACCAGCCTGACCAACATGGAGAAACCCCGTCTCTACTAAAAACACACAAAAAATTATCCGGGCATGGTGGTGCATACCTGTATTCCCAGCTACTCGGGAGGCTGAGGCAGGAGAATCACTTGAACCCAGAAGGCGGAGGTTGCAGTGAGCCAAGATCTCCAGCCTGGGCAATAAGACCAAAACTCCGTCTCCAAAAAAAAAAAAAAAAAAAGAAAGTTGGCCAAGGCCATAGGATAGTCCTCATGCAAAAGTTACCTGTCACTGAGTCTTCCAGAAATGGGCCTGCGTCAGTAGCCCTATCACTCTTAGTCAAGACTAGGAGGATCCTTGGGATGAATGCAGTTGTAGATTTCAGTGCTCAGCAGATCAAACAGAGGTCAATCATGTTCCCCACAGCTGGAGATCTGAGAGGCTCATTTTCAAGGTCACCACATCTGAGTAACTTCTTTAACTAGAGAATCTCTTTCATATAAAAGGCATAGCATGGCTGGGCGTGGTGGCTCACGCCTGTAATCCCAGCACTTTGGGAGGCCAAGGCGAGCAGATCACCTGAGGTCAGGAGGTGAAGACTGGCCTGGCTGACATGGTAAAGCCCAGTCTCTACTAAAAATACAAAAATTAGCCGGGTGCAGTGGCTCATGCCTGTAATTCCAGCACTTTGGGAGGCTAAGCGGGGCAGATCATGAGGTCAGGAAATCGAGACCATCCTGGCTAACATGGTGAAACCCTGTCTCTACTAAAAATACAAAAATTAGCTGGGCGTGGTGGCAGGCGCCTGTAATCCCAGCTAATTGGGAGGCTGAGGTACAAGAATCGCTTGAACCCAGGAGTCGGAGGTTGCAGTGAGCCAAGATCGCGCCACTGCACTCCAGCCTGGCAGGAGTGAGACTCCATCTAAAAAAAAAAACAAAAAAAATTAGCCAGGTGCGATGGCATGCGCCTGTAATCCCAGCTACTCGGGAGGCTGAGGCAGAAGAATCACTTGAACCTGGGAGGCAGAGGTTGCAGTGAGCCAAGATCATGCCACTGCACTCCAGCCTGGGTGACAAAGTGAGACTCAGTCTCAGGGAAGAAAAAGAAATTGTTTAGACTACTAAGCTAGGACATTGGTGACTTCATATTGACAAGACTTAAGGGATTAAAAATGAAATAACAGGCCAGGCGTGGTGGCTCATGCCTGTAATTCCAGCACTTTGGGAGGCTGAGGCAGTGGATCACTTGAGGCCAGGAATTTGAGACCACCCTGGCCAACATGGCGAAACCCCGTCCCTACTAAAAATATAAAAAAATTAGCTGGGCATGGTGGTGTATACCTGTAGTCACAGCTACTTGGGAGGCTGAAGTGGGAGGATCACTTGAGCCTGGGAGGCAGAGGTTACAGCAAGCCGAGATTACACCACTGCACTCCAGCCTGGGTGACAGAGTGAGACCCCATTTCAATTAAAAAAAAAAAAAAAGAGTAACAAGTAACATATTTCTAGACACCCCCACATTATCCAGCTAAGAGACCTGAACTTGTCTGTCACAGCAACCTCAGTGACTGTCTAGACGAGAATCTAAGACTCCTGGAGAAGAAAAACTCACCCAGCATTCTGATCTGTAGACAGTAGAGACCGGACTGTAGTTTGAATATTACTTCCTTTATGGCAATTTGCCAGTTTGCAGGAATATCATGTCTTTTGGAGAGGGTCTCAATCAGAGAAACAAATGTTAGCATTTGATATTTCGTTTACTTCCTTGACTCAAGGGCAAGTGACTCCTGTGAGCTGAGGGGGTAGCATACTGTTTGCCTAGTGAAATACCATCTCTCTATCTCAAGTCAGGACATCATCTTCAAGAGAGGAACTGGGGTCATCGCTAACTCTGGAGCTTCCACTGGGGTACAAGTGAGGTGTCAGAACTTCACTGAGCTTAGATTCCGTGGCAATTTCCCATCTTCCCCCCTACCCTGTCACCCTTTCTCATGTTAGGCCCTCATTGTTTCCCATATGTTCCTGCACAATCTAACCAGCAATTTTTTGTACCAGGCTTATGAGAAAGGAGGAAGCCACATCATCACTCAACACCCCCTCCATAGCTCAAGCCTGGGAATTCCCCTGGACCCTCCTGGAGGCACTCTTTTTAACTCTGGTGACATTTCTCTTAAATGGGAGGGTCTACAGGCATTGGAGTTTGAAGGCAGAGCATAACCATTTATCCAGGGCAGGCATCCCCTTCTTTATTCCAGGAAATAAGTGGCCTGCCAACTTCCCACTTACAACTTTCATTAACCAGCAGCTTATCCAACTGTTGGCAGCTCACACAGAGCTGGCTTAGGTAACAAAAGTGCCAGTTTTTTGTTTTTGTTTTCTTTTTTTGAGACAGTCTTGCTCTGTTGCCCAGGCTGGAGGGCAGTGGTACAGTCTAGGGTCACTGCAACCTCTGCCTCCCAGGTTCAAGCAATTCTCCTGCCTCAGCCTCCCAAGTAGCTGGGATTACAGGTGCCTGCCACCACGCCTGGCTAATTTTTTGTATTTTTAGTAGAGACGAGGTTTCACCATGTTGGCCGCGCTGGTTTTGAACTCCTGACCTCGTGATCCACCTGCCTTGACCTCCCAAAGTGCTGGGATTACAGACGTGAGCCATCGTGCCCGGCCATTTTTTTTTTTTTTTTAACCCAAGCATCTGTTCAGTGATGTCCTGAACTTTGTTTCCCCCTCAGCCTTCAACTCTCCCTTTATCCAAATCCAGATATTTAAGTTGGTACCTATGTTCAGCCTCTAAGGAAGCCTTTCTGCTGGGTGTCTGTAACTGGATAAACCTGTTATTACTCCTCAGGGACCAGCGTGGGTTCATGGCACTCCTCACATCTCGACAGTAGACTCCTTATTCAGCTGGCCCTGCACCCTGCTTTCTAGAGCAAGCCCAACAGCTCCTCCACCTTCCTCCTCTCTTCAGCTGACCTTTCCGATGACCACTGCTGGGCAGTTCTAGCCCATGTGTCATAGCCTCTTCTATGAACCCGTTTTTTCTTCTATTGGACAGTGGGGTTCCCAGCCTCAGCACCCAGAAAACTACTTGAAGACTGTAGTGCCACATCATGAGTATGACTGTCTGCTTTGTTGTAATTTTCAATGCAGAAGAAATAATTTGTGGGGGCTTAGCCTAGGGTGTTCTGGAGACAGAGCTATGAAGAGTGAAAATGAGCTTTCACCCAGGCTCTCCAACTCCTGCTTTGCTGTTGGTAACACAAAGTATAGACTGGGAAGACGAGGACATATAAAATTTAATTAAATACCATCTGTCATTTTCCTTTATTAGGATTTTTTCTTTTTTTTTTTTTTGAGGTGAAGTCTTGCTCCCGTTGCGCAGGCTGGAGTGCAGTGGCGCGATCTTGGCTCACTGCAACCTCCACCTCCCAGGTTCAAGAAGAAGCTGGGGCTGGGTGTGGTGGCTCACGCCTGTAATCCCAGCACCTTGGGAGGCCAAGGCGGGCAGATCACGAGGTCAGGAGATCGAGACCATCCTGGCTAACACGGTGAAACCCCATCTCTACTAAAAATACAAAAAAATTAGCCGAGTGTGGTGGCAGGCGCCTGTAGTCCCAGTTACTCAAGAGGCTGAGGCAGGAGAATGGCGTGAAGCCGGGAGGCAGAGCTTGCAGTGAGCTGAGATCGTGCCACTGCACTCGAGCCTGGGAGACAGAGCAAGACTCCGTCTAAAAAAAAAAAAAAAGAAGCTGGGATTACAGGTTTACGCCACCATGCCTGGATCATTTTTGTATTTTTAGTAGAGACAGGGTTTCACCATGTTAGCCATGCTGGTCTCGAACTCCTGACCTCAGGTGATCCATCCTCTTTGGCCTCCCAAAGTGCTGGGATTACAGGCATGAGCCACTGCACCCAAGCTTTATTAGTATTTTTAACCTGTTTCTTCCCCCGTAAGATAGAATAATAATATGTATTCCATAACATTAAGAATTACTTATTAGTAATATATATTTACTAAGATGTTACTTAATATATTAGTAAACCATAAAGAGATAAAACAGAGAGTGTTACCAACAAACATAAGTTGACTAAGAACAAGGACAAACAAATGTCTATTTTTAGAATTTTGGCCAGACATGGTGGCTCATGCCTGCAATCCCAATGCTTTGGGAGGCTGAGGCGGGAGGACTGCTTGAACTAGAAGTTTGAATCCAGTTGGGCAACAAAGCAAGACCCCCGTCTCTACCAAGAAAAAAAAAGCAAAAAAAAAAAAAAATTGGCTGGGCACAGTGGTCCACAACTACAGTCCCAGTTACTTAGGAGGTTGAGGAGACAGGATTACCTGAGCCCAGAAGTTTGAGGATGCAGTCGAGATAGGATAGTGCCACTGCACTCTAGCCTGGGTGACAGTGAGACCCCGTTTCTTAAAAAAATTTTTTTTCAGAATTTCACTTATAGTCAATCACTGACACGGAAAACAAAAAAAGGGTACTGTGAAAAACAAAAACAATGGTGTTGGGTTTTGTAATTTGGGGTTCACTTCTATCCTAGGACCTCTGTCATTTTCCCTTAGAGCACCAGGCTCCATGAAGTTAGTAAGCTTATACCTATGGATTCAGTTCTCCTGGAATCCAGTATACTCCATTTGCTGTTCAGCTGGAAACTGGAAAACATTTTCAGCCTTTCCAGCCTAATTCCAGAGCACCATGATTTATGGCAACGAAGATTCTTGAACTCAAACAGAACAAAGAAACTGAGGCAGGTGGCCAGAACTGTACTGAGCAGGAACCCTGAAACCCATACTTGCCCATTGCTGCTGCCACGGTCAGAAGTGCCACCAATGACTAAAAGAAATAAAGGGAACAAAAGTCCTCTCCTCCTCTCTCTTCCTCCCACTTTAAAGTCTCCTGGATTCAAAGAAACTAGCAGGAAGCCAGCAGACAAGTCTGGGAAATGTAGATCCCTAGATCTGAGAGTAAATAGACATAAGACCAGGACATTTTTTTTTTTTTTTTTTGAGACGGAGTCTCACTCTGTCACCCAGGCTGGAGTACAGTGGTGCAATCTCAGCTAACTGCAACCTCTGCCTCGCGGGTTCAAGCAATTCCCCTGCCTCAGCCCCCTGAGTAACAGGTGTCCGCCACTACGACCAGCTAATTTTTATATCATTTAGTAGAGATGAGGTTTCACCTTGTTGGCCAGACTGACCTTGAACTTCTGACCTCAGGTGATCTGCCCACCTTGGCCTCCCAAAGTGCTGGGATTACAGGCGTGAGCCACACGGCCAGGGCACAGGGTTCTTAAGAGGCAAACACATCGCTTTCCACTGGCAACAGCAAAACAGAACCGCAAGCTAAAGCCTCAACCACTTCATTTGTGTGAAAAAGAGAAAATCTATGGCTGGGTGAGGTGGCTCATGCCTGTAATCCCAGCACTTTGGGAGGCTGTCAAGATGGACAAATCACTTGAGGTCAGGAGTTGGAGACCAGCCTGGCCAACATGGTAAAACCCCGTCTCTACTAAAAATAGACAAATAAGCCAGGCATGGTTGCAGGCGCCTGTAACTCCCAGGTACTGGAGAGGAATGAGGCAGGGGAATCGCTTGAACCCGGGAGGCAGAGGTTGCAGTGAGCTGAGATTGAACCAGTGCACTCCAGCCTGGGACAACAGAGTGAGATTCAGTTAAAAAAAAAAAAAAAAAAAAAGGCCGGGTGCGGTAGCTCACGCCTGTAATCCCAGCACTTTGGGAGGCTGAAGCAGGCAGATCACAAGGTCAGAAGTTTGAGACCAGCCTGACCAACATGCTGAAACCCGTCTCTACTAAAAATACAAAAATTAGCCGAGCATGATGGCGCACACCTGTAATCTCAGCTACTCAGGAGGCTGAGACAGGAGAATCTCTTGAACCTAGGAGGCGGAGTTTGCAGTGAGCCAAGATGGCGCCACTGCACTCCAGCTAGGGCTACAGAGCAAGATTCCGTCTCAAAAAACAAACAAACGAACAAACCCGAGAAATCTACCAGGTTGGGATTATATCCCTCTCCCAAGAGGCAGACATGTTCCTGCCTCTAGAAGTGAAAGAGACAAAAGGCACTAGGAGCCATTATACATAGCAAATTCTTTATTTTCATATTAACAGTAAAACATAAAACAGAAACATTAAAACAGGGCATAAACAGAGTTCCCATGGCCCTGTTTTCAAAGCAGGGGCAAGAATACATACAATGACAAGACATTTTGAGTTCGTTTAACTCCAAATCCTCAAGTGGGGAAAAAAACTTAGAGGTAGTGACAAAGGAATATGGTGGGGCAGAGACTGGTGGAGCCCAGAAGACTAAAGCCTGGATTTATAAATGTGATGTCCTACAACGGGGACTGGGAATGGCATCAGGGTTTTTTTTTGTTTGTTTGTTTTTTTTGAGATGGAGTCTTGCTCTGTCACCGAGGCTGGAGTGCAGTGGCGCGATCTCGACTCACTGCAACCTCTGCCTCCCAGGGTTCAAGCAATTCTCCTGCCTCAGCCTCCCAAGTAGCTGGGACTACAGGCATGCGCACCACTGCACCCAGTTAATTTTTGTATTTTTAGTAGAGATGGGGTTTCACCATGTTGGTCAGGCTGGACAAGGCTTTTTTTCTTTGGAGAAATCACTCACGATCGTATGAATTTGCTTCCAAAACATCCAAATTTAATGTACTAATGCAAGGACTGGTAAGACTTAAGATTCACATAACGTCCCTCATAGTTAAGTCTCTTGCTTCCTACTATTAGTGGAATCAATCAGCATCAGGTACTTCAAAGAAAGTCAAATCCTAAGCCTGCCCAGGCCCAAAGACAAAGCCAGCCAGGACCTGACCACCTGTATCCTCTTGGTGGCAATCTGCTGAAGCCAGATGAGTTCTGCTTTTTAATTCCAATCCTATTCTGCCACTGAAACTAGGCCTGGGCAACCACTCTTAATCATTAACATATCAAAAGGAGTATCTCCTCTGAGAAAAGAGCTTTTCTCAGGTTCTAGAAGCTAGCTTTTACAAAAGACGTCTTCAAATAGGGGCCGGGTGCAGTGGCTCACGCCTATAATTTTGGCACTTTAGGAGGCTGAGGTGGGAGGATTGCTTGAGGCCAGGAGTCCAAGACCAGCCTGGACAACGTAGTGAAACATCTATTTCTACAAAAAAATTTAAAAAAGGAAAAAATTATGTCCTAAAATATTAAAGGGTCATTAAAAGGCACAACTAGAACTTGGAACTCTGGGGAAATCTAGTGCAACAACCCCTTGCCGGAGAGAAAGATCCTAGAAACAGCTCTTGAATTGACAGGTCAGAAGTGTTTTATAATAAAAACGATAACAACTCTTCAATAATCATTTGAGAAAATCAGACTGTTAAGCCATTTTCTCCCATGAACAGGACACTGACCTGCCCACATCTTGAAGCATATTCTGTTGTGGAAGTGGGTTGGCAAAGTAGTCTGAGGCAAGGCAAAGAAATACAAACTGAGCCCTAGAAAAGGTTAGGGAGGCAAATCAAAGGAAACTGGAATCAAACATCAGCTTCACATGGGGAAGGCTTTAACTGGATAACTGGAATGTATAAAGAACACTTAAGAACAGCCCCTCAGTCTGAGGAATTGGCTTTATTTAGATAGGAACTCTCAAAATGGGAGACAAGTTCTTCTCATGTTTTCAATAGCAGTCTGAATAGCTTTTGTAAATTCTCTTATGTCTTTTCTCCTGATCTCTGACACTAGGGGAGACTCAAGTAAAAGCTTTGACCTATCACTCATCTTTTCCTGGCAAGAGATAGTGTTCTTCAAAGCACTAGCTTGGATAAAACCAATCCTGAGATCCTAAGCTGGCTAGAAAAAACAAAATCTTCCCCACCGCTCAAACAACTGGCCTCTTTCCTTACCTTTCGCAAAGCAATGAACTTAATGCACTAGGCATTAGCAAAGGGAATCGTTCACTAGCTGCTTCCATCACTGGGCCTGCCAATGTCCCAGCACTTCACACCTGGAACACAAGTGTTATTGCCACAAAGCACACCCAGGTGTGCTATCACACACTTGTGTGGAGATGAGACAAGTTACTAAAAGATTGTCAGCCTTCAAGGTCAGAAATAAACCGGACACAAGGTTCTACAGTGCCCTCTTGTGTTCAACTGAATAATACTCTTTTACATCTACGTTGCATCAAATCAGTACCAAGACGATGGTTAGTCCCTTCAAGGATACTTAAGTGACAGGACAACTCAGATGGGATGTCATATTCCCCAGAAAATGCTTGATGCCCACTCACATCCTAGATGATGAGAGGACACTCTCTAAGGTCCAGAAAGTCACACAGAAAATAAAGAAAATAAGAATTTCCAACATACAATAATGGTTAATGAAGGCTTTAAACCCAAGAAATGGATAATGTAGATAAAGTACCCATCAATTACTCTTTTAGTGGACATAACAGATACACAATCTGTAGTGTCTCAGTGACCTAGGGTCCTAGAATCATACTAATGCAAACAAACCATGATTCCCAATGTTCTAGACTGCAGACAATAAACAGGGATCTTGCTTGGGGCTGCTAGGCGCTAGCAAACAACATCTAACCAGCAGCATGCCTTCAAGGTTTCGAGACCACAGTCACTCCCACTTATAGATGTGGACCATCTTCTCTGTTAAGGTAGCCAAGTAGCTGTTACGGTTCACCTCAAATGGGCAGATGTCCAACACAGGCTGATCGGTCTGTAGGTCCTGGAGCAACGAGCCACTGGCAGCATCCCACAGCTAAAGAACACAAGCAGAGGGAAGGGTCAGGAGTCAGTCAGTACACGAAGGGACTTCCATTCTTCATCATCTAACAAGTCTGAAAGGCTGCAGAGAGAACACTACCTGGAGAGCAAAGCAGGCTGTCCCTAACCTTTGCAAGGTTGTTCAAAGTCAGCACACCTGACATAGTTCAGGTACAGCCTCACCTACTGTAATCAGCAATTAGTCTACCTGTAAGTGGACCTGAAATAAAGCCCAGCTTCCATTCATTCAATGTGCCAGCCTCTTCTAGGGACAGAAGGGTCAATAAGATAAAGTCCCTGTCTTTGCCCTCATGGAACTCACCCTTTTTTTTCTTTGAGACGGAGTCTCACTCTTGTCACCCAGGCTGCAGTGCAGTGGCACGATCTTGGCTTACTGCAACATCTGCCTCCTGGGTTCCAGCGATTCTCATGCCTCAGCCTCCCAAGTAGCTGGGATTACAGACATCCACCACCACGCCCGGCTAATTTTCTTGTATTTTTGGTAGAGATGGGTTTCACCATGTTGGCCAGGCTGGTCTAGAACTCCTGACCTCAGGTGATCCACCCACCTTGGCCTCCCAAAGTGCTGGGATTACAGGCGTGAGCCACCGCGTCTGGCCTCTAAAAATTTATTATTGGCCAGGCATGGTGTCTCACACCTGTAATTCCAACACTTTGGGAGTCTGAGATGGGAGGACAGCTTGAGGATAGGAGATTGAGACCAGCTGGGGCAATACAGCAAGAATCCAATCTCTACAAGAAAAAATTAGCCAGGTGTAGTGGTGCATGCCCGCAGTCCCAGCTACTCAAGAGGCTGAAGGAGGATTGCTTAAGCTGAGGAGTTTGAGGCTACAGTGAACCATGATTGCACTACTGCACTCCAGCCTGGACCGAGTAAGATACTGTCACTTAAAAACAAACAAACAAACAAACAAAAAGAAATGAAAAATATTTTGAAGTATTAAAAAGTAGAGCTAGCCGGGCATGGTGGCACACACCCATAGTTCCAGCTACTTGGGAGGCTGAAGCACAAGAATCACTTGAACCCAGGAGGTGGAGGTTGTAGTAAGCCAAGATTGCACCTCTGCACTCCAGCCTGGGCAACAGAGCAAGACCCTGTCTCAAAAAAAAAAAAAAGTAGAGAGGGACAGAAAAAAAAAGGTAGAGAGCACGGTGGCTCATGCTTGTAATCTTAGTAGTCTGTGAGGCTGAGGTGAGAAGACTGCTTGAGCCCAGGAGTTTGAGACCAGCCTGGGAAACATGGCAAAACCCTGTCTCTACTAAAAATACACAAATTAGCCGGGTATGGTTGGTGTGCACCCAGCTACTTGGGAAGCTGAGGCACAAGAATTGCTTGAACCTGGGAGGTGGAGGTGGCAGTGAGCCGAGATTGCGCCTCTGCACTCCAGCCTGGGTAACAGAGCGAGACCGTCTCAAGAAAAAAAAAAAAAGGACAGACCAGGCGCAATGGCTCACGCCTATAATCCAACCTTTTTTCTTCTGCCATTGACTTGTTGTGGAAGCCAGATCAGCTGTCTTATAGAACGCCCACAACCCGGACTTGTGTATATGCTTTCTGTGCTATCATTAAACTTGTTCTCCTCTATTCCCTGCAACTCCAGTCAATGAAAGTTAGCGCTAGCTTCTAGAGTGGCACTATACAATATGGTGGCCTCTAGTCACACAAGTTTATATTTAACTTGATTAAAATTAAACATTAAGTTCTTCCTTGGCACTAAGCACACTTTAAGTGCTCATGTGACTAGTGTGACTGTACTGGACAGTGCTACTCTAGGCCTTAATCAGACTCAGGTTCAAGAACATCTCAGCTGGGTGCAATGGCTCACGCCTCTAATCCCAGCACTTTGGGAGGCCAAGGCCGGCAGATCACTTGAGGTCAGGAGTTCCAGACCAGCCTGGCCAACACGGTGAAACCCTGTCTCTACTAAAAATACAAAAATCAGTCGGGCATGGTGGTGGGGTGCCTGTAATCCCAGCTACTCAGGAGGCTGAGGCAGGAGAATCACTTGAACCCAAGAAATAGAGGTTGCAGCAGTTCAGTCAAGATCTACAAAGCAATACGGAAAGCACGACTCATGGAAACCAAGCAATCTCACATACACACATATGCGGATATGTGGGATTACAGAGCAGAACTTACACTTTTTTGCTATATGAGCTTCTGTAAAAAAAGTTCATGTTTTCCCTTACCAATATTTTAAGCAAAACTACTTTTTATATGAAAGTAAAAAAGTAACAGGCTCACCAGGGCAGAATTTGCTGCTTCATCCCCAGTACACACCAGGATGTTGCCATCATTCTCTGGGCTTTGGAAAATGGCATTTTTGGTCAATAGTTTGCAAGTAGGTCCTCCAAAAAATGTATGTACAGGCTGGCAGGAGCAGATTGGATTTCCAGTGTCATCCAGTCGGTAGGACATTTCCATCAGCACACTTCGTATGGTGGTGTGATTTTTATCTATGGGACAGAGAAATCAGTGCTGCACCATGGGGACGCTACACAAAAAATTAACCAAGTACCCAAACCTCACACGCTTACAACCTAGTTGGATGGAAAAGCCATAAATGCATTAAACCATCAAGAACAGTTACAAAACAAATGAAAGAACAATATCACAGCATCAATGAAATTTAGAACCGTAGGCTAGCATCAGTGAAATTTAGAACCATAGGCTAGGAATCAAGTTATCTACAATAGCTTTTTGCTTAAGAGAAAAACAATTCTGTGAGTTGTCTGTTTTAGTAAAATCAGTCTCCTGCCAGACCTCTGCTAGGGGATTTCTCTCTCAAGAATTCTCAGTAAAAGGTTTTTCCCTTCCCCCAGTGAGAACCTCATTAGCCCCTGGGACTGCACATTTTTATAAAGTGAAAGCATGCTATTACAGAAAGGGAAACATGTATCTGAAATTCTGCTGGGAGGCAAACAAAAGCAAGATAACAAAATAGGACCCCCAGGCTTTGTACACCAGTCACAACAAATCACAGTCTTGGAGACAGCCGAGCTGTGGGATGATGAAGAGCCAAAGGGTCTGAAGTGGTACTGGGATGTTTCTCAGCTCAAACAAAACTTAAAAACATGAGTAGACCCACCCACAACTAGCAGAAGTGTGAGCATTTAATGACTAACTCTGACTATACATCTGCCTGACTGTTACAAATGTGTTTAATACAGTTGTTACCTCAGCATCTGTTTTTAGGGCTAGCATAAATTATTTGAAACCCAGATGTACCCTGTCAACTTTGGCCTAGTTAAAACATCCCTTCCCTGAGCAGAGGTTTGAAATATAGCCCACTTGTCCCTCCCCTCCACCCCTACCCCACCCCTAAGGGAGCAGGCCTGTCCTGGATGGCTCCCCCTTCTTCCCATTGGCCCCTGAAGCATGCTGCCCTCTTCTCTGTGGGATCTGTCAAGTAAGCTGATTCCGTTATTTCCTGTGTTTTGTGCACTGCCTCCTTTGTGTCTCACCTGACCAACACACCTGAACCTAACTTGTTTCCTAGTCAGGGCTCTTCTAGAGAGTCACTATCTCAAGGGAAATGAACTAGACACAGTTCAGACAAGAGCCACAAGGGTACCTGCCAGTACAAACAAGTTTCCTGTGAGAGGGACATCTGGTCATGGGTCAGGCAGGCATTAGGCCATCTGCCAGGACAGAGGAGTATCCTGTGAAAGGCAAACTATGAACACCCACAACGAACTCCCTAGTGTTTGGCAGGACAGGGCTAGAGTTTATAGCCACTCTCCTGACAGAGACCTCAAGACCAAATTAGAAAGAAAAAACCTAGAACACTGACCATCAGTACAGTTTACCAGGAATTTAGATTCATGCCGCTTAGCCTAGAAAGAACCTGTGAATGAAGCACAGTCTGCTGTTATGCGTTCCACCTCTGATTCCAGAGGCAGAGATGTTCAGCTGGCTGGGCACACACAGCCACTGTTGTCCATTTCAGTATGCCAGCCGGGCTACTACATGGCTGCCCTAATCTGGGCCTTTCTCTCAGGGGAAGTAAGAGGCAGGCAGAAGATACGAAAGTGATCTCAAGGTGGCTCAATGACCTAGAGCTGGCCCCCTTGTTCCACTACTGTTCTAAACTGTAGGGGCTCCTAAGTGGCTAATTCACTTCCAGGAGTACCTGGCAGAATATGCTCCAGTCCTCACACGTAAGGAGCAGGGAGGCAGGCTCTGTGGGGGAGCTTGGAGCCACCATACTCCCTGTAGTAGCAAGAGCTACAACACACCTCGTTAGCCTGTGAGCGGTACCACAGCCACCCAAAGGGTAGGATCAAACCCTCCTTCCCTTTTCTCTACCACTGTGCTCCCAAATAAGCTATGGGAGACCCCAGCACTACTTACCAGGCCTGTAGGTCACAAGACAGTGCCGGGAGCTGTTCTCTGTCTGAAAGTCTATGCAGCCCCCTGGCTCCAAGGGCAGCACATGAGGCCAATGAGAAAAGTCCATTTTCTGTTCCCAGAATGAAGCATCCTCCAAGGTTCCAGCCAGCACCCCACCATATGGAAATGCAGCTGAGGCAGCTCTGGGCATGTATGACAGGGAGACCAGTGGGCATCTGAAAGGAAAGTAAGGAAACTGTATCTCACACTCCAAAACTCGGACGGCTCCAGACCCCACTACCAGACCTCAAGCACATTCCCACCTCTGCAGAGGAGGTTAAACGCCTTTAGTCACTATCCTCTGATATCTGATAAAAATTATCAACCCTCTCTGTAGAAACAAAAGGACATACATATAATATTCTGCAACTAATTTCAGGTGAGATACCAGATGCTCTAAAAGAAAAGGAAAAAAAGAACTAGGAAATTTAAGGGATACAAGATCACAATTACTATGAAGCTTGACTGATGTGAAGCTTCTGGAAATGGGTTTAGCCACATAAGAAAAGTCAGAAAAGAAACAAAGCTTATATACATAACAAAATAAAGATCCCAAGTTGTAGTTGACAGACCCCACAATTAAAATACAGCTAAAAGCAGCTACATTTTAATTCAGAAACAGGACTGTTTTAGGTTTTCTAAATTTCCTTCTGCAAGCATATGACCAGGACTATGCGCCAAGAATTCTCTCAGAAATATCATCCTTCCGACTGTGTTCCTATCAACTCATTTCTGCTATGAAGTCGTTCGTGCCAAAGTTGCCAAAGTGTCTACTTTGCCTGTTTTATTTTCCCTGTCACAATAAAGGTAATCAAAGTAAACAAAAATAAAAATGAACATTACATACAAATATTCTTTCCTTGCTATTTTAAAACTTGCTGTGTTTGGCTGGGCATGGTGGCTCACGCCTGTAATCCCAGCACTTCGGGAAGCCGAGGTGGGAGAATCACTTGAGGTCACCGGTTTGAGACCAGCCTGGCCAATATGGTGAAACCCCATCTCTACTAAAAATACAAAAGTTAGTCAGGTGTGGTGGCACACGCGTATAGTCCCAGCTACTCGGGAGGTGGAGGATGCAGTGATCCAAGACTGTGCCACTGCACTCCAGCCTGGGTGACAGAGTGAGACACCATCTTAAAAAAACAAAACAAAACAAAAAAACCACTACCACCAACAAAAAAAAAAAACCTTGCCATATTTTACTGTCTACTCTATTTGGGCCTAGGTTTCAGTAAAGAATTATTACTTTAGTGGTATCTTTATGTTTGGCTCTCCTTGCTCTTTTTAATATATCCAGTTGGAAACATAAATTATCTGTTAAGATACTTCAGATTTTGGCCAGGTCACAGACCCTACTCCCTTTTTGATAACTTTATACCTACAGGGCAGCTCAACACATTCTAAGACAGAGTGGTGCTGGTGGCCATCCATCCTCAGAACTTGGGCTCACTTTATAAACTTCTCAATCTCATAACTGGATTAAATGATAAATAATAATAATATGGTATCTTCAAACAAGTTGGTTTAGCTTTGGATTAGGGAAGTTTTAAATCACTTTTGATTAGGTTACCCTTAACTGATCTCTTCCTATGTGCTAGACATGTGGCTATTTTTTTTTTTCTTGAGATGGCGTCTCACTCTGTTGCCCAGACTGGAGTGCAACGGCGCAATCTCGGCTCACCGCAACCTCCGCCTCCGAGGCTCAATAGATTCTTCTGCCTCGGCCTTCTGAGTAGCTGGGATTACAGGCGTGTGCCACCACGCATGGCTAACATTTTTTTGTATTTTCAGTAGAGACGGGGTTTTACCACGTTGGTCAGGCTGGTCTCGAATTCCTGACCTCCTGATCTGTCCGCCTCGTCTTCCCAAAGTGCTGGGATTACAGGCGTAAGCCACCGCACCCAGCGACATGTGGCTATTAAAGCAAGTCTACATTGACCAGATTTTACAGATTAAGCTCACAGTGGGCCAAGAAAATACAACTAAGGTCACACAACTTCTAAGTAGTGGAGCTGGGTTCTGAATATAGATCTGACTCTATTTTGCCATGTTAGATGATTACTATGAACCTGGCTATACTTGTACCAGAACTCTCCATCATATGAAATAGCATGAATACAAACTCTTATTAATAAGAATGTTATTGATTCTGAAGTGAGATCAAGTGGATCTTCAAAAAATTTGTGAGGATTTCTGACTAACTGTGGAACACCCACTGAAGAGACGATTAACACAATAATAAGCCAAGAGAAAGCTGCTACCACCAGGAAAAGAGTGAGTGGCTCCCTACCTGGCTTTCTGAGCTACTAACTCCTGCACATGACTGCTCGTGTTTCGCACGTCATATACCAGAATTGAACCATTGGCCAGTCCAGCATAGATGTAGTTAGCCTCATCAAGACACCAGCAACAGCTCCAGACAGGACGTCCAGCATTATAAGTCTGGACCACGGTATTTGTCTCCAGGCTGTGGAGTTACAAAAGACTTTTACAACTGCATTAAGAAAATCAAATACATGACAAAGATGTAAAGATTATCATTTAAATGATCATTAATCCTTACTGAGAACACACTCATACTCCCAAACTATCTGGATTCCCTATTTTTTCTAGAATCTGCCCAGGTAACTCCTTTAAATTCCATAACATTTGTTTTGGGGGCCACAGGTTTTCCTCTTGAGTTCTAAGGAAATAAAATAATAAATTAAAAGGGCTGGACATGGTGGCTCATGCCTGTAATCCCAGCACTTTGGGATTCTGAGGCAGACAGATCACTTGAGGTCAGGAGTTTGAGACCAGCCTGGCCAACATGGCGAAACTAAAATACAAAAATTAGCCAGGTGTGGTGGCATGCACCTGTAATCCCAGCTACTCGGGAGGCTGAGGCAGGAGAATCACTTGAACCCTGGGATGCGGAAGTTGCAGTGAGCTAAGATCATGCCACTGTACTCCAGCCTGGGTGACAGAGTGAGACTCTCTCTCTCTCTCAAAAATAAATAAATAATAACCCAACCAACACTCTGGTATGTAACATTTTTCTACCTTATTTTTAAAACAATACTTATAAAGGCACGGAGCACACTCACATCTGGTTCACAGTACTCACAGAGCATGTGACAGATAAAACGCTGTGACTAAGGGTATAAAAGAAGTCATCATGGTACTCAAGGGCAGTGAGTGCTTGGTGAACATCTCTGTTACACAGAATTATCCAGGTAACAGACCAGGACCAGGAGTAAACAGTACCAACCTGGTATGGCGACTCTGATGTCAGGCACCAAAGCTTCCTCCATCCTGTCATTCCACAAACTTTAAAGACGGGGTTTCACCATGTTGGCCAGGCTGGTCTCAAACCCCTGACCTCAGCTGATTGCCTGCCTCGGCCTCACAAAGCGCTAGGATTACAGGCGTGAGCCACCACGCCTGGTCTCCACCAACTTTAGAGTTTTATTCTCATCTCCTTAAAATATACTTAAGACATATTTTGTAATATACATAGTTTCAAAGAAACAGGAAACATACAGTTTTGTAACCTTCTGTGCCCACTTCTAAAAGCAATATATTTTAAATGGATCTCAGAAGACACAGTCTCAGACCAAAAAAAACAGAGCTAAGGTCGGCTGGGCGCAGTGGCTCACGCCTGTAATCCCAGCACTTCAGGAGGCCGAGGCGGGCGGATCATGAGGTCAGGAGATTGAGCCCATCCTGGCTAACACAGTGAAACCCCGTCTCTACTACAAAAATAGAAAATATTAGCCAGGCATGGTTGCAGGCGCCTGTAGTCCTAGCTACTCGGGAGGCTGAGGCAGGAGAATGGCCTGAACCCGGAAGGTGGAGCTTGCAGTGAGCCGAGATCCCACCAGTGCACTCCAGCCTGGGTGACAGAGCGAGACTCCATCTCAAAAAAACAAAACAAAACAAAACAACAACAACAACAAAAAACAGAGCTAAGGTCATCATAACACCGATACGAATTCCATGCTACTCAACACCAAAGAGCCCAGTCTCCACCTACTTCCCCAAATCACTCACCTGGTCAGTTTAATAGTGTTGTCTAGGGAAGCAGAGAGTAGCAAGCCTCTGAGGTAACTGCTAAACGCCAGTCCACGGATCTGTTTGCCATGCATCGGAATGTACTGACTGCTCTTCATGTTGGCAGTACTCAACATCTTAACACCAAAGCCTGAAAAAGGCAAAATAGTATGAAATAGATCACTGAAAGTGAACCTAGGGCAATTCAAACTAGTTTTTCAAGTAGCTCCTTCGTCCACCTTTCTTGGCGTATAAGTCCTTGGGAACCAGCTGGTCAAACAAAAATTCTCTAGTGTTACAATTTATTCATTTATTTTTGAGAGTTGGCCAGGCTGGAATGCAGTGGCGTAACCTCAGCTCACTACAACTTCTGCCTCCCGGTGATCTGCTCGCCTCAGCCTCCCAAAGTGCTGGGATTACAGGCATGAGCCACCACACCTGGCCTATGATTCATTTAAAAAAGTACAACCCAGGCCAGGCATGGTGTCTCACCTCTGTAATCCCAGCACTTTGGGAGGCCGAGACAGGTGGATTACCTGAGGTCAGGAGTTCAAGACAAGCCTGGCCAACACAGTGAAACCCTGTCTCTACTAAAACACAAAAAATTAGCCAGGCGTGGTGGCAAGTTCCTGTAATCCCAGCTATTCAGGAGGCTGAGGCAGGAGAATCGCTTGAACCCAGGAGGCGGAGGTTGTAGTGAGACAAGATTGCACCACTACACTCCAGCGTGGGCAACCAGAGCAAAACTCCGTCTCAGAAAAAAAAAAAAAAGAAAAGAAAAAAAAGTACAACCCATGCTTGCTTCATGACAATGAAGAGAAGAAGAAAAAAAAAAAGAAAAAGTATAACCTACTCCAAACATCCAGGTAAATGGATAAACAAACCTACTGTATAAACATGTGATGGAATACCACCCGTTAAAAAGGAATTAACTACTAATATATACAATAAAAAATTATGCAGCGAGAAAGAAGTCAGACCAAAAAATGGTAACACTATATAATTCCATTTATGTAAAATTCTAGAAAATGCAAACTCATCTGTAGTGACAAAAAGCAGTGACTGCTGGGGATGGGAGAGGAGGGAGGGGCAGGTGAGATTATCAAAGGCCATAGGGAAACTTTTGCGGTAATACATATGTTCATGGCCAAGCATGGTAGCTCGCGCCTGTAATCCCAGCACTTTGGGAGGCTGAGGTGGGTGGCTCGCTTGAGATCATGAGTTCGAGACCAGCCTGGGCAATATGGTGAAACCCTGTTGCTACAAAAAATATGAGAATTAGCTGGGCGTAGTGGGGCGAGCCTGTAGTCCCAGTTACTCAAGAGGCTGAGGTGGAAGGATGACTTGAGCCCAGGAGGCGGAGGTTGTAATGAGCTGAGATCACACCCCTCCCTGCATTCCAGCCCGGGAGATCACACCCCTCCCTGCATCCAGCCTGGAAGACAGAACTAGATCTTCTGTCAAAAAAAAAAAAAATTAAAGTTATCTTGATTGTAGTCATGGTTTCAGGGGTGTATTACATATGTTAAAAGTCATCAAATTGTATACTTTAAATATGTAGTTTACTCTCTGTCAATTCTACTTCAATAAAGCTGTTGAGAGACAGAATATTTCACCAGAACCACAGACACTCCAGATGCAGAAGGAATAGTGAACAATAGAGAATGAAAATAAATAATTTGTCAGTCAAGATATGTCACATCTGTCTGAAATGAAATGAAACAGATGACATTTCAAGTACCCACATTACTGAAGTGGGGGGAAAATAACCAACAAAAACCAATAACCTTTTAAAACTTCTTGTTACTCTGTTCTCTTACTAGGCTATGATAACATTTATTTTTTACTAAGTACTTTATATATATATATATATATATTTTGAGACAAGGCCTCACTCTGTCACCCATGCTAAGGTGCAGTGGCACCATCATGGCTCACAATAGCCTCGATCTCCTAGGCTCAAGCGATCCTCCCAACTCAGCCTCCCAAGTAGCTGGGACCAGAGAGGTGTGCCACCACACCAAGCTAGTTAAGAAAAATTTTTTTTATAGCGATGGAGTCTCACTATGTTGCCCAGACTGGTCTCATACTCCTGGGCCCAAACGATCCTCCCGCCTTGGCCTCCCAAAGTGCTGGGATTACAGTCATGAGCCACTGTGCCCACTTGAGTTAAATTCTTTAAAAATACGTCAAATCCTAGATTCAAGATAGCTTCAGCTTCTCCAGGGAACCAAGCACGTGGCTTACTGTACTTTCTTCTAGCAGAATTAAGACAGCCAGAGAGGAAAAAAAAAGGGGGGAAGGGGGGCGCAGGTATAGGCTTTAAATCAACAAGGTGGCCAGGCATGGTGGCTCATGCCTGTAATCCCAGTACTTTCGGAGGCTGAGATGGGTGAATCACCTGAGGTCAGGAGTTGGAGACCAGCCTGACCAAAATGTTAAAACCCCATTTCAAATACAAAAATTAACTAGGCATAGCCGGGCGCGGTGGCTCACGCCTGTAATCCCAGCACTTTGGGAGGCCGAGGCGGGCGGATCATGAGGTCAGGAGATTGAGACCATCCTGGCTAACACGGTGAAACTCCGTCTCTTCTAAAAATACAAAAAATTAGCTGGGTGTGGTGGCGGGCGCCTGTAGTCCCAGCTACTCAGGAGGCTGAGGCAGAATGGCATGAACCCGAGAGGTGGAGCTTGCAGTGAGCCGAGATAGAGACAGCGCCACTGCAGTCCGGCCTAGGCGAAAGAGCGAGACTCCATCTCAAAAAAATAAAAAAAATAAAAAATAAAAAAAAAAATTAACTAGGCATGGTGGCATGCACCCGTAGTCTCAACTACTTGGGAGGCTGAGGCAGGAGAATCTCTTGAATCCAGGAGGCAGAGGTTGCAGTGAGCTGAGATCAGGCCACTGCACTCCAGCCTGCGCAAAAGAGTGAGACTCCATCTCAAAAGAAAAAAAAAAAATCAACAAGGTAACAGAAATACACACCGAGTTAATCATTAAGGGGAACAAGGACAAATCAACACCAGCACACTATCAAGCGGACTGGAATGGACACGTTAAGAAAAAAAGAACAGAACACATTCCCAATTTGGGGAACATTAGGAAATAGCTATTTTTCCAATTTGTTGGTTTTATTTGATGATAAATCTTTTTATTAAAAACTTAGATGGGATAAAGGAACATTATATAACCATGCTAAAGCAAAGGGGTCTTGCAGTTGGCAGAAATCTTATGCTAAAGACAGCAGAAAGAAACATCTGCAAGATTTAGAAATGATTTAATTGAGCATTTGAAAAGACTTGGTTTTCAACATTTAGAAAACCTAAAATTAAGCTTAAAAACACAAAACATGTTGAGAGAAAATTAACCTAGTATTAATAAAATAATCAATTTACTCCCTAAATTCTCTTATTTGGAAATTGTTAACTTGAACACTATTGTAAGTAAATATTAAATTTTGTTTCACCTTGAATTAACCCTTAGGGCTGTGTTTTGTCAAACATTTCCAGTCTAAAATGCATCTGTAAGTTGAGGACATATAAGTCCTTCTTGGACTATATCAGTAACCTACACTTCCAAGGACCTCACCATCTGCTTTATCATGGTTATCAGTATTTCTACCCTCTTGGTTAATAAATTTACAGAATGAAGTCAACAGACAGTAAAGACATCTTTGCAGCACCCTGGGGTACTTGCATTAACAAGGAACTAATAGGGAAAGGTGATTTGGTAACCTTTGAGTCTTGAATTTTCCAAAAGGCAAGGAAATAAATATATGGAGTCTAATAAAGAACATGAAAGCTGAGGTTCTAGACTCTTTACCTGGAAGAAAAGAGGCCTGAGGAGAAGGCTGTGATATCACCAGGCAGCTCAGAGCATCACAGTATGCCATGATCCGGCAGTTTCCTGCCTGAGATACTGTGAAGGTCTTTTGGAAGTGGTACTTGTGCTTGTGCTGGCCCTGGCTGGAGGGTGAGCAGCTCAGGACCCATGCTTGGGAGCCCCTGGGTTGCTGTAAATTCTGACTTTGATGTGACGTAAGTTTTTGCAAGTCCTAAAATGAAAAAGATTTTATAAATACAAAGCTTTTTAATTTGATATTCCCCTCAAATACAATTCCTTGATCTTTTACAGGAAGATTTTTTATCCATTATATGAAAGTGTTAACATGAATCCTAGAGAACTGCAGAGTTTTTGTTTTTTTTTTTAAGACGGAGTCTCACTCTGTCACCCAGGCTGGAGTGCAGTGGGACCATGTTGGCTCACTGCAACCTCCATCTCCTGGGTTCAAGCACTTCTGCCTCAGCCTCCTGAGTAGCTGGGATTACATGCACCCACTACCATGCCCGGCTAATTTTTAAATATTTTTAGTAGAGATGGGGTTTTACCACGTTGGCCGGGCTGGTCTTGAACTCCTGACCTCAGGTGATCCACCCGCCTCGGCCGCCCAAAGTGCTGGGATTACAGGCGTGAGCCACCGCGCCCGGCCAGAACTGCTGAGTTTTTACAGTATTTCAACAAGCAAGTGAAATAAGGAGAGCACAGAATCATAATATGAGGGTTGAAAGTCCTTAATGGTGGTTTCGTTTAAAGTCCTTTAAAAAAAAAAAAAAAAAAAAAAACAACTTAAAAGGAGACAGGGTCTCACTCTGTCATCCATGGCATCCAGGCTGGAGTGCAGTAGTGCGATCACAGCTCATTGTAACCTTCAAACTCCTGGTAAAGCCCTCATTTTACTAGTAGATTTAGGAAGGTAAAATTACTTAAACAAGTTTGGAATTCTTGGTTGGCTATTTAATTTTTTCTAAAATTCAGATTGTAAGGCCAGGTGCAGTGCTCACGCCTGTAATCCCAGCACTTTGGGAAGCCAAGGCAGGCGGATCACCTGAAGTCAGGTGTTCAAGACTAGCCTGGCCATCATGGTGAAACCCTGTCTCTACTAAAAGTACAAAAATTAGCTGGGCATGGTGGTGGGCTCCTGTAATCCCAGCACCTCGAGATGCTGAGGCTGAGGCAGGAGAACCGCTTGAACCCAGGAGACAGAGGTTGCAGTGAGCCGAGATCACATCACTGCACTCCAGCCTAGGTGACAGAGTGAGACTCTGCCTCAAAAAAATAAAAAATAAAATTCAGACTATAGTAGACCTCATCATAAAGTGTGTAGTAAGTTTTGAACAGATGCCCTAATCAGAAATAAAATAAGGAGTTGGTCATGTTCATTTCCTAAACAACTTGGCAAATCCTATTTGTTTCTGAGATGAACATAACTAACATTAGCTTCCTCTTCCATTCCTATTCCAAAAGTTCTTTGGATTAGAAAGGACAAACGTACCTGAACACGCCTTTGAAGCCTAGTGCACTTATCAGTGAGGACCTGCAGTTGGAGTCGGCACTGTGCTGATTCTAACTCGGCCTGTTTCCTTAGCATCTGTTCCTTCAGTAGGGAACTAGAGGGGGAAAGCCAGCAACAAGTGGGGATTAGGAAGGCTACAGAAGACTTCCCATCCAGGTGGCAGAGTTAAGTTCATGCTATGATGCACGTTCTTTGCTGTAAATATGTTATGATAGTGAATAAAATATAAAAAGAGAAAAATCTCTCCAGAAACAGGTTTTAGGGTAAGCAGGGAGTGATGGTCAGGAATTTGACTATTACTAGAAAATGGGGACTAAAAATGCCACAGGCAAAACGAGAGAACAGAGCTAATCTAGTGTTCAGCTACGGCAAATTGTAAAAGATTAAACTGACATGTTAAAAGGCCAAGGTTACTGGATTAAAAAGGAAACAGTAAGCTGTTGGTTGTTCATGAGATACTCAAATAATATAACCCAAAAAAGAATCTGAAGTTAAAAAGAGCAAAAGTAGACATCAAGCAAATATTAACAAAGGAAAGACCAATTAGAATTAAGGAAAAAGCATAAATAGGCATAACGAGGAACAATGTATCATAAAAGGACACATTCACCAAGAATAACAAATATATATTTGTATGTACCTAAAAACAGTCTCAAAATATGAAATGCAAAGACAGAATTCCACTCCAGTAAGATATGCAAGAAAAAGATGAAAATTGGAAAAGATAAAGCTGCCCTTATTAATTTTTATGGCAAATTTAAGAGAACCCCCAAAACAATTACAGTTTAGCAACGCTGCTGGACTCAAGACCAAAAAAATTAGATCAACAGCAGTCCTCATCAGATAACTGATTAGTAAATGTAATTTAAAAAATTCATTCACAACAATTTTAACAGCAATCTAGAAATACAGTCATGTGCAGCTTAATGATGTGGGCATGTTCTGAGAAACATGTTGTTAGGTGATTTCGTCATGTAAACATTACAGAATGTACTTACAGAAACCTACACAGTATAGCCTACTACACACCTAAGCTATATACTGTTGCTCCCAGGCTACAAACTTGTATAGTATGTTACCATAATGAATACTATAGGCAATGGTACTATAATGGTATTTATGTATCTAAACATAGAAAAGGTAATGCATTGAGCTAAGACTTTTTTTTTTTTTTTTTTTTTAGCCCGAGTCTCACTCCATTGCCTAGGCTGCAGAGCAGTGGCGTGATCCAGGCTCACGGCTACCTCCGCCCCCCGGGTTCAAGAGATTTCTTGCCTCAGCCTCCCAAGTAGCTGAGATGACCGGCACCTGCCAACACACCCAGCTAATTTTTGTATTTTTAGTAGAGACAGGGTTTCACCATGTTGCCCAGGCTGGTCTCAAACTCCTGGCCTCAAGTGATCCACCTGCCTCAGCCTCCCAAAGTGCTGGGATTACAGGTGTGAGCTACTACACCCAGTGCGCTAAGCCATTTCAATGATTACAACATCACTTACGCAACAGAATTTTCAGCTCCATTATAATCTTATGGGGCCACCATCGTATATGCAATCTGTCATTGACCCAAAGGTCATTATGCAGCACGTGACTGTAAAGTAAAAGGCTAGGCAGGATCTTTATGAAGCAAAATACACTTGTGAAAGACACAAGAAAACAGTGAACAAATGGAAGGATATTACATAATGTTCATGACTGAAAAGACTATCACAAAGATGGTACTTCTCAAGTTACCCTATAATAATTTTTAATGCAATTTCAATCAAGATCCCAAAGGTGTTTTTCATGGAACTTAACAAATTAATTTTAAAAAATTAATATGAAGAACAATGCCAAAAATAGCAAAAAAATACTTTTGCAGAACAAAATGGGGGAACATATATTAAAGCTACAATAAATTATAGCTTGGAATATGTGAGAAAGAATTAACAAAAAGACTGTGGAACAAAAGAGTACAGTGTCTCCTTATCTAGTTTCATTTTCCATGGTTTCTGATATCTGTGATCAACCACAACCTACAAATATCGAGATATGTTGAGAGAGAGATGGAGACCACACTCACATAACTTACTATAGTATACTGGTATAATTGCTCTATTTTATTATTTATTATTGTTAATCTCTTACTGTTCCTAATTTATAAATTATCCTTTAGGTTTGTATGTATAAGAAAAAACATACTACGGTTTCAGGCATTCACTGGGGGCTCTTGAAATGTATTCCTTGTGGCTAAGGGGGGACTACTGTAGCCCATTCATACATGGAAACTTAATTTTTTTTTTTTTTTTTGAAACAGTCTTGCTCTGTTGCCCAGGTTGGAGTGCAGTGGCGTGATCTTGGCTCACTGCAACCTCCGCCTCCTCCCGAGTTCAAGCGATTCTTCTGACTCAGCATCCTGAGTAGCTGGGATTACAGGTGTGTGCCACCACGCCCAGCTAATTTTTGTATTCTTAGTAGAGACACGGTTTCATCATGTTGGTCAGGCTGGTCTCGAACTTCCGACCTTGTGATCCGCCCACCTCAGCCTCCCAAAGTGCTGGGATTACAGGCGTGAGCCAATGCGCCCGCCCGGAAACTTAATTAAGGATAGAAGTAGCAATGAAAATTTGTACAGAAAAATATACTATTTAGTAAATTATAAGTCAGGTGTGGTGGCATGCGCCTGTACTCCCAGCTACTCAGGATGCTGAGGTTGGAGGACTGCTTGAGCCTAGGAATCTGATGGCGCCACTGCACTCTGGCCTTTGTGATAGAGCAAGACCCTGTCTTTAAAAAAAATTTTTTGGCCAGGCGCAGTGGCTCATGCCTGTAATCCCAGCACTCTGGGAGGCCGAGGTGAGTGGATCACGAGGTCAGGAGTTCAAGACCATCCTGGCCAAGATGGTGAAACCCCGTCTCTACTAAAAATACAAAAAATTAGCCAGGCGTGGTGGCGGGTGCCTGTAGTCTCAGCTACTCGTAAGGCTGAGGCAGGAGAATCACTTAAACCCGGGAGGTGGAGGTTGTAGTGAGCTGAGATCACGCCACTGCACTCCAGCCTGGGCGACAGAGCGAGACTCTGTCTCAAAATAAATAAAATTCACAAAGGTATGAAAAAATGAGAAATCTCTCCTTTTTTTTTAAACAAGAAAAGTTTAAGTTAGAAAAGTAATTTGACAATATTTAGGTAAAGCTGAAATTAAATGTGCCCTATAATAAAGCAATTCCATTGCTAGACCTCTCTGCAGCATGGCTAATATTAACAAGTGGAGACAACCTAAATGTCTACCAATGTAAAACACAAACAGATAATTTTTTTTTTTTTTGAAGACAGAGTTTCGCCATTGTTGCCCAAGCAGGAGTGCAATGGTGCGACCTCGGCTCACCACAACCTCTGCCCCCTGGGTTCAAGCTATCCTCCTGCCTCAGTCTCCCGAGTAGCTGGGACTACAGGTGCGTGCCACCATGCCCGGCTAATTTTTGTATTTTTAGTAGAAATGGGGTTTCACCATGTTGGCCAGGCTGGTCTCCAACTCCTGACCTCAGATGATCCGCCCACCTCAGCCCCTCAAAGTGCTGGGATTATAGGTGTGAGCCACCACGCCTGGCCTAAACAGATTAATTTTGACTAGAGAACTAGAATATTATCAAGAAATTGAAATGAAAAAAACTAGAGTCCCATGTATCAACTAGGATATACTCCCAAAGCATAAAATTAAGCAAAAAAGCAAGCTACAGAAGAAAAAGTTATAATCTAACATAACATTTGCATACAGTATAAAAACTTTCTGGCCGGGTGCAGTGCCTCACGCCTGTAATCTCAGCACTTTGGGAGTCCAAGGCAGGCTGATCACGAGGTCAGGAGTTCCAGACCAGCCTGGCCAACACGGTGAAACCCTGTCTCTACTAAAAATACAAAAAAAATTAGCTGGGCATGGTGAAAGGCGCCTGTAATCCCGGCTACTTGGGAGACTGAGGCAGGAGAATTGCTTGAACCTGGGAGGCGGGAAGTTGTAGTGAGCCAAGATTGCACCATTGCAATCCAGCCTGGGCAACAAGAGCAAAACTCCGTCTCCAAAAAAAAAAAAAAAAAAAAAAAAAACCAAAGAAACCAAAAACCAAAACAAAACTTTCTATATCATACTATGTATAATTTACAAATACATATATAGCTAATCAAATACATAATAACTCTTGGGAATGCTGAACACCTAATTCATGAAAGTAGTTCTCTATGGAATTAAGAACTTAGTTCACAGGAAGACTTCTAGTGTACCTTTTTAAATTTGACACAGAGTCTTGCTCTGTTGCCCAGGCTGGAGTGCAGTGGCGCAATCTCAGCTTACAGTAACCTCCGCCTCCCAGGTTCAAGCGATTCTCGTGCCTCAGCCTCCCGAGTTGCTGGCATTACAGGCACGCACCACCACATCCGGATAATTTTTTGTATTTTTAGTAAAGATGGGGTTTTGCCATGCTGCTCAGGCTGGTCTCAAACTCCTGAGCTCAGGCGATCTGCCTGCCTCAGCCTCCCAGAGTGCTAGGATTTCAGGTGTGAGCCACTGTGCCTGGCCCTTCTACTGAATCTATAATTAACTTCTTCTTCTTTAAAATTTTCTTTCCTTTTTTTCCTTCTTGACCTGGTCAACAGATTTATCTTTATTTTTTTGAGACAGGTTCTTACTCTGTCACCCAGGCTAGAGTGCAGTGGCATGACCATAGCTCACTGCAGCCACAACCTCCTGGGCTCAAGAAATCCTCTCTCCTGAGTAGCTGAGACTACAGGTGTGTACCACTACACACGGATAATTTTTTTCATTTTTATTAGAAACAAGGTCTCACAATGTTGCCCATGCTGCTCTCAAACTCCTGGTCTCAAGCAATCCTCCTGCCTCGGCCTTCCAAAGTGCTGGGATTACAGGCATGAGCCACTACACCCAGCCTATTTATTTTCAAAAAGGCTCAAAGCAATATGGCAAAACATTAAGATTTGATAAAATTGGGTAAAAGGCTGTTCGTTTTATTAGTCTGTATCGGCATTTTGAAACTCTTCACTTTTTCTAATGAGGCTGGAGAGTATACTAATTCCTTATTGTAATCAGTGAATTGTTTTTAAATATAATCACCCATTACAGCCACACGTATAGATTTTGCCTTTTCAACAAAATTCCTCTCTGTACACATCTTCCATTATTTAAAAACGCTACAAGTGAGCATTGGTTGGACCAAATGAGTAAAAACAAGGAAGAAAACTAAAATAATCTGTACAGTGACTACCTATAGAGCTTTTTTTCTTTCTTTTAAAAAAAATTTTAAATACAGATAGGATCTATGTTGGCCAGGTTGGTCTTGAACTCCTGGTCTTAAGCAATCCTTTTGCCTTGGCCTCCCAAAGTGCTGGGATTACAAGAGTGAGCCACCGCACCAGCCTTACTTTTTTTCTAGTTCACAAAAATGCAATCATACTAATAACATGCTTCCACAGGACAACATATGCACATTTCAACATTGTATTCTGTTCATGCATACACCACCGTTCATTCAACTAAGCAATCCCCTTGCCTTAGATTTTTAACAATGCTAAATGAAGTTTCATTAAGTAAATCTTGGTACACAGCCTTCAATGTTTCTTTAGAATGCCTGAACAATTACTAGATCAAAGGCTTTAGAGACACATTTCCAAGGATGTCTCAAAATGATTTTGCCTGTGTACATCCAAACCAGTAAAGTGTGAACCCATGTCACTGTACCTCTCTCTCAATGGTGTGTATGTTCTTTAATATTTTTGAAGCATATACTGAGTGGTGTTACTAGCAACTGTTTTTTTTTTTTTTTTTTTTTTTTGAGACGGAGTCTTGCTCTGTCGCCCAGGCTGGAGTGCAGTGGTGCAATTTCGGCTCACTGCAAGCTCTGCCTCACGGGTTCACGCCATTCTCCTGTCTCAGCCTCCTCAGTAGCTGGGATTACAGGCGTCCGCCACTATGCCCGGCTAATTTTTTTGTATTTTTTAGTAGAGACGGGGTTTCACCGTGTTAGCCAGGATGGTCTTGATCTCCTGACCTTGTGATCTGCCCACCTTGGCCTCCCAAAGTGCTGGGATTACAGGCGTGAGCCACCATGCCCGGCCCTAGCAACTGTTTTGTGCTTCCGAAATCCTGGTAATTTTTTACATTGCACTGCATGTGCAAAGCTTCACTTATGAGTTTTCTGTATGGAGAACTGCTGTGGCGGGGGGTGGTCAGGGATATGAGAAGCAAAAATGGCAACAGAAGTAATGTGCCAGATCCTTGTGTTTAATGCTCTACATAAGGCAAACGATGCAGACTTCCTTAAGAAGATGATCAGACATGAATTATAAATAACAGTGTAAGACAGACTGCCAATGATCCCCAGAGATCCCAAGTCACAGGTCAAGTAAAACCTCACTACGAGTGACTCATAACTTCTTTTTCAGATGTGCCTACAATGAACCAAAAGGGAACATTCCAGCCAGGCATACTCTTACCACCTACCTTTTCATGCGCTCCTGTTCACTAGTGTCCAAAGCTCTCAGGGTTCGGGCATAAAGGACGACAATGTCACTGTGCCTGGCTTTCTTGTTGCACTAAAGAACCCAATAGGACATAATTAGAGTGGTTCTAGGAATCTGCCTGACTTAACATGTTAATGTGTCCTTACCTATGGTCCTTACCTGGGGACATTTTCGTACTTGTCCTTTAAGCCACGTGGAAATGCACCTATACCCAAAGAGATGCCCACAGCGTAATGCTGAGAGCCGGTGGTCCCCAGCATTGGTCCACTGTTCCAGACATATTGTACAAGTGTCCCCTTCTTCCTCA
This sequence comes from Homo sapiens, assembly GCF_000001405.40. Classification (NCBI taxonomy): domain Eukaryota; kingdom Metazoa; phylum Chordata; class Mammalia; order Primates; family Hominidae; genus Homo; species Homo sapiens. The sequence goes on from NC_000016.10 coordinate 74,644,689, forward strand.
TCCATAGAAGCAGAAGGTAGCAGAGGCTCAGACTTCTGGGGAGATGGCTAGATGGAAAGCAGAATATATTCAAATTAGAGAAAATGTAAAATCAATCTTGAAGAAGATGTGCAACTAAGAAATTAACAGAAGTGCAAAAAAAATGATACAATCAAAAGGGCTACAGAACACTTGTAACACCTATGAATCACTTGTCATTCTTTCTAGAATGCAATGTCACAAAATATAAGCTATGAAAACTATACTACTCTTAAATCTTATAAAATTCTTGGATACTTTTTCCTTCACTCAAAGGAAGAAAAGCAGCTATCCATATAAAGAATAGCAGCTATAAAATATTTAACTCATGTGTACCAGAGGGCAAAAAAAGAAAACAAAGGATACAAATGCTTACAAGAAAACACAATGGTCAATAAGTGTTTGCTTATAATTAAAGAAATGCAAATTAAAGAGACCATTTTTCATCTATCAGACTGGTATAAATTGATGTCTGATGACACCAAGCACTGTTGTGGGTAAATGAGATATGGACATGCTTATATACTGTTGCCTTAAATGTAAAGTGGCACACATTTCTGGAGCACCATTTGGCATTATCCATGAAAATTAAAACACATATATCTTTCCTTTGGCATAGCAATCTCTCTGCTAGAGATACCTCATGGATATATAGTCATGCATTGCTTGACAATGGGAATACATTCTGAGAAATGCGTCTTTAGGCGATTTCGTCATTGAATGATCCCAGAGGTACTTAAATAAACCTAGACGGTGTAAACTATTACATACTTAGACAACAAACCTGTATAGGATGTTACTGTACCAAATACTGTAGGCAACTGTAGCACAGTGGTGGGTTTCACCATGTTGGCCGGGCTGGTCCCGAACTCCTGACCTCAAGTGATCCGCCCGCCTTGGTCTCCCAAAGTGCTGGGATTATAAGTGTGAGCCACTGCGCCCAGCCTGGTATTATCATCTAATGGGACAACCATCATACATGTGGTCTGTCATAGACTGAACTATTATGCAGCCCATGATCATAGTCACAAATATTTTCTTTTTTTTTTTTTTTTTTTTTTTTTGAGACAGACTCTCGCTCTGTCGCCCAGGCTGGAGTGTAGCGGCAGAATCTCGGCTCACTGCAAGTTCCGCCTCCTGGGTTCACACCATTCTCTTGCCTCAGCCTCCTGAGTAGCTGGGACTACAGGCGCCTGCCACCAAGCCCGATTTTGTGTATTTTTAGTAGAGACGGGGTTTCACCGTGTTAGTTAGGATGGTCTCGATCTCCTGACCTCGCGATCCGTCCGCCTTGGCCTCCCAAAGTGCAGGGATTACAGACGTGAGCCACCATGCCCAGCCAGTCACAAATATATTCTAAGATAATTATATAAGATTGTTCCAAGCAGGCCAGGTGTAGTAATCACACCTACAGTCCCAGCTTATTGGGAGGCCAAGGCAGGAGGATTCCTTGAGCTCAGGAGTTTGAAACCAGACTGGACAACATAGCAAGACCTTGTCCCTGTTAAAAATTTAAAAAATTAGCCATGTGTGGTGGCACATGCCTGCAGTCCCAAGTAGTCAGGAGGCTGAGGTAGAAGCATCACCTGAGCCCGGGATATTGAGGCTGCAGTGAGCTATGATTGTGCCACTGCACTCCAGCATGAGGGACAGAATGAGACCCTGTCTCAAAAAAGTTCAGTGTAGCATGATTTATATAAAGAAAAAAAATATTATTACCCTCCCAAGTAGTTGAGACAACACAGGCGTGTGCCACCATACACCAACCATGCTTTACATGATAAGAAAAAGAATTAATTCGCTGGGCGCAGTGGCTCACACCTGTAATCCTAGCACTTTGGGAGGCCAAGGCAGGCGGATCATGAAGTCAGGAGATCGAGACCATCCTGGCTGACATGGTGAAACCTCGTCTCTACTAAAATACAAAAAATTAGCCAGGCATGACGGCGTGTGCCTGTAGTTCCAGCTACTCGGGAGACTGAGGCAGGGGAATCGCTTGAACTCAGGAGGTGGAAAGAAAAGAATTAACTCAAAATTTATTTGTATGATGGAATGCCACGTAGCTATTAATAAGAACAAGATGAGACCAGGCATGGTGGCTCACGCCTGTAATCCCAGCACTTTGGGAGCCCGAAGCGGGCGGATCACCAGGTCAGGAGATCAAGACCATCCTGGCTAACACGGTGAAACCCCGTCTCAACAACAACAACAACAACAACAACAACAACAAAATTAGCCAGGTGTGGTGGCAGGCGCCTGTAGTCCCAGCTACCGGGAGGCTGAGGCAGGAGAATGGTGTGAACCTGGGAGGCGGAGCCTGCAGTGAGCCGAGATCATGCCACTGCACTCCAGCCTGGGTGACAGAGCGACACTCGTCTCAAAAAAAAAAAAAGATTCAATTTTATGTACTGATAACAGAAAGCTCTCCAAGATGTACTAAGCTGGGAAAAATGAGCCAGACTCAAATAAAAACACAAAGAGCACATAGAAATATGCAAAAAATGTTAAATGATGTTTTGACATTGGAAGAATTCACAGCAGATGTAAATTACTCATACTGAGGACAATGATGTATAGGTGTTATTTTTATTTTTTTTTTGACATGGAGTCTTGGTCTGTTACCCAGGCTGGAGTGCAATGGCACAATCTCGGCTCACCACAACCTCCGCCTCTCAGATTCAAGTGACTCTCCTGCCTCAGCTTCCCGAGTAGCTGGGACTATAGGCACGCACCACCATATCCGGCTAATTTTTGTATTTTTAGTAGAGATGGGGTTTCACCCTGTTGGCCAGGCTGGTCTCAAACTCCTGTGCTCAGGTGACTCACCCACCTTGACTTCCCACAGTGCTGGGATTACAGGTGTGAGCCACTGCGCCCGGCCAACATTATTATTACTATTCTTTGAGATGAAGTCGTGCTCCGTCTCCCAAGCTAGAGCGCAGTGACGCTATTTGGGCTCACTGCAACTTCTGCCTCCCAGGTTCAAGCGATTCTCCTATCTCAGCCTCCTGAGTAGCTGGGATTATATGCGCCTGCCAACATACCCAGCTAATCTTTGCATTTTTACTAGGGATGGGGTTTCGCCATGTTGGCCAGGCTGGTCTTGAACTCCTGACCTCAGGTGATCCGCCCGCCTTGGCCTCCAACAGTGCTGGGATTATAGGCATGGGCCACCGCGCCCAGCCCATTATTTTTAAAAATAAAAATTATCACCTACTAACCATATTCTGCCTGATTTTTTTTTAATTTTAATTTTTTTATTGAGACAGGGTCTCACTCTGCTGCCATGGAGTGCAGTGGTGCAATCATGGCTCACTGAAGCCTTGACCTCCCAGGCTCAAGTAATCCTGTCTCAGACTCCCTAAGTAGCTAGGACTATAGGCGCATGCCACCACACCTGGCGAATGTGCTTAATAATTTATAAAGCACATTTATGTCTATTTTTTCAACTGATACTTAACCTTGTTGGCTAGACAGGACAGGTTATCCTCAATACTCCTCCCTCCCCATTTTTAAATCTAAGAGACAGCAGTCACACAAATAATGAGTAACTGGGATAGGATCCACACCTGGACCTCTTGCCTACAAAGCCTGCAAGCTTCCCATTTTAACCTGCAGCCCCACTTTGGTTAGAGACTAGGTTTCACCATGTTGGCCAGGCTGGTCTCAAACTCCCTACTTCAGGTGATCCACCCGCCTTGGCCTCCCAAAGTGCTGGGATTACAGGTGTAAGCCACCGTGCCCAGCCAAAAACCCAAACCTTTTATTTAAAAGGATATTCAGAGGCCAGGAACGGTGGCTCACACCTATAATCCCAGCACTTTGGGAGGCCGAGGTGGGTGGATCACAAGGTCAGGAGTTTGAGACCAGCCTGGCCAGTATGGTGAAACCCCGTCTCTAACTTAAAAGACAAAAATTAGCTGGGCGGGGTGGCGTGTGCCTGTAGTCCCAGCTGCTCGGGAGGCTGAGGTAGGAGAATTGCTTAAACACGGGAGGCAGAGGTTATTGTGGTGAGCTGAGATCGCACCACCGCACTCCACCCTGGGCAACAGAGTGAGACTCCGTCTCAAAAAAAAAGAAAAAAAAGGGGATATTCAGGTTGGGCATGGTGGCTCATGACTACAATCTCAATGGTTTGGGAGGCCGAGGCAGGACGATACCTTGAGCCCAGGAGTTCGAAACCAACTGGGTAATATAGTGAGACTCTGTCTACAAAAAATAAAAAATGTAGCCGAGTGTGGTGGCATTACCTGTAGTTCCAGCTATTCAGGAGGCTGAAGTGGGAGGATCCTTTGAGCCCAGGAGTTTGAAACTGCAGTGAGTTATGACTGCACCACTGCACTCTAGCCTGGGTGAGAGTGAGACCTAGTCTCTAAAAATAAATAAATAAATAAATAGATTTTTTTAAAATGATGTTCATATTACCTGTTTGGGGAGGGTCTTGCCTCCATCGATACATGTAACTTCTTGCTCTGCTGAGACACCTGCTAGTTGCTCTGCCAAGTCATTTCCAGAAATGACAGGAGAGGTAAAATACAAAATAAGATATGTCAGGTATGAGAAGCTAGCAGGAGAGAGCCTGACTCACTACAGCTTCCCATTTCTAACTGACAGTGTTCCTGCAAAAAGGATGACAACTTCCCCAGGTACCATCAGTGAATTTATTTTTAAAAATTTAGTTTGAATATTCTCAAACATACATAAAAGTACACAGAACAGTATAGTTAAGCCACAAGTACCCATCACTCAATTTAAAAAATAATCAATATTTTGCCAATCTTGTTCCACCTAAGCCCCCATTCCATTATTTTCTTTTGGTTGGAATACTTAACAAACCTTAAAATGTCATTATACTTGCAAAAACTTCTGCAACACTGATAAGAATTCTTTTTTTATATAAACACTGTGTAATTATTATACCTAACAATATTAACAATAATCCTCCAATACCACTAAATATCCAGGCATCCAGTTCATATTCAAAATTTCCCAATAGTTTTAAAGCTGCTCTTTGCAGATTTATTGCAATCAGAATCCAAAAAAAGTCTCCATAATGAGCTTGTGATGTCTCTTAAGTCTTTTTCATTTTATTACAATTCCCCCTCACCCATTTTTTTCCCCTCTGTTTGTCATTGATTTGTCAGGTCATTTGTCTAATGAAATGTCCTACACATCCTGGATTTGGCTGACTGCTTCTTCATGAAATTAACTTTTATATATAATAAATTGAGCATTGTGCAACCACCACCATAACCCAATTTAAAATATTTCTATCAGCCCACAAAGATCCTTTATGCCCATTTAGAGTCAATCCACATTTGCATCTGCAGCCCTGGGCAACCACTAATATTATCTCTGTAGACTTGCCTTTTCTGGACATTTTATGTAAGTGGAATCATAAACTATGTTGGTTTACTGTTACATAAAACATTAAAAATTGTCCCCACTGATTTGAGATATTCCCTTCACAATATGTTAAATTTCCATATATATTTAGGTCTAGAAAGATGTTCCATTTGTAGACTGTTCTACATTTTTAATTTAAATGATTACATCTCTGAGGTATTATTTATCTTGTTCCTCCACCCCCGTTTCTACAAACTATGCAAACTGGTTGTTAGAAAACAGTCTTGAGTAGATTCAGGGCTTTTTTTTTTTTTTGGCAATGGGGGTGGGGGGCTGGTGTGTGTGTGTATACAGTACTTCCTAAGTGGCATGAGTATTTCTGATTGCAGCACATTAGAGGCACATATGGTCTTGCTGTCCTATTTTTTTAAGATGCTAAGATTGACCAATGGGTTCAGGTGGTATCACCCTGGTCCCTGTATTAAAAGGAATCCCATCAACCCTGCAACCTAATGGTTTTAGGATCCACTGATGATCTTTGCCTAGATATATAATTTAATTGGGGGTCACAAAATGATGACTTTTCTATCGTTCCTGCTGCAATTAGCTGAAATTTTTCTATTAAAAAAACCTTCAAGCCTGGACAACATAGGGAGACCCCACAGCTACAAAAAATTAGCCAGGTGTGGAGGCATGCACATGTAGTCCTAGCTACTCAGGTGGCTGAGGCGGGAGGATCGCTTGAGCCTGGGAGGTCAAGGCTGCGGTGAGCTGTGATCGTGCCACTGCACTCCAACCTGGGGGACAGAGTGTAACCCTGTCTCAAAAAAAACAAATGAAAAAAAAAACAACAAAAAAACCCACTTCATCAACTATCTGATTGTCCAAAATACAGTTTATACAGGAAGGCAAAATATTAATATATTCCTGACCCTTTATTTACTAGTTTTTGGAGTAATTAGTTGGGGTTCTAACAACTTACGATAGTGATAAATGAGGTTTTGGAAAATTATATAAATATGAACTTAAAGATTTTCATTGATTTATTATATTTCAATTCATAATCCAAGAATATTCTTTCAGTGGTAAAATATACTGAAAGAGCGCCCTCTGGGGATCAGAAAGTTTTTAACATAAGCAGGACATCTACTTTAGGGGTCTCTGCCTACGACTATTAAATAAAGTTCCACTTGCATAACACATAACATTATACTAGGACTTGAAAGTGTCAGCCTAGACAGGGTGCTGAATTTACAAAACTTTTCTTTTAAATAAAGAATCTAGGCCGGGTGCAGTGGCTCATGTCTGTAATCCCAGCACTTTGGGAGGCTGAGGTAGGTGGATCTCTTGAGCTCAGGAGTTTATGACCAGCCGGGGCAACATGGAAAAACTCTGTCTCTACAAAAAATTTAAAAAATTAGCCAGGTGTGGTGGTGTGTGCCTGTAGTCCCAGTTAGTGGGGAGGCTGAGGTGGGAGGATGGCTTGAGCCCAAGAAGCGGAAGTTGCAGTAAGCTGAGATTGTTGTCGCTGCACTCCAGTTGTCACTGGGGGACAGAGCCAGACCTTGCCTCAAAAAAGAAAAAAAAGAATCTACTTTCTCAGATGTCTGAAGAAGTGAAAGAGAATACAAAATGCCACTACAAAGTGACTAACTCACTGGGTCACAAATTACATTAAGCTGTAAGTCAGATCAAATCCTCTCTACATAATTATGGCCAGTGAAGGCTCTATACTATAAAACAGGAATCCACAACATTTAGGGGAGAAAAGGGAAAGTGTCAAAGCACAAATCTAGTTTCTAGCCTTCCGAAATTTAAGCTTCATGGATGTTAGCCTTGTGAGTCCAAACCTGGGTAAAATACTGACCTTCTAAAATGACAGCTCCAGATTCCTCTGCCTGGTCAACAACCCCTCCATACTCTGCAGAGCTGTCACTGTCAGAATCAGAACTACTAGACACCTGCAACTCTTCAGATACAGGATTCCTAGTCTCTGAATCATAAGTGGTAGCTGGCAAGTCAGGCTGGGTCCTGCTCACCTGAAAGTAAGCATCCAATGGTGCTCTCAACCTATGTACACAGAAAGACAACGGAATTATAGTACAATGAACTATCATCACAAAAACAATCTATAGTGATTTGAAGTAAATCCTATCACTTCAACCCATCTCCAGGCCATTAAATGCTGCCTTTGAAAGCTGAAGCAGGTATAGCAGATAAGGGGGGGAGACTGGCCTCCTAGATATTATTTTTTACCACTCAACCACTGCTACATTAGCCCACAAAGGAGCTTGATCCTTCCGTTAAAAGCTAATTCTATTTTACTGGCATCTGGCCATATTGTCAGTATCTTTAAAGGACAAACTCAGCAATCTGTATGCTGGTATTAGGTGGCTGAAAAGGGAGGGTTAGCAAGAAGAAAAAGGGCTTTGTTGCCCAAATATGGCCTCATGGGATTTTGCTATTGCAGTCACCCAGACCAAGGTATTTTGGAGTACAGTACAGGGTCTGGCTTCTGTAATTTCTTCATCTCTCATTTTAGGATAGTATTTTTCTTTTAAAATTTAAATAATGTTAGTTTTAAGATAAAAAACATAAATGATAATATGGCATCAAACAAAATAACTTAGAATGATGAGAAGACCTGGGGCCAAATCTAACACTCCAAATATATCTTGGCTGGCTGAGTTTAAAATAACCACTACTGTACCTCAGTTTCTCTAACTCCTGGAATAACAAGGCATACTCCAGTTTGAGCTGAGGAGTTTGAGGCCACTTTTGTCACAGAATTAATGAAACTTTATATTTAGTAGAGACAGGGTCTTACAATGTTGGCCAAGCTGGTCTCCAACTCCTGACCTCAAATGATCCACCCACCTTGGCCTCCCAAAATGCTGGAATTGCAGGCATGAGCCACCACACCCAGACAAATTAATAAAACCTTATACTAAAAACCAGGAGTTCCTGAGGAAGGATCTAGGGACACACACACACAGACACATTAGGCTAGCTGCGATGACTCATGTCTGTAATCCTAGCACTTTGGGAGGCCAAGGTGGGTAAACTGCTTGTGCCTAGGAGTTCGAGACCAGCCTGATTAACATGGTGAAACCCCATCTCTACAAAAAATACACAATATAGCCAGGCATGGTGGTGTGCTCCTGTAGTTCCAGCTACTTGGGAGGCCAAGGTGGGAGGATGGCTTGAGCCTGGGAGATTGAGGCTGCAGTGAGCCATGATGGTGCCCATACTCCAGCCTGGGTATCAGAGTGAGACTTGTCTCAACAACAAAAAAACAAAAAAATGACACCCAAAAAACTTGGGAGGCTGAGGCAGGAGGATCACTTGAGCCCGAGAGTTTGAGGCCACAGAGAGTGAGCGAGCTATGGTTGTGCTACTGCACTCCAGCCTAGGTGGCAAGAGAGAGACTCCATCTTCAAAAAAAAAAAGAAGAAGAAAAAATAAAAATTTAAAAAATGGCTGAGTTTGGTGGCTTACGCCTATAATCCCAGCACTCTGGAAAGCCAAGGCAGGAGGATTGCTTGAGGCCAGAAGTTTGAGACCAGACTAGCCAACAAAGTAAGACACCATCTCTATTAAAAAAAAATTTAAAACAAAAGGGCAACTAAGTATTACTGACAGGTGACCTACTAGAAGTTTTAATAATTATGACATTAAATAAAATATTGATTATTACCCAGAAACATTGTTGAGGACTGCTTACACAGAAAAATTTTATTCCTAATAGTTTGGCTGCAATTTATTGATGAATTAGGGCTTTGACTAAATGCTAACTAGAACAAAATAAACACTACTCAGTGTCCAACTCAATAGACAGAAGATTTTTTGACCTCTTAAAAAAAGAAATGTCAGTAAACCAAAAGGAGAAATAGCAATCAAGTTGCTTTTCTTTTTTGGAAATTGAGATATAATATACTATAAAATCCACAATTTAAAAGTGTTCAATTCAGTGTTGTTTTTTTTTAGCATAACCACAAGGTTATGTAATCATAATCATAACCATTATCTGGTTCCAAAACATTTTTGTCACACCTAAAAGGGACCCTGTATCCACAAGCAGTCATTTCCCCTCCTATTTGGTAGTCATGTCCTCTCTTTCATTCTTCATTTTAGTATTTTGAGTCTTCTCTATTTCTTGGTTGGTCTAGCTAAAAGTCTGTCAATTTTGTTGATCTTTTAGAAGAACCAACTTTTTGATTCGTTCATTTTCTCTCATTTTTCTATTCTCTATTTCATTTATTTATATGCTAACCTTTATTATTTCTTTCTGTCTGCCTGTGTTGGGTTTTGTTTGTTCCTCTGTTATTTAGGAGTGTGTTATGTAATTTTTACAAGTTTGGTGTGCAAGAATCACACCCATATAAGATGGTGAACTTAATCAGTAAATGTTGTGTATGTTGACTGCTCCACCCACCAGCCATTCCCCTCCCTCCCTCTCCTTGGGATTCCTTATTCCCTGAGACAAAACAATACTGAAATTAGGCCAGTTAGTAACTCTACAATGGCCTCTAAGTGTTCAAATTAAGGGAAGAGTCAGGCATCTCTCACTTTAAATCACTAAGCTAAAGTGATTAAGCTTAGTGAGGAAGGCATGTCAAAAGCTGGGATAGGCCAGAAGCCAGGCCTTTTGCACCAAACAGCCAAGTGGTGAATGCAAAGGAAAAGTTTCTGAAGAAAATTAAGCGCTACAACAGCGAATACATGAATGATAAGACAGCCTTATTGCTGATATGGAGACAGTTTTAGTGGTCTGGAAAGAAGATCAAACCAGCCACAACATTCCCTTAAGTGAATCCCTAATCCAGAGGAAGGCCCCAACTCTCTTTAATTCTGTGAAAGCTGAGAAGTGAGGAAGCTGCAGGAAGTTGGAAGAAAGCAGAGGCTGGTTCATGAGGTTTAAGAAAAGATACTGTCTCCATAAAGTGCATGAAGCAGCAGCAAGCGCTGACATTGAAACTGTACCAAGTTATCCAGAATATCTAGCTAAGACAATTGATGAAAGTATCTACACTAAAAAGATTCTCAGTGTAGATGAAACACCCCTCTATTGGAAGATGCCACGTAGGACTTTTGCAGCTACAGAGAAGTCAATGCCTGGCTTCAAGGCTCAAAGGACAGGCTGACTCTCTTGTTAGGGGATAATGCTGCTGGTGACTTCAGTTGAAGCCGATGCTCTTTTTTTTTGAGACAGAGTCTCACTTTGTCGCCCAGGTTAGAGTGCAGTGGCGTGATCTCGGCTCACTGCAAGCTCTGCCTCCCGGGTTCACGCCATTCTCCTGCCTCAGCCTCCCGAGTAGCTGGGACTACAGGCACCCGCCACCACGCCTGGCTAATTTTTTTTTTTTTTGTATTTTTAGTAGAGATGAGGTTTCACCCTGTTAGCCAGGATGGTCTCGATCTCCTGACCTCGTGATTCGCCCGCCTCGGCCTCCCAAAGTCCTGGGATTACAGGCATGAGCCACCATGCCCAGCTGAAGCCGATGCTCTTTTACTGTTCTGAAAATCCTAGGGTGCTTGAAAATTATGCTAAATTTATTCTGTCTGTGCTCTCTCTCTTTTTTTTTGAGATGGAGTCTCGCTCTGTCACCCAGGCTGCAGTGCAGTGGCGCCTGGCTAATTTGTTGTATTTTTAGTGGAGACGGGGTTTCACCGTGTTAGCCAGGATGGTCTCACCCATCTCCTGACCTCGTGATCTGCCCACCTCGGCCTCCCAAAGTGCTGGGATTACAGGCGTGAGCCACCACACCCGGCCTATGTCTGTGCTCTCTAAATGGAACTACAAAGCCTGGATAACAGCTTATCTGTTTAGAGTATGTCTTACAACTTATGCCCACTGTTGAAACCTACTATTCAGAAAAAAGGATTCCTTTAAATATATTACTGCTCATTGACAATGCACCCAGTAAACCAAGAGCTCTGAAGGTGATTAATGTTATTTTCATGTCTGTTAATATAACATATTCTGCAGCCCAACTTTCAAGACTTATTATTTAAGAAATAAGGCCAGACACAGTGGCTCACACCTGTAATCTCAGTACTTTAATGAAATAACATCTCTACAAAAAACAGAAAAAATTAGCTGGGTGTGGCGGCTTGTGCCTTTAGTCCCAGCTACTCTGTAGGCTGAGGCAGGAGGATCGAGGATCACCTGAGCCCGGGGAGGTTGAGGCTGCAGTGAGCCATGATCACACCACTGTACTCCAGCCTGGGCAACAGAGTGAGACCTTGTCTTGCCAAAAAAAAAAAAAAAAAAAAAAAGAAAAGAAAAGAAATATTTTGTTGTGACTCTTAGCTGTGGGGAAAAGCTTTTTTTATTTTATTTTTTTTAATTTCTTAAGATGATAGCTGCCAGTGATTCCTCTAATGGATCTGGACAAAGTAAATTGAAAACCTTGAAATGATCCACCATTCTTTTTTTTTCTTTTTGGAGACAGGGTCTGGCTCTGTCACCCAGGCTGGAGTGCAGTGGCATGATATTGGCTCATTGGAACCTTTCACCCCAACCTCCTAAGTAGCTGGGACTACAGGCATGCACACCATGCCCAGCTAATTTTTGTATTTTTTTGTAGAGACAAGGTTTCAACATGTTGGCCAGGTTGGTCTTGAACTCCTGAGCTCAGGCAATCTGCCTGCTTCAGCCCCCCAAAGTGCTGGGATTATAGGCATGAGCCACTGTGCCTTGGGGATCCACCATCCTTGATGCCCCTAAGAACATTCATGATTCATGGGAGGAGGCCAAAATATCAACATTATCAGGAATTTAGAAGAAGTTGATGTCAACTCTTATGGATGACTTTTGCCGGGCTCAAGACTTCAGTTAAGAAAGTAACTGCAGATGTGCTAGAAACAGCAAGAGAACTAGACTTAGAAGATGTGACTGAATTGATCTCATTCCTAGATTTTCCTTTCCTTCTTATTGGTTAGTTTATTGCTTATCCCACTGAATATCCATTACCTCAGGCAGGCCCCAGGGAAAATGATTTAGGCTTTTCACACTCTGCATTGCTCAGAGTCAAGAGTAGTCTTGCAAATGGGGTTTTCCAGAGAACCACCAACAGGTCATATAAAGATAATTCTCTGGGAATGAGGCTTTGAAGGTGCTCCAATCCCTCTGGTGCCTGCCAGGCTGTTGGTTTTTACTATGATTACAGGCAGATGCTTTTCACAACTATCAAGGAGCTGGAGAAGGTGACAAGAATAAGGAATGCCATAGAGCTCAATGAGATTCGGCTGTTTTTCTTTAATAATCACTCCCTGGATTGCTATAAGCATTTGGTCAGTTTCCTGAATTATGAAAAAGTTGATCCTGACAAATTCTGCCAGTTGTTTCACTACTTCCATGGAGATAATTCTCTGTGGTCCTTACTCTGCCATTTTCACTGACATCACCCAGGTTTTCTTTTTCTTTTTTTTTTTTTTTGAGACGGAGTCTCGCTCTGCGGCCCAGGCTGGAGTGTAGTGGCGCAATCTCGGCTCACTGCAACATCCACCTCCCGGGTTCAAGCGATTCTCCTGCCTCAGTCTCCTGAGCAGCTGGGATTATGGGCACCCGCCACCACACCCGACTAATTTTTGTATTTTTAGTAGACAGGGTTTCACCATGTTGGCCAGGCTGGTCTCGAACTCGTGACCTCAGGTGATTCGCCTGCCTCAGCCTCCCAAAATGCTGCGATTACAGGTGTGAGCCACTGCGCCTAGCCAGGTTTTCTTTTTAGACAGTGCTAAGCAAGTTTACCAACTCCATTTCTTGAGATTCTAAGTGAACAGCAGCTATAGCTACCATGAGACTAAACACATAAGAAAAGCATTTCATAAGAAGATTTAATCAAATACATACTAGAGTTAGGGTGTTGACACGTATATCAATAGAATTCTACATAGAACCCAGTAAAAAAGTGATAGACGATTAAAAAAAATCACTCTTTAATATTGCTTTTATGTAGCAAAGAATTTCCAAAGTCAGGCAAGAACACAGGAAAGGGGAACTGTGAAAACCAACAGGAAGCAGTGCTAGGGTTTCTCTTTGGGAGCACAGATTTAGAACCCAAGAAATTCTCCTCCTTCCCTGCACTTACCAACTTTGAATTTTGCTCCTTCCCTACTCTCTGTAGTCCTAGACTCCGTATGCTCCAGGAAAACAATATTGTGATCTGTGTTATTCACCAATATATCTAGGGCAAAGTTTAGTCTCTCACACAGAGGAGTGTTATCAATATTTGATGAATGAGTGATGACCCCCACTGCCAGAATGAAACCGCCCCAAACAAATCAGAAAGGAGTTTGTGACCTCAGCTAAGCCTGTTGGGAAGAATAAGCTCACTACTTAGCTTTCCATAGCTTTGGCTTCTTGGCTGACTGTGAGTCAAAAGCTGTTCACCTTGGCCCAGGCTTTCAACACCTGGCCCAGGGACAGTCTGTCAGATGAGTAAATGTCAAACACCACACTGAGAAATTCATCTCAAGAAATTCAGAAGTTATAAGCGATTAGTCCTGGGAAAGGTCATACTTCAGGGAAAAAAGTTTTAATCACATTTACCTGGCTCCAGAACTGATGTAATTTCCACTGAACTGCACACTTCCTGACCGTTTAGGTTATTCCCTTTGTGGAGACAGATTATGGCTGCCAAATAGCTTGACTGACATCTTTCAACATTTAAATTCTGTATAACTCATTCCCTGAGCAGATTCTATAATTTTTTTTTTTTTTTTTTGAGACAGAGAGTCACTCTTGTCACCCAGGCTGGATTACAGTGACAAGATCTTGGCTCACTGCAAGCTCCGCCTCCTAGGTTCAAGGAATTCTCATGCCTTAACCTCCCAAGTAGCTGGGACCACAGGTGTGTGCCACCACGCCCGGCTAATTTTTTGTATTTTTAGTAGAGATGGGGTTTCACCATGTTGGCCTCGAACTCCTGGCCTAAAGGGATCCGCCTGCCTTGGCCGCTCAAAGTTCTGAGATTACAGGCGTGAGCCACTATGCCCAGCCACATCAAGCAATTTTCTCACTAGAGTTTGGCTTCTGTTTGGCTCTCTAGTGGTTCTGTTTTTCTTTGTAAGTTGGCATCTGGTTTATAAGTGTCACCCTTAAGTTGGTTAATACAAGTCACTGTGCTTGACCAAGAGGAATCCACTCTGCGTCCCCCAACAAGAATGAGTGCATGGATAAGCAAGACTGAGGACTTGCAAGAGGCCTCCTGACAGTCAGCCAGCTCCTGGAAACACCACTCACAACTCTCAACCATGGAAAGTTAGCCCATTTACTTTGGGAGGGTCCCCAAATTACACCATAAGGTGCCTTCACCTATAACACAAATGTATGAAATCTTACCCTGCCTTTATAACGTGAGTAATGACATCTTAAAACAACAGACTATAGCCAAGCCTGCTGGTGCACGCCTGCAATCCCAGCTACTTAGGAGGCTGAGGCACAAGAATCGCTTGAACCCGGGAGCCAGAGGTCCTGGTGAGCTGATACTGCGCCACTGCACTCCAGCCTGAGTGACAGAGCAAGACTCTTGTCTTAAAAACAAAAAAAAAACCCAGAGTAATATGCATTTGCAACTCTTGTCAACACAGAACTAGGCATCTGTCATCCTTGATGGGCACTACAGACACTGGAGCCACAGTCATGGCAAGCCCCAACATTAAAATCAGCAGGATCCATGAAAAAGAATGCTGAATCCAGATACAGAAGGCACAATTCCAATTCCAGCCTTATCACAACCAAATCACAAATTATCCCATCAGCTTCCTCATTTGTAAAACATGGGTAATAGATGACCTAGCTACCACTTTTTAGTATCATCTCAATATTTTCACAGTGTTAGAAAACATCGGCATGGTTGCGTATGCCTGTAGTCCCAGTTAATCATCAAGAGGCTGAGGTAGGAAGATCGCCTAAGCCTGGGGAGGTCGAGGCTGCAGTGAGCTGTGATTGCACCACTGCACTCCAGCCTGGGGAGCACAGTGAGACCCTGTCTCAAAAATAACAATAATAAAAACAAGAAGAAAGAGAAAACAAAGGGATTTCGTCGAAGCTTCCTCCATCTGCCTATGTAGAAAACAGGGCAGATCCAGGCTCCAATATCAGTGCTAACTCCTCTATTCTATAGTTATGAGACCCTGAACAAAGCCCTCTCTGAGCGGAGATCGCACCACTGCGCTCCAGCCTGGGCGACAGAGTGAGACTCCATCTCAAAACAAAACAAAACCAAAAACAGACAGGTTTAATTAGTTAGGTGTGGTGGCACGCGCCTGTAATGCCAGGTACTGGGGAAGCTGAGGCAGGAGAATCGCTTGAATCTGGGAGATGGAGGTTGCAGTGAGCAAAGATTGTGCCACGGGAATCCAGCCTGGACGACAGAGTGAGACGCTGTCTCAAAAACAAAAACAAAAAACCAAAAAACGGACAGGGTATAGGCAATTGTTATTCTTCATAATAACCCTGTCAAGACTTGACAGCTAAGCCCTTCAAGAGGCAAGTTCAAACCAAGACTATGAAAGAAAATTAATTAATTGTGCCCCCAGGTGGAATGCCAGTGAATAATGAATTTGGGTGAGTAGAGACTTGCAAGTGAAGAAAGAATTTTTGGTGTACAAGACACAATCTGAACAACAGCCAATCTCTACAGAGATTGCCAACAAACTACCACCTAGTTTTCAAGGCACAACAGTTTAACTTATCCCTTCATTACTTTGTGAAGTAAGGCAAGCACTTTTATTTCCACCTATGAGGAACTGGGGGTCAGAAGTTACCTGACTTGCCAAAAGTCACACTGTCAGTCCTTGAATGGCAGAGCCTCAGTTTCATAATTTCTAGTACAGCAATGATCACAGACTTATCCATATATTTATTTACCTGGCACTGTCTGTCCTCTGAGACCCTCCGGCTCTTGCCCTCCGTGAAGCAGATACCCTCCTTCTTGTTCTCATTGGCCCTACACTGTGGTTTGAAGATGAAGGTCTCAGGAATTCCAGCATGCCATGAAGTCTCTGCAGTCCGCTGATGAAGTTGGTCATTGAATGCAACGAAGATGCTGGGATGGTGTGATTACCATCAGATCCCTGCCTATGTTGTTCTGAAGTTCTTGGATTGATGTTCTCCACAGTGTCTTCTCCCAAGACCTCCACTTCTGTCAGGTCAACAGACAGTTGCGGAGCAGGCTGGAGCAGGGGTGGTGTCGCTTGGCTGCTGATCACCTCAGCAGGAGCTGGCTGGAGGATGGATGGTACCCCCTGGCTGCTGACCACATCAGCAGGAACAGGCTGGAGGAGGGCTGGTCCCCCTTGGCTGCTGGCCATGCCAGCAGGAGCTGGCTGTTGTTCGGCATGATTTAACTGCACCTGAACATCATATTCCATTGCTTCATGAGCCATCACTAGAGAAACAGTATTTGTAAAAAGTATTAATAAAATAGATAAAACATGCTATGTAGGTGACAGAATCATATTTAATCTTTCTGATTTTATGTTTAATATCATTCTTAGCAAGACTGAGAAGCTTCAAGAGAAGATTTTAACTACTTAAGTCAGAAGTGTTTGGTAATGGACTTTCCTCTCTATAACAAGCATTTATAACCAGTTTTCCGGTTTGCCCTTAGAAAACATGAAGTCCTGTGATCATAGTAGTATCTTCCAAAATAGAAAGATCTATAAACCAAGGAGATTAAACTACTGGGTCTAAAAGTAATCTCTCAGACACTTTGCAGTTCTCTCAAGCTGAATATGGACATTCACCAAAATCAAATGCATATAATGCAGTATCTAATTTTAGCAGGCAATATTAATCTTTCACAGCATCAACAGTTACAAGGGATAAATAGAGAAAGGACATTTTTTACACTTGCAAAATTAACTGTTACTAACTCAAAATGGAAACTTACCTAATGTTTCCAAAAAGGCTGAGCAAACTTTATCCTATCCCTTTCATTATTTTTGTTTTCCATCTCTAATTCCATCATGTTAGCGTATTCAACAAATATTTATTAAGCACCTATGTTCTTTTCATGTTTCCTATCTTTAATTCCATTGTATCAGTTTGAAAACTACCACCTAGTTTTTAAACTAAAAAAAAAAATTTTTTTTTGTTATATAGATGAAGGCTTCCTATGTTGCCCAAACTGGTCTTGAATGCCTGGCCTTACCTCCTCATGCATCAGGACAACAGGACTGAGCCACTGTGCCTCCCTACCACCTAGTTTTTAAAGTACATCAGTATAACTTATCCCCTTAATTACTTTGTGAAGTAAGGCACGTGCTTTTATTTTCATCTGACTTATGAGGAAATGGGGGTTCAACTAATAGTTATTAAGCACCTGTTATGCAGACAAGACACCCTAGAGGCAAAAACAGATAAGACCCCATGTATCAGAGTTTAGATTCTAGCAAGTAAGATGTCAATAAACAAATACATGAAAAAAATTATAGATTATGATGTTTGGGGTTGAGGAGACAAAGAGGACCAACTAAGACACAATTGTGAGGGAAGTACTCTTTTAAAGAGTGAAAATTGGGCTGAGGCATGAAGGATTAAAAGCAGCTGGCTATGCAAAGAGCCAAGAAGAGTCTCAGAAGGAAATCAGTGCATAGGTCCCTGATGAGCATGGGTTTCACTGATGAACAGGACACCATTATTAAAGGGCCTATGGGCCTTGGTAAGGAGTTTCTTCTATGTTAGGAATGCACTGTAGGGGTGCAAGAGCATAAGCTAGGTGACCAGTGTAGAGGCTATTGTGGGAGTCCAGACCAGAGGTCAGAGAGACCTAGGCAAGAGTGGTAGCAGTGGAGATGAAAACAAACAGACAGCTTTAAGAATCTTCAGAATGGTCATGCTTCTTTTTTTTTTTTTTTGAGATGGAGTCTCGCTCTGTTGCCCAGGCTGGAGTGCAGTGGCGCGATCTCGGCTCACTGCAAGCTCCGCCTCCCGGGTTCACGCCATTCTCCTGCCTCAGCCTCCCGAGTAGCTGGGATTACAGGTGCCTGCCACCACGCCTGGCTAATTTTTTGTATTTTTAGTACAGCCGGGGTTTCACTGTGTTAGCCAGGATGGTCTCGATCCCCTGACCTGGTGATCTGCCAGCCTCAGCCTCCCAAAGTGCTCGGATTATAGGCATGAGCCACCGCGCCCGGCCAATACTCATGTTTCTTAAAATCATCAAAGCAGATTAAACCACCTGAGGAACAGAATGACAGAAGAGGGCTGAAGACTAAAGTCAGAGACACTACTGTTAAAAGTACAACAGAGTAAAAGAAGCCAGTTAAGGAAGATTATAAAGTAGGAGGAAACATGGGAATGTGGTGTCTTGGAAAAACAATGTTTCAAGGAAGGAACAATTGAGTGTCAAGTGCTACTGGGGGGAAGAACGGCCGCTAGATTTGGCAACATGAGGATGACAGGTGACCTAAAAAAGCAGTTTCCCTGAAGTGGTGGGGTCAGAGGCCAGACTGGTGCAGGCTGAATAAATGGAAGGAATTCTAATAAACATAGTGGACGAAGTACATATATGTATCTTTCTCTCTCCACTCCAGTCATTCCTAAAACCCACGAACATGACCCCCACAACCTGAGACATTTT
This sequence comes from Homo sapiens, assembly GCF_000001405.40. Classification (NCBI taxonomy): domain Eukaryota; kingdom Metazoa; phylum Chordata; class Mammalia; order Primates; family Hominidae; genus Homo; species Homo sapiens. The sequence continues at coordinate 74,663,648 of NC_000016.10, forward strand.
TTTAAGAAAGGATAAATTAACCAGGACGACACAAATGCAAACAGGGTATGATATGCAAACCAGTTTTTTAAGGCCATAAAGGAGAAACTGATGATTGATGACTGCTTAGCAGAGCCAAAAGATAAAACTCAAAGCCTGCAAAGGGCACAGTGGTTGGGGTGAGGTGTGTTATTGAGAAGCAAGCTGATTCCCACTAAAGGGACTGTAAAAACCAGGTACCACAAAAGGCAATATTGAAAGATGGCGCTAAAAGAGAAGGGCTGGTTAAAAGCCAGTAAAGCAGTTAGCTTGACTCCTACTCAAACACCAGCCAGCTAAAACAAAACACAGAACAAAGCCCTTCTCCCCCTATGCACGAGAAAACTGGAGGTTTGAACCACACAGGCTTACACTCAGGATGGAGAGTGGCACAGTACTGAAAATAAGTGGGAAAGAAAGTCTGCAAACTGAACAATGTGAGATACTTCAAGTTTTAAACATTTTTTGTATAGATGGGGTTTCCCACGTTGCCTAGGCTGGTCTTCAACTCCTCGGCTCAAGCAACCCTTCTGCCTCAGCCTCCCAAAGTGCTGGGATTACAGGAGTGAGCTACTGCAGCTGCCTAACTAAAAGCTTTTAATGTTTCTAGGGTACAACGACAGTCTCCCAAGAATTGTGTGTCAGAACATAAGGCCCAAGCTACTTCTAGATGTACTCAAGAGACATTAAGCAACTCAGCCTTCAGGAAGACAAAGGGGAGAAATGGACTAAAAAGAGCAGAATCTAGGGGGCCGCACTGTCTACTCCCATATGGTTATTTAAATTAAATAAAAATCAAATTCGGCCAGGAGCTGTGGCCCACGCCTATAATCCCAGCACTTTGGGAGACTGAGGCAGGTAGCTGGAGACCAGGAGTTGGAGACCAGCCTGGGCAACACGGCAAAACCCCGTCTCTACAAAAAATACAAAAAAATTAGCCAGCCGTGATGGTGTGCACCTGTGGTCCTAGCTACTTGGGAGGCTGAGGCAGGAGAACCCCTTGAACCCGGAGAGTGGAGGTTACATTGAGCCGAGATCACGCCACTGCACTCCAGACCGGGAGAGAGAGTAAGACTCCGTCTAAAAAAAGAAAAAAGAAAGAAATAAAATAAGTTCCTTTGTCGTGCAGGTCACATTTCAACTGCTAGAAACACACATAGGGCGGGTGACTCCCATACTGGACAGCAGAAATACAGAACACTTTTCTCGTCGCACAAAGTTCTATGGAACGGTGCAGTTCTGGAGCTGAAGCTTCCTAACCACTGTAGGCCAGTCGGAGGTGCCTAGAACGAGAGACCATGGGCTGGGCACCCCAAACCTTGAGGATGTCACACAAACGCTGTTTTTTATGTGTGCTGTGAGCGGTGCTTAAAATGTCAACCTCAGACTTGTCATCTTTGTTACTCAGGTTTCAATCAATGGCCACAACAGGCAGGACGAAAGCCCCTCAATTAAAGGTTGAGAAGAGGTGGGCGGGGGAAGTGTTCAAATCTTTGCTCTGGCCGGTGCAGAGGGTCACGCCTGTGATCCCTGGACACTGAAATGCCCAGGCGGATGGATCACTTACGCTCTGGTGTTCCAGACCAGCTTGGGCAACACAGTGAAATTCCCATCTCTACCAAAAAAGAAAAATAGAACAGGTCAGGCGCGGTGGCTCACACCTGTAATCCCAGCACTTTGGGAAGCCGAGGGCAGACCACTTGAGGTCGGAGTCCCAGAATGGCCAATATGGTGAAACCCCGTCTCCACTAAAAATACAAAAACTACCCGGGTGTGGTGGCGCATGCCTGTAATCCCAGCTACTTGGGAGGCTGAGGCAGGAGAATCGCTTGAACCCGGGAGGCAGAGGTTGCAGTGAGCCGAGATCGCACCACTGCACTCCAGCAGGGGCAACAAAGCGAGACTCTATCTCAAAAAAAGAAAGAAAAAAGAAAAATAAAACAATGAGCCGGGCGTGGTGGCGCGCACCTGTGGTCCCAGCTATTGCGGGAAGCCGAGGTGGGAGGATCCCTGGGGCCCGGGAGTTCGAGACTGCAGTGAGCTCTTCCAGCCTGGGTGCAACAGGGAGACTTTTCTTTCTTTCTTTCTTTCTTTTTTTGAGATGGAGTTTCACTCTTGTTGCCCAGGCTGGAGTGCAATGGCGTGATCTCAGCTCACTGCAACCTCGGCCTCCCGGGTTCAAGCGATTCTCCTGCCTCAGCCTCCCGAGTAGCTGGGAAATGGGGTTTCTCCATGTTGGTCAGGCTGGTCTCGAACTCCTGGCCTCAGGTGATCCGACTGCCTCGGCCTCCCAAAGTGCTGGGATTACAGGCCTGAGCCACCGCTTTTCTCTTTATAACACCTTTTTCTCTTTATAACAGGAAAAAGGGAGGAAGAGAGAGGGAGAGGGAGAGGCGGAGGGGGAAGAGGAGGGAGAGGGAGACGGGAGGGGAAGGGAGAGAGGGAAAGAAGGAAATTAAATCCCTGTTCTTTTACTACATGGGGAAAGAAAGACATAGATAGATTAGATAGACAGATTAGATAGATAGATAGATAGATAGATAGATAGATAGATAGATTGATTAGATACATAGATATTAAATCCCTGTTCTTTTACTACATGGGGAAACTTTGGGCGGGTTTCCTAAACTCGGCTCAACTTGTTCTCCTGTAAAACAGGGATAATACAAGTCTTTACTCCACAGTTTCCGTGATGAAATTAAAAATGAAGTTCTTCCATCAACTTTAAAGTGATGAAGTAATCGGCGCTCAGAGCGGGCGCAGGCAACGCCGCTGAGGAGCCCGAGGCTAGGCTCTCGGGGGAAGGGCCGGGCGACCTCCCACCCCGGCCAGGGCAGGCCCCGCAGCAGCGAACTCGGCTCCTTCAGTGATCGCCCCGAGCTCTCGCCTGCCCAGCCCCCACGCCCAGCAACCCAGATACGCGCGGGGGTTCGGGCTCCTTAGCCCCGACCACTGGCGCCGCCCCGAGGGCCCGAATCCCCTCAGGCCGCCGGGTTCCAAGCCCGCGTGCAGCCCACCTCGTGGGGTGTCTCCTGAATCCCAATCCAGGAATCAGGCGTGGGGAGGTTTATCCCGAAGCTAGAGGCCCAAGGCCTGAGGAGAAGCAACACCCCTCCTCACCTGAAACCAGCAGGCCGCGGCCGGGCTCGCGAGCCCGCCGAAGACTCGGTAGTTACCTCGGCCGCACTCCGAATGCACCTACGCCAACTGCCACTTCCGGAGCCGCTCAAGCTCCCGCCAGAGCCGCCGGCAGGCATGCTCCTATTGGACAGAAGCCCTACGCTGTGGCCAATACCCACTCTTCTTCTTCAATGGGTCCCCCGATAGCTGAAGCAGCGGTGCTCTCATTGGCTGGTAGTTCGTCCTGACGAGGCGGGACCGCGCTTGAGGAAGCCTCCTACAATTGGCAGGAATCTACGTCCGTCACCTTGCACCCGCCCCGGAAAAAATGGGAGGTTTTTTTGTTTTTTTTTTGTTTGGTTTTTTTTTTTTTTTTTAGCGCGTTTTATTTGAACTTTCTGGCGGGAGAAAGTTATATGATTTCTCGGTCCATTTTGGAATGGGGATGATGATATTAAAACTGACTCCTGCTGCTTATCCCTAACGCTTTAGTGAAGGAGTTATCTGTATCCAAAGGATAGCAGCTAATCGAATAATTTCAAAATATTTCAATATTTTGAATTTCGGAGCCTGTAAAGAGGCGTAGGACAGTCCAGTTCATATGTATCCTCTCATGGGGTTGAAGAGCTCACGCAAAATACTTTGCCTACATAATCTCTTCAATCTCAAACCGCTGCAAGGGATCTGAGCTACTGAACAGTCTCAAATCACTTGTTAGGGCCGCCGCTCGCCGCCAGCGCCAAAAGAAAGGGGCCCCCGGAATTCTCCAGCTACGTACGAGGAGCGCGAGCCCACAGCCGTCTCGGCTCCGAGCCCGCCGCCGGCAGGAAAGCCACAAAGAAAACTGATAAACCCAGACAAGATGATAAAGACGATCTAGATGTAACAGAACTCACTAATGAAGATCCTTTGGATCAGCTTGTGAAATACGGAGTGAATTGTGGTCCTATTGTGGGAACAACCAGGAAGCTGTATGAGAAATAGCTTTTGAAACTGAGGGAGCAAGGAACAGAATCAAGATCGTCTCCTTCAGCAACAATTTCTTCTTCAGCAGAAAATACAAGGCAGAATGGAAGTAATGATTCTGACAGATATGGTGAAAATGAAGAAGACTCTAAATTGGGCTCAAGTTTGAGAAGAGAGAACCGCTAAACAGGGGAGTAAAGACTCCAGTAACCCTCAAGCAAAGAAGAGTTGAGCACAAGGAGAGCTATTCTCAAGCTGGAATAACTGGGACTGAATGGACAAGTGGATCTTCAAAAGGCGGACCTCTGCAGGCATTATTAACTAGGGAATCTACAAGAGGGTCAAGAAGAACTCCAAGCAAAAGGGTGCACGCTTCAGAATATTTTCGTATAGATGGAGCAGTAATTTCAGCGAGTACTCCCATAGCTGAAACTATAATTGCTTCAAACAACGAATCCTTAATTGTCAATAGGGTGACTGGAAATTTCAAGCATGCATTTCCTATTCTGCCAGTCACTGAATTCTCAGACATACCCAGAAGAACACCAAAGAAACCATTGACAAGAGCTGAAGTGGGAGAAAAAAAACACAGGAAAGAAGAGTAGAAAGGGATATTCTTAAGGAAATGTTCCCCTATGAAGCAACTACACCAACAAGAATTAGTGCTAGTTGCCGCAGAACAATCAAAGGAGCTGCAGGCCGGCCATTAGAACTCAGTGATTTGAGGATGGAGGAGTCGTTTTCATCTACATATGTTCCTAAGTATGTTCCCTTGGCAGACGTCAAGTGAGAAAATACAAAAAAAAGGGACGCTCCATTCCTGTATGGATAAAAATTTTGCTGTTTGTTGTTGTGGCAGTTTTTTTGTGTGTGTTTGGTCTATCAAGCTATGGAAACCAACCATGTAAATCCCTTCTCTAATATTCTTCCTGATGACTCTAGAAAACCCAACTGAATGGTATCTCTTTGGCACATTCAACTTGGTCTTGTATTTTTAGTAACTGTGTTGAAGAACATTCGTGTACGCTTTTTGACTCCAAGAACTAAAAATAATGTGATTTTGCCTCAATAAACGTAGTATTCCATTGGAAAGCAAACAAAAGATATATGAATGGACTTTATTAAAATGTTTTTGAACTTTGGACTAGTAGGAGATCACTTTGTGCCATATGAATAATCTTTTTTAGCTCTAGAACTTTTTTTTTTTTAGACAGGGTCTCGCTCTGTTGCCCAGGCTGGAGTGCAATGGCATGATTTCGGCTCACTGCAACCTCCACCTCCTGGGTTCAAGTGATTCTCCTGCCTCAGCCTCCTGAGTAGCTGGGATCACAGGCACGTGCCACTACGCCCACCTAATTTTTGTATTTTTAGTAGCGGTGGGGTTTCACTATGTTGGCCAGGCTGGTCCTGAACTCCTGACCTCAGGTGATCCACCCGCCTTGGCCTCCCAAAGTGCTGGGATTATAGGCGTGAGCCACCGCGCCCGGCCATAATGTTCATGATCTTGATAGAGTTTGGATTACTCATATGTATGCATTTGTCAAAACTCATCAAATGCTATCTTTAAGATTTGTGCATTTCACACAAATTTTTCACAGCAAAAACTTACCTTCCCACCCCCCCGCCAAAAAAAAGCTCATAGAGAGATAAACTCCAGTTAATGGCATAAATGCTGAAGTGTTTAGGAATGAAGTGCATAAAAAATCAGGATGAATTAATGGCTAGAAAGAGGCACAAGCAGATAAATAGGTATGTGATAAAACAAATATAATAAATTGTTAGTTGTAGAATTTAGGTGGTAGGTATATGGTTGTTCAGAGTACAATTGTACTGACTTTTCTGTGTATCTGGAAATTTTCATACATAAGTGTTGGGAAAAATCAGGTACAGGGCCTTGGAAGGCATCCTGTGCAAGTAAAAGGCCCTGAAGATTAAGCTTTATCAGGCTTATAGTAAATTCACCTATAATAATTGTGGGTCTGCCAGAGTATGAATAATTCATCTACCAGGGAGAATTTTCACTGTAACTCCTACAGTAAATAGAACAAATGATTTTAAAGATGAAAACAGTGGCTGGGCATGGTGGCTCATGCCTGTAATCCCAGCACTTTGGGAGGACAAGGTGGGCGGATCCCTTGAGGTCAGGAGTTCCAGACCAGCAGACCCTGCCTCTGAAAAAAAAGAAAAAAGAAAAAAGGAAGGAAGGAAAATAGTAAAATAGTAATACCTGCCAGTAAGTTCTACAAAATAATCATATTAAGTTTATATTCTTCTGCATTTTTTATTTATAGAAAAAAACCATGTTCTAGGTTTTAAAAAAATCAAGGATAAGTAAAAGATAAAAACATAAGGCCGAGTGTGGTGGCTTATGCCTGTAATCCCAGCACTTTGGGAGGCCAAGGTGGGAGTATCACTTGCGCCCAGAAGTTCAAGACTAGCCTAGGCAACACAGTGAAACCCTGTCTCATAATAATAATAATAATAGTAATAGAAATCAGCCATAATTTTCTTCACCAGAGATGATTACTAGAATACAAGACCCAAATGTATTTTTATTGCTGTCTTCTCAGTGATTGAAACAATGGACAGCACATTTGCTGTTGAATGATTTAGAATGAGTTCTGAAAAAAATGTAACTTTAAAGACAGGGATTAGTGTATCCTAGGCAAAGCACACACCATGAACAAAGGTATAAGATCTAAAATGAGACCAGGTGTGGTGGCTCATGTCTGTAACCCCAGCACTTTGGGAGGCCGAGGTGGGCAGATCACTTGAGGTCAGGAGTTCGAGACCAGCCTGACCAACATGGTGAAATGCTGTCTCTACTAAAAATACAAAAATTAGCCAGGTGTGGTGGCACACACCTGTAATCCCAGACACTTGGGAGGCTGAGACAGGAGAATCGCTTGAACCTGCAAGGCGGAGGTTGCAGTGAGCCGAGATTGCGCCACTGCACTCCAGCCTGGCCAACAAGAGTGAAACTCTAGGCCGGGCGCGGTGGCTCACACCTGTAATCCCAGCACTTCAGGAGGCCGAGGCGGGTGGATCACCTGAGGTCAGGAGTTCGAGACCAGCCTGACCAACATGGTGAAACCCCCATCTCTACTAAAAAATACAAAAAGTTAGCCGGGTGTGATGGTGAGCACCTGTAATCCCAACTACTTAGGAGGCTGAGGCAGGAGAATCGCTTGAACCCAGGAGGCAGAGGTTCCAGTGAGCCAAGATTGCACCACTGCACTCCAGCCTGGGCGTGACAGAGCAAGACTCCGTCTTAAAAAAAGAAATCTAGAATGAAAGCACCACAAACATGGGTTTGAGTCTGGCAGGGATTAAAATCTGGCAGCTCCTATGTGGACATATTTTGTTTGTCTTATCAGCATTAAAATAATTTTTTTTTTGAGACAGGGTCTCACTCTGTCACTCAGGCTGGAGTGCAGTGGTGCAATCATGCCTCACTGCAACCTCCGCCTCCCAGGTTCAAACGATTCTCATGCCTCAGCCTCCCGAGTAGCTGGGATTACAGGCATGTGGCAGCCACACCCAGCTAATTTTTGTATTTTTAGTAGAAACAGGGCTTCACCATGTTGGCAAGGCTGGTCTCGAACTCCTGACCTCAGATGATCCTCCCGCCTGGGCCTCCCAAAGCGCTGGGATTTCAGGCATGAGTCACCGTGCCCAGCCTAAAATAATTTTTAATGAGATACTGACCTTTAAAAATAAGGACATCACAGAAAAATCCAACTTTCTAGCTCTTTTGACAAAATGGAAAGCTCTAGAAATGTTGGGATCCCATTCTATGTGACAAAGTATAGACTGGAGTTGAGGAGACGCTGTTCTTGCTCATCTGCCCACTGAAGCCCCCTCCAGGTTCAAATCATTCATTTAGTTTCCTTCCTAGGCCCTATGGGTATTAGAGTTTGCAATCTCTGGTAGGAGAACTCTGGCATCTGATTGGAAAGTCAGGTTGGAAAGTATGGTATGGGGGATATCCATAAGGCTATGGATATCCAAATAGGAAGTTTGTACTTGATTCCTTGGGCAAGAGGAAGAATTGAACAGTTTCTGCCTAGTTACTTCTGTTGTGTAAAAAACCACCACAAAACTTAGTGTTAAGACAACAGTAATTTATTTAGCTCCTGATTGTGTGAATGGGCAATTTGGGCTGGGATCTGCTTGAGTGGTTCTTCTGGTCTTGATTGGCCTCATTCATGTGTTAGCTGCCATGTTGGTTGGGCTAGTATGACTTCAGCTAGGAAAGCATGTTTCTGCTTCATGTGGTCTCTCATTCTCCAGCATGCTCACTCAACATGTTCATGGCTGGGTAAGGTTCCAACAGACATTTATAAGGCCTCTTGAAACCTAGGCTTGGAACTGGCATACAGTCACTTCTTCCACATTCTATTGATCAAATCAAGTCACAGTGCCAGCCCAGATTCAAATGGTGGGGAAAGAGACTTCATTTATGGAAGGGAGGAGCTGCAAATTTCATTGCCAAGAGGTGTGGATACCCAGAAAGATACATTTGACAAACCATCTATCAAAGTTACTGTCAGAGGTATGTTTTTGGAAATATCATTTGGAGTGGGATGTGTCCTGTATGACTGGAATCGTTTTCTATTTGTAACAGAGAAGCGTGCCCACTCCTTGCACCCATAGATAACCCAATGCCGAAGGATATGAGAGAGAGAGATGTCCAGTTTGTGCCTCTCCCAGCTTCTTGTCCAGAGACTCCTTGGTTTAGATTTTGATACACTACTTAGAAAAGGTGGAGAGTTTCTTTAAGATTTCTGTGGATGAATGAACAGAAAATTAGACCAGGGTAGGCAGCTGAGAGCCAAGTTAGAAACACAAAGACATTTCTACATTGCACAGTCATTTAGAAACTGCATTCCCCCTGGTCTGGCTGGTGCCTGAACCACCATCAGCACTCACACATTTGGGATATAAAGTTCTCTTACTTGATCAACTTTTAAAACACAAACACCTCACAGGAGGGGGTAAACTCACATCTTAGTATGAATTACTCTCTGGTGTTAGATTCCTTAATACTAGGAGGACCCTAGGTTGTAAGGGAGCTTGGTAGAAGAAGAAAGAAGACAGAGGAGAGAGTGTAGTGGAGGACAGCATTGTATAAATCACTGTTGGCTTCTCATCCACCCCAAAGACCAATTTTTCAGAACACATCATTAAGTCTGCGCTTCTGCTCTGTGGTGGTGAAGAGAAAGTTTCAGACAGAAACTATGCCGTGACTTTGATTCTTCATTCTGAAAGGTAGGGATGTGGATGAAGGGAGAGGAGAGATGACAGATGAGACCCTCTCAGGTAGTGTGAGAGGTTTTCCCAACAGACCATCTGTGAGAAGGCCTTGAAGAACAGTCCTCATGCTCAAGACTTCTGTAAGCAGACAGAACATCCTTGGAAGCTGCCTCAAAAGTCTGGACTCATGGCTCTTTAGTTCCTTCTTCTTTTCTTTCTTTCTCTTTTGAGACAGAGTCTTGCTCTGTCACCCAGGCTGGAGTACAGTGGCGCGATCTTGGCTCACTGCAACCTTTGCCTCTGGGGTTCAAGCAATTCTCCTGCCTCAGCTTCCTGAGTAGTTGGGATTACCGGTGTGTGCCACTATGCCCAGCTATTTTTTGTATTTTTAGTAGAGATAGGGTTTCACCATGTTGGCCAGGCTGGTGTTGAACTCCTGACCACAAGTGATCTGCCTGCCTCAGCCTCCCAAAGTGCTGAGATTACAGGTGTGAGCCACTGCACCCGGCCCCTTCTCTCTTTTGTCTGGGCTTTGTGGAAAGTCTGGGAGATTTAGGTCTAGGGTATGAGAGAGAGATGCTTCCAGGGAGGGAGACAGTGTAAGGAAGCTATGGAGAAGCAGCTGATGACATGGTGAGATAAAAGTCTGCATCGAGGAAATAATCCCAAGGATGCTGAAAAAAGGAAGGAAGGCAGACAAGGAGGGAGGAAAAAAGGAGAAAGATAGTCAAAAATAAAACAAGAGAGAGGAAAAAGAAGAGAGATAGAAAGACAAAAAGACAACAAGATAATGCTGCTGTGGTGGTGCCTGTTGTCCTAGCTACTCTAGAGACTAAGGCAGGAGGATCACTTGAGCCCAGGAGTTTGAGGCTATAGAGTGCCATGATCCTACCTGTCAATAGCCACTGCACTCTGGCCTGGGCAACATAATGAGACCTCCTCTCTAAAAAAAAAAAAAAAAAAAACCATAAATAGGCAGACAGATAAATAAAGGAAGGAAATAGGCAGGAAGAAAGTAATCTGCCTTTCCAACCCACTTTGGATAAAACAATGCCCTCTGGAAGCCCTTACACTATTGACATTGGGGCTGCCAGAGAGTTCTTTGTGTGGTGGGCTGTCCTATGCGTTGTAGGATGTTGAATAGCATTCTTTTTTTTTTTTTTTTGAGATGGAGTCTTGCCCTGTTGTCCAGGCTGGAGCGCAGTGGCGTGATCCTGACTCTGCAACCTCTGCCTCCTGGGTTCAAGTGATTCTCTTGCCTCAGCCTCCTGAGTAGCTGGGACTACAGGCATGCGCCAATATACTTGGCTAATTTTTGGGTTTTTAATAGAGACGAGGTTTCATCATGCTGGCCAGGGTGGTCTCAAACTCCTGAGCTCAGGCGATCCACCCACCTTGGCCTCGCAAAATGTTGGGATTATAGGCATGAGCCACCGCGCCTGGCCAACATTTTTTTTTTTGAGACGGAGTCTTGTTTTGTCACCCAGGCTGGAGTGCAGTGGTACAGTGGCGTGATCTTGGCTCACTGCAACCTCCCAGTTTCAAGAGATTCTCATGCCTCAGCCTCCTGAGTAGCTGGGATTACAGGCATGTACCACCATGGCTAGCTAATTTTAGTAGAGATGAGGTTTCACCATGTTGGCCAGGCTGGTCTCAAACTCCTAACCTCAAGTGATCTGCCCATCTCAGCCTCCCAAAGGGCTAGAATTACAGGCATGAGCAACCGCACCCAGCCATCATCCTTGGCCTTTATTCACTAGATGACAGTAGCACACTCCATCCTACCTCCCTGGCCTTATGACAAACAACAATGTTTCAGACATCACTAAATGTTCCCCGGATAAAACCACCCCTCGTTGTAAACTACTGCCTTGGAGCTGGTGAAAAGGAAATCTTTCACAAGTGTGAAATAATGATGGGGCTCACGCTCTTTACACCAGAAAGAACCCTACCATCCACAGAGGGCCGCACAGAGGGATCATGGGCCCGGCACTCATCAATGATCTCCCGCAGCTCTGAAGGGCAGTCTTCACCCAGTGGCTCCTGCTGCCGCTTCACAGCCACCAGCTTGCGGATCTTCTCAGAATTACAGCCTGGAAATGATAGCATGAGAGCCTCAAAAAATTGCTCCGCTACTCGTACATCTCTCTGGATGCTGATGGCTGGCATCAGAACTAGGGACTCTGAGTATGGAAACAACAAGAACTTCCAACGATTCCACTGACCAGCCCAGGCAGTTCCCACATTAAACAACAAATTGCCAGGGGCAGCACTGATGGGGAATTTCTGGTCTACTGGAAGGGGACCCAACCTCACCACTGGCTGAGCCAGTCTTCACATTCTTCACCTTGAAACGGGATATCTCCAGTGGCGATTTCCCAGAGGACGATTCCAAAGCTAAAAGAAAACCAAGAAACTGAACAACCATAACTAGTCTCCCCTTTCCCCTGTCCCTCTAGCCACTGCCAGAAAACTCAGTGAATTTTTTGATTACTACCCAATTTCATTCAACAGAGTTGAGTTTAGGTGGTCCTTGGAGGAGTTTGATTTGGGTTTTCCTATTATGCACATCTGAGTTAGAATCTGTACCAGAACGTGAGTGTACCTGTATATTTCAGACTTTACATCATATTGATAAAATACATCTTCCAGTTCCTGAGGTGAGAGATATGCTGTAGATTTGACTCTGTCTGTCTTTTCTCTCGTAGTTCCCAAACTCATGGAAGTCTGTGTTTTCCTCAACTCAAATCCTGCAAGCTAGATAGAGAGGCAACTTAGAAAGAAACAAGCAAGATCTTGGGTAGAGGAGTAAAGGGCAGGGATTGTTGCTACACACAATTGCCAGGGAATTGTCTTTTACCTTAGGGATTTATTTCCTGTCGTGACTTCTGTCTGTGTGGCTACTTTATTGGTTAACATTATGGGTTCAACTTATCACAGTGCAGTGACCAAGAGAAACACAAAGAGATTTCTTCTGTATAAAATGGGGCGATGACAGGGGGGATTACTTGAGATAATGGTTATAAAGCACCAGTAAGACCTGCTAAGTTGTAGTTGTTGCCAGTATGACTATGTTAAAATGTAGGGGTTTCTCAGTTGAGGACTGAACTCCACTCAGTGAGAGTGGAGAGGGGTCATAGAGCCACTGCCTGGCTCGCCTTTTCCCAAAGAAGCAGATGGAAAAATGGCATGGGGGCATCCCCTCTGTGCTATCTGACTTTATGGGGGGTCAGCCTGATCCTTTGGCTTTGGCGTGACGAGTGTGAGTCATCCCCCCAGGCCTGCGCGGTCACCTGGTGTTCTTAAAGAAACTGTAGCACAATCATGACAGCATATGTTCTTGTCCCATGCACACCTGCCATTGACACCATTGGTGTGCTGAAGGCTGCCAGCCCCAAACTCAGCCAGGTACCCAAATCTAGGGGCAATGTGAGAAAAGGGATAAGGCACTTAGATGGCTCATCCCCCTTTCATTCATTCATTCATTCATTTGCTCACACGTTTCCTGAGCACTGACATTCTCTTACATCTAGCGCCGTATGGGATACCAGGGATGAAAGGTGGAATAGCGCATCTTATAGTCAGGCTGCATGAAGAGCGTGAGAGTAGTAGAAACAGTGTTTTGGGAGTACTTATATCACCATCGCAGAGGGGGAAAGGCATCTGAAAGGCAAAAAAGGCCTGTCTGCTATTATTTGAGGGCTGTCTCTGACACTCGTAGGACTGGAAGAAAGAAAACCGTCTATGGATGACAAAGAAAACTGCTAAAATTCTTTTAGCATTTGGGAATTGTGGACACTGAGTTCACAAAATCTTTTCCTCTTCTGTATGAAAATCTGACTTCCAGTGAACTTCTTAGCTCTGTTCCCCTGGAAATCTGATACAGGTAGACTGTCACCTATGGCTCTTAGTAACATTGCTGATGATGAAAATAAAAATGACTGCTGATTGTTAGATTGCTTCTGGGCAGGATCAAGGGGGTAACAGGACTACACAGTAAACAGCTGATGGGAATGCTTTGTAGCAAATTTTTCTTATTTATTTATTTATTTATTTATTTTTTGAGACGGAGTCTCACTCTGTCGCCCAGGTTGGAGAGCAGTGGTGCAATCTCAGCTCACTGCAAGTTCTGCCTCCTGGGTTCATGCCATTCTCCTGCCTCAGCCTCCGGAGTAGCTGGGACTACAGGCACCTGCCACCACGCCTGGCCAATTTTTTGTATTGTTTAGTAGAGACAGGGTTTCACTGTGTTAGCCAGGATGGTCTCGATCTCCTAACCTCATGATCCACCTGCCTTGGCCTCCCAAAGTGCTGGGATTACAGGTGTGAGCCACCGCGCCCAGCCTCTTTTTTATTTTTTGAGACAGGGTCTCATTCTGTTGCCCAGGCTAGGGTATACAGTGGCGTAAACATAGCTCCCTGCAGCCTTGACCTCCTGGGCTCTAGGCATCCTCCTCCTGCCTCACTCTCCTGAGTAGCTGGAATTACAGGTGTGCACCACCATGACTGGCTGATTTTTAAATTTTTTGAAGAGGGGGAGGTCTCACTGTGTTGCCAAGGCTGGTCTTGAACTCTTGGGCTCAAAGTGATCCTCCTGCCTTCCCTTCCAAAGTGCGGGGATTACAGGCATAAGCCACCATGCCTGGCCATGTAGCAGCTCTTTTCTTTTCTTTTTTCTTTTTTTTTGGAGATGGAGTTTTGCTGTTGTTGCCCGGGCTGGAGTTCAACCACGCGATCTCGGCTCACTGCAAACCTCTGCCTCCCGGGTTCAAGTGATTCTCCTGCCTCAGCCTCCTTAGGAGCTGGGACTAGAGGCGTGCGCCACCACACCCGGCTAATTTTTTGTATTTTTAGTAGAGACAGTGTTTCACTATGTTGGCCAGGCTAGTCTTGAACTCCTGACCTCAGGTGATCCACCCGCCTTAGCCTCCCTAAGTGTTGGGATTACAGGCGTGAGCCACCATACCCAGATGTGGCAGCTCTTAAAACAGCAACTCACATGTCACTTGCAGAAACACTGGAAGGCATGCCTGCAGAGTTGTTACCAGAGATGCTGACTCCTGCAGGTCATGGGCTTCTAAGCCTGGATGACCCACACCCACCTAATGGGAGCCTCTTTCTCCAGCACCTGTGGCTCTGACAAAGAGAGTATCTCCTGGATGACTGCGAGGACTCACCCTGGAGGGAAAGGTTTGGCGCTGCTGACATCCTTCTAAGTAACTGAATGACAAGTGTGGCCTAGACCTGTCCTGTGAGTCTGAGTCCTTAAACCTAACAAGATCCCCCATTGTATGTTGTAGGGACATAGAAGTGGTGTCCAGGCATCTAAGGGGAAATGACTTGTAGCCCATCCCTGCTAAATGGGCAGTGAGGGAAGGCAGTCATCAGAACAGGCGGCATAGATGGAGACTGTTGTGTGGTGGGCACACAGAAAGTTGAAGTTAGTTCTGAAACTAAAAAACTAAAATTGAACTCAGTTCTAAAACCAAGGCAAGGCCGGGCATGGTGGCTCATGCCTGTAATCCCAGCACTTTGGGAGGCCCAGGTGGGCGGATCACTTGAGGCCAGGAGTTCAAAACCAGCTGGCCAACATGGTGAAACCCTGTCTCTACTAAAAATGCAAAAATTAGTCAGGAGTGGTGGTGCATGGCTGTAATCCCAGCTACTTGGGAGGCTGAGGCAGGAGAATCGCTTGAACCTGGGAAGCAGAGGTTGCAGCGGGGCGATCTCGCTCACTGCCCTCCAGCTTGGGTGACAGAAAGAGACTCTGTCTCTAAATAAATAAATAAATAAACTAAGACAAGAATCAAGCCTTTCTGAGACACTCGTGCCCCTCTCATAGCACCAGTCATGCAGGTTTGACCCAAAGCGCCCCCGCAAGGCACACTCACCTTCACTTGGTAGCCTTGAGTTACCAGGAAGTTTGAGCTTCTGATTTTTCCGTGGAGTTCAGGTGCTTCTGAATGGTGTAGCCTGACACAGCCAAAGGCGGGGAGCATAAGTACCTTTGCCCAAACTTTCTTTGGGGGACTGACAATCATAACTGGGCTGATGAGGCTGGACAGTACCATGGGTGCCTGTCCACAGTTACACAGGAAAAACTGGGATGTAGAGGCAAGGTTTGAGAATCACAAGCCGTGAGTATAGAACAGAGATGAGATTCATAGCACAAGGGGGCATGACAGCCCTTATGAAGTGCATGCAATCGGGCATCAGGGGTGCCTTTAGGTAGAGAAGGACAACGTTGCCTCTGTGTTGCTTTGCCTGGGAAGTGCTGGGCAGATCCGAGAGCTCAGAGGCATGGCTGGGTGGCTGGACCTTGCTGGGACCCTTCAGGTCAAAGCAGAATGTGAAGCTGGGGTCCCGCTGACTTCCAGACAAGGGCTTTGGTTTCACAAAGCCCCTGCGTCCCAGGTTGGGTTGCACTCATGGTGTCTGCCTGAGCTCAGATTCTCCCAGAAGCAGATCATGAGCCATGATTTGGGCACGAGGGATTTGTATCAAGAAGGTGCTCCCTTGACCAGGCATGGTGGCTTGCGCTTATAATCCCCACACTTTGGGAGACCAAGGTGGATGGATCACTTGAGGTCAGGAGTTTGAGACCAGCTTCGCCAACATGGTGAAACATCATCTCTACTATTAATAAAAATACAAAAAAATAGCTGGGCGTGGTGGCATGTGCCTGTAATTCCAGCTATTCAGGATGCTAAAGCATGAGAATCACTTGCACCCAGGAGGTGGAGTTTGCAGTGAGCCGAGATCACGCCACTATACTCCAGCCTGGGCAGCAAAATGAGGCTCTGTCTCAAAAAAAAAATAACTCCAAAAGTCCCCCAAACAAACAAAAAGAAGGTGCTCCCAGGAGAAATGGTTGAGGGAGTACAGGAAGTAGGATGGCGAAGGAGAAGAAATCAAGCAAGAGGTTGATTTCAGGTGAAATCCCAGGCTCAGGTGGTCTCGCGGAGACCTGTGGGCACAATTACACCTCAGAGTGTGTCCCACAGGAAGCAAAGGAACTGGACTTTTATACTTACACCAGTCAGTGGTTATGGACTGTGTTGGGGAGGGCAGGGACAGATGGATATAAAACTCGTGGGCACTTTCAGCTGTCTATAAGGGTGAAAGGGCTCCAGTGCCCACAGGCAATCCTCTGAAGATTGCAGCTGTGAACTTTCAGCAGCAAAGCATGCCGAGAGGGGGATGGGTAAATAGAGCTGGTAAAAAGGATCAGAGGTCATTTGGAGGGGATATTAACAGTGTCCCCTACAACATCCAAAAATACTTCTCCTTAAACTCACTAGTTTAGGGAGTTGAGAAGAAACAAACTTAATTTCAAATTAATAGCTAAGACAGTGTTTCCAAAAGTGTGGGATAAGGTGGTATGCAAGATTATATAAAGGGAAAATTACTCTCCTTTCAGTTTGCTCCAGTCTTTCTGATTACATCAAGAAGAAAGTCTGCGTTTGGTATTTTTTTTTTGTTTTTTTGTTTTTGTTTTTTGTTTTTTGTTTTTTTATGAGACGGAGTCTCGCTCTGTCGCCCAGGCTGGAGTGCAGTGGCACAATCTCAGCTCACTGCAACCTCTGCCTCCCAGGTTCAAGCGATTCTCCTGCCTCAGCCTTACGAGTAGCTGGGACTATAGGTGCGTGCCATCACGCCCAGCTAATTTTTGTATTTTTAGGAGAGACGAGGTTTCACCGTGTTGGGCAGGATGCTCTTGATCTCTTTACCTTGTGATCTGTCCGCCTCAGCCTCCCAAAGTGCTGGGATTATAGACGTGAGCTACTGCGCCCAGCCTTGGTGTTGGGTATCCTTAACTCTGCCAATATCTCCAATATCTCCATTGTACAAAGAGAATGTGGGTTGGATCACAGAGCTTCTGGCAGGCAGCCTCATCCAGCCAGAATTTAATTACATTGTTTTGGTTTCATTTGTGGTTACCTATTTTTGGCAAGTGACACTGGTTTTCAATTTATGGTAGTAAGAGAAAGTGTCCTTTTTAAAAGCTTTATTTCAATTATTATTATTATTTTTTGAGATGGAGTCTTGCTTTGTCGCCCAGCCTGGAGTGCAGTGGTACGATATCAGTTCATTGAAACCTCCGCCTCCTGGGTTCAAGTGATTCTTGTCCCTCAAGCCTCCTGAGTAGCTGAGATTACAGGCCTGTGGCACCATGCTGGGCTAATTTCTGTATTTTTAGTAAAAACAGGGTTTCGCCACGTTGGCCAGGCTAGTCTCCAACTCCTGACCTCAAGTGATCCACCTGCCTTGGCCTCTCAAAGTGCTGGGATTATGGGCGTGAGCCACTGGGCCAGGCCTTTATTCCGATTTTTAAAAAGTGAGTCAATGTAATGAAAAATGTTAAGTAAATAACACTGGTAGTAGTATAGTTAAAACCCTGCAGATGGTTTGTGAGTGACTAACCTTTGGGGACCCTTGGGACTAAGAATCCATAGATTCTGCAGGTGAGAATAGGTAGAGTTGCCAAATAAAACACAAGACACGGCCGGGCGCGGTGGCTCACACTTGTAATCCCAGCACTTTGGGAGGCCGAGACAGGTGGATCATGAGGTCAGGAGATCGATACCATCCTGGCTAACATGGTGAAACCCCGTCTCTAATAAAAATACAAAAAAATTAGCCAGGCGTAGTGGCAGGCACCTGTAGTCCCAGCTACTCGGGAGGCTAAGGCAGGAGAATGGCATGAACCTGGGAGGCAGAGGTTGCAGTGAGCCGAGATCGTGCCACTGCACTCCAGCCTGGGCAACAGAGGGAGACTCCATCTCAAGAAGAAAAAAAAAGAAAAGAAAAAAACACAAGACACTCCATTAAATTTGAGTTTCTGATAAGCAATGAATATATAGATTCACGTACACGCATATATATATGTACAAGCATGCCCACAAATTGTATAGGACATAGTTGTACTAAAAATAAATGTTTATCCAAAATTTGAGACTGGGTGCAGTGACTCATGCCTGTAATCCCAGCACTTTGGAAAGCTGAGGCAGGAGGATTGCTTGAGCCCAGTAGTTCGAGACCAGCCTAGGCAGCATGGCAAAACCTTATCTCTACAAAAAATATATATAAAAAAAAAACTGGCTGAGTGTAGTGGTGTGCGCCTGTAGTCCCAGCTTCTCAGGAGGCTAAGGTAGGAGAATCCCTTCAGCTCGGGAGGTTAAGTGATCTGTGATCATATCAGTGCACTCCAGTCTGGGCAAGAGAGTGAGACTCTGTCTCAAAACATAAAATAAAATTTGATATTTTTGATATTTAGTATAAGTATATACCATGCAATGTTTAGGATGCACTTATACTAAAAAATGATTCATTACTTTCCTAACGTTCAAATTTAACTGGATATGTTCATTTTTATGCTAAATCTGTCCACTCCAAAATTAGGGCTCATCCAACTCTATAAGTGCAGTGTGGACATCAATTTCAACCGTCAGTTCTGGGAGCTGGTGTTCCCTGGGTTAAGCCTCTTTCCTCCCTCCTATCTGTAATCAGAGTAAATAGTAAAACAGTGTATGGGAGGGAGACTGTCTGGGGCGTCTGGCCTGTTCTCTCACCATCTCTGGGAGTATCAGGAGTGTGGACAGACCCATCCAACCCTTAGTGGCGCCTTTTCACCCCGTCTTACCGGTATAGGCCTCGGGCTGCCCCCAGGACTAGGACCATGCGCTTGCCAAGTGTGAGGTCTTTTTCCCTATCCAACAGCTCCCTCAGGGTCCCGAGTTCACAGTACTCCATGACAATGGAGAATTGAGGCGGAGTCACTGGTGGAAAGGAGCCAGACACTATGAGGACCCGCCCTACTTGAAGCTTCCCATGTCTGCAGCCCACCTCTCCCAGCCTCGGTACAGATACAGACTTGGCTCTGCTGAGTCCCATTTCTCCCCCAATCCTCAGCCCACAGTTTTGGTCCCCGGCCTCCTTGAATGGACCAAATATGCCCAGAATTCCCATCCTCTTCTCCATAATACTTGGCTTGTCGTAATTCTACCTTAAAAAAAAAATTGGCTGGGTGCGTTGGCTCATGCCTGTAATCCCAGCACTTTGGGAGACCAATGTGGGTGGAACACAAGGTCAGGAGTTTGAGATCAGCCTGGCCTACGTGGTGAAACCATGTCTCTACTAAAAATACAAAAATTAGCTGGGTGTGGTGGCAGGTGCGTGTAATCCCATCTACTTGGGAGGCTGAGGCAGGAGAATCACTTGAAGCTGCGTGGCAGAGATTGCACCACTGCACTCCAGCCTGGGCAACAGAGTGACACTACATCTCAAAAAAAAAAAAAAAATGTTCTGCCAGGTGTGGTGACTCACGCCTGTAATCCTGGCTCTTTGGGAGGCTGAGGCTGGTGGATCACTTGAGGCCAGGAGTTCGAGACCAGCCTGGCCAACATGATGAAACCTCGTCTCTATGAAAAATGCAAAAATTAGCCAGGTGTGGTGGGACATGCCTGTAGTCCCAGCTATTAGGGAGGCTGAGGCAGGAGAATTGCTTGAACCTCGGAGGTGGAAGCTGCAGTAAGCATATTGTACCACCGCACTCCAGCCTGAGTGACAGAATGAGACTCTGTCTCAAAAAAAAAAAAAAAAAATTCTTTTTCTTTTTCTTTTTTAACTTCTATCTCCCTTTCTTGGTATAATTCAAAATTTTCTTGAGCAGTTATTTGGCGAATGTCTTCCTCACTCAACTGGATTCCCAAGAAGGCAGGAAATGTGTCTGTCTTGTTCACATGGGTGCTCACAAGAAGCTTCGTACATCTGTGTGGGAGGAATGAGTAGGGCACACATGGCAGGGGCGGGTGAGGACTCAGACAAGAAGTCGACTTCCCCATTCATGGGCCTGAGCTGCAAAACTGACATGTGACTGAGCCAGGCACCTCAGCGGTCCCCAAGGAGAACAAACGTTGCTGAACATTTGTCTTTATTTTTTATTTTTTAATTTTTTTGAGACAGAGTCTAGCTCTGTCACCCAGGCTGGAGTGCAGTGGCATGATATTGGCTCACTGCAACCTCCGCCTCCCAGGTTCACGCAATTCTCCTGCCTCAGCCTCCCGAGTAGCTGGGACTACAGGCACCCACCACCACGCCCAGTTAATTTTTATATTTTTAGTAGAGACAGGGTTTTATCATGTTGGCCAGGCTGGTCTCAAACTCCTGACCTCAGGTGATCCACCTACCTTGGCCTCCCAAAGTGCTGGGATTACAGATGTGAGCCACCGTGCCTGGCCTACGTTTCCCTTTAGATTGGGATTCCACACTCTGAAATCAAGTTGGCCTGAGGCTGTGGAGCAACTTCCAAAGGGGATAAGACAGGAGTTGCTCTGTCCAATCTCTAGGCAAGACGGCAGCAAAACATGACCAGCAGGAGGGGTCATTCCATGAGAGAAAATGCAGTCACATTGGGAAAAAAAGAAAAAAAAAAAAAAAAAAAGAGCCTGTCACATAAGGCTCTTGGTAGAGGGGTAAAGTAATGGTTTTTTTTTTTGTTTGTTTGAGACAGAGTCTCACTCTGTCACCCAGGCTGGAGTGCAGTGGCATGATCTCGGCTCACTGCAAACTCCGCCTCCCAGGTTCAAGCAATTCTCCTGCCTCAGCCTCCCGAGTAGCTGGGACTAGAGGCATGTGCCACCACATCCGGCTAATTTTTTGTATTTTTAGTAGAGACGGGGTTTCATCATGTTGGCCAGGACGGTCTCAAGCTCCTGACCTTGTGATCCACCCACCTCAGCCTCCCTAAGTGCTGCTGAGCCACAGCGCCTGGCCAGGTAAGTTAATTTTGCTTTTAGATTTGTTCTATACTAATGATGACCAAGGGTGTTTTCCTTCTTTGGGTCAGACAGCTTTATAATTTATTTTTATTTTTGAGACGGAGTCTTGCTCTGTTGCCCAGGCTGGAATGCAATGGTGCACCCTCAGCTCACTGCAACCTCCGCTTCCCAGGTTCAAGCAATTCTCCCACCTCAGCCTCCCGAGTAGCTGGGACTACAGATGCCTGCCACCAGACCCAGCTAATTTTTGTATTTTAGTAGAGATGGGGTTTCACCATGTTGGCTGGGCTGGTCTTGAACTCCTGACCTCAAGTGACCTGCCTGTCTCGGCTTACCAAAGTGCTGGGATTACAGGTGTGAGCCACTGCACCTGGCAGCTTTATAATGTTTTAGAGCAACAAGATGCACCCCTCTTCCAGGCTGGCATCTAAACATGCACCCCCTTATTTCCCAGTGGGCTGAAAGGAGAAGATGTGGCCATGTTAGTGCAAACCACCCCTCAGCCTTCAGCCCTGCCCTCCTGAAAGAAGATGAGAACATGCATCTTGGGATGAAAAAAAAAAAATTAACATTGATAATAATCACACTTTGTGGATTCCACCCTTTGTGATGTTCTTTAAAAAAATGCAACACATTAAAACACAGGAGGTGTGTTCTAGGCCATCCAAAGCTTGACCAATCCTAGAAGCATTCCTTACCTGTTTCATCAATGCAAATCCCAAATATACGCAGGATGTTGGGAGATTCGAATTTCTTCATGGTTTTGATCTCCTTATTGAAAGTCTGCCTCACTATTCTATAAGGATTAAAGAGAGAAATCAGGATTTCAGAACTGGAAGGTTCCTTAGAGAACATTCAGTGTGGTGACCCTCTGTGTATGTGGGGGCGGGGGTATCAGCATCTGGGGTGAGAACTGGTGCCAGGATGAACTCAGCTACTGATAACAACATGTGGAACCCCTCAGGTGCCTGTGGCAGCACAATTAGTCCCTCGGGGTCTGTCAGATATTAATGGGACTTGCTAATATCTTTTCAGTAGTTCAAATAGTCTGATAGAATTGTATTTTTATGACCTACAGGGCTTTACTAGGCAAACTAAAAAGTCAAGTATTTGTTACTGTTTTTAGGCTGTAACCTGTTGTTTAGCATATACTCTGACAGATTGTGGTGTGTGTCTTTTTTTTTTTTTTGGAGACAGGGTCTTGCTTTGTCACCCAGGCTGGAGTGCAGTGGTGCGATCTTGGCTCACTGCAGCCTCCACCTCCCAGGTTGAAGCAATTCTCATGCCTCAGCCACCTGAGTAGCTGGAACTACAGGTGCGTGCCACCATGCTTGGCTAATTTTTGTATTTTTTTTGCAGAGACATGATTTCACCATGTTGGCCAGGCTGGTGTCAAACTCCTGGCCTCAAGTGATTTGCCTGCCTACGCCTCCCAAAGTGCTGGGATTTCAGGTGTGAGTCACCGTGCCCAGCCCGTGGTGTGTGTCTTTGATGAATAAAAATAATGATACTAGGCCGGGCGTGGTGGCTCATGCCTGTAATCCCAGCACTTTGGGAGGCCGAGGCAGGTGGATCACAAGGTCAGGAGTTCGAGACAATCCTGCCGAACATGGTGAAACCCCGTCTCTACTAAAAATACAAAAAAATTAGCTGGGTGTGGTGGCGGGCGCCTGTAGCCCCAGCTACTTGGGAGGCTGAGGCAGGAGAACGGCGTGAACCCAGGAGGTGGAGCTTGCAGTGAGCCGAGATCACACCATTGCACTCCAGCCTGGGTGACAGAACGAGACTACGTCTCCACACACACACAAAAAAAGATATTTATTAAGTGAAATCTTATAACCAAAATTCCTTCCAAAACGTGGGCCTTAAAAAATGTAGGCAGGTAAATTATTAAAGAGGATCACTGGAACCACCAACTCAATCCAATCTGTTCATTCACTCTGAGTCTTAGACTCAAAGGGCAAAGGAGGCTTGTCCAAGGTCTGTCAGAGAATCAGGGCAGGTTCAGAGCCTATAAAAATCAATTGTATTTCTATCTGCTAGCAATTAACAATCAAAAGATTAAATTAAAAATTTTCATTTCCAATAGCATAAAGAGAATAAAATACTTAGGAATAAATTTACAAAAGAAGTGCAAGTCTCACCCTGAAAATTTTGTACCTAAATTGTTGAAAGAATTTTGTTTTGTTTTGTTTGTTTGTTTTTTGAGATGGAGCCTCACTTTTGTCGCCCAGGCTGAGTGCAATGGCATGATCTCGGCTCACTGCAACCTCTGCCTCCTGGGTTCAAGCAATTCTCCTGCCTCAGCCTCCCGAATAGCTGGGATTACAGGCGCTTGCTACCATGCCCGGCTAATTTTTGTATTTATAGTAGAGGCGGGGTTTCACCATGTTGGCCAGACTAGTCTCGAACTCCTGACCTCAGGTGATCCTCCTGCCTCAGCCTCCCAAAGTGCTGGGATTATAGGCATAACTCACTGCACCCAGCAAGAAATTTTAAAAGATCTAAATAAATGGAAACACGTCCCATGTTCTTGAATAGGAAGACTTTATACCATTAAGATGGTAACATTTTCCAAATTGACCTACAGGTTCAATGCAATCCTTACCCGATTTGTAGTTGGCTTAAAAAAAAAAAGCAAAAACAAAAACTGAAATTGACAAGATATTCCTAAAATTTGTGTGGAAATGAAAGGAATTCAGGATAGCCAAGACAGTCTTGCAAAAGAAGAACAAAGCTGGAAGACTTATACTTCTCAATTTCAAAACTTATCACAAGGTTACAGTAATGAAGACAGTATAGTGCTATCATAAGACTAGACAAACAGATCAATGGAATAGAATTGGGGGTCCGGAAATAAACTCATACATATAAAGCCAGTTGATTTTTCACAGTTTTTTTTTTTGGAACTTGCTCTGTCACCCAGGCTGGAGTGCAGCGATGCAATTTCTGCTCACTGCAATACCTGCCTTCTGGGTTCAAGAGATTCTACTGCCTCAGCCTCCCAAGTAGCTGGGACTACAGGTGCCTGCCACCACGCCTGGCTATTTTTTTTTGCGATGGAGTCTTGCTCTGTCAAGCAGGCTGGAGTGCAGTGGCGTGATCTCAGGTCACTGCAAGCTCTGCCTCTCAGGTTCACACCATTCTCCTGCCTCAGCCTCCTGAGTAGCTGGGACTACAGGTGCCCGCCACCACACCTGGCTAATTTTTTGTATTTTTAGTAGAGACGGGTTTCACCATATTAGCCAGGATGGTCTTGATCTCCTGACCTGGTGATCTGCCCGCCCTGGCCTCCCAAAGTGCTAGGATTACAGTCGTGAGCCACTGCGCCCAGCCAACGCCCGGCTAATTTTTGTATTTTTAGTGGAGATGGGGTTTCGCCATGTTGGCTAGGCTGGTCTCAAACTCCTGACCTCAAGTGATCCACCTGCCTCGGCCTCCCAAAGTGCTAGGATTACAGATGTGAGCTGCAGTGCCAGGCCAGCACAGTCTTTTAAACAAATGGCTCTGGGACATGTGAATATCAACATGCAGAAAAATGAAGTTGAATGACTACCTTATACAATACACCAAAATTAACTCTAACTTCGGAAACCTAAATATAAGAGCCAAAAACTATAAACTCTTAGAAGAAAACACAGGAGGGCCAGGTGCAGTGGCTCAAGCCTGTAATCCCAGCAGTTTGGGAGGCCAAGGTGGGTGGATTGCTTGAGGTTAGGAGTTTCAGACCAGCCTGGCCAACATGGTGAAACCCTGTCACCACTAAAAATACAAAAATTAACTGGGCCTGGTGGTGCATGCCTGTAGTTCCAGCTACTCGGGAGGCTGAGGCATGAGAATTGCTTGAACCTAGGAGATGGAGGTTGCAGTGACTGATATCACACCACTACACTCCAGCCTGGGTGACAGAGCAAGACTCCATCTCAAACAGAACAAAACAAAAAACCCCCAAAACCTGTACATGAATGTACACAGAAACATTATTCATAATAATCAAAAAGTGGAAAAAACACAAGGTCCTTCAATTGATTAATGGATAAGTAGGATATCCATACAACAGACTATCATTCAGCCATAAAAAGGAATGAAGAAATGATACTTGCTATAATATAGATGAACCTTGAAAATATCATGCTAAGTGAAAGAAGCCAGACTCAACAGGCCACATATTGTATTATTCCATTTACATTGAAGATTCAGAAAAGGCAAATCTATAGAGACAGAAGGTAGGACTGTTGCCTGGGCTCAGGATGGTGGTGATAGGGGTGAAAGAGGAATGACTGCTAGTGGGTATAGGGTTTCTCCTTCCTTCCTTCCTTTTTTCTTTTTTTTTTCTTTTTTTTTTTTGTTGGAGTCTTGCTCTGTTACCCAGGCTGGAGTGCAGTGGCACGATCTCAGCTCACTGCAACCTTGGCCTCCAAGGTTCAAGTGATTCTCCTGCCTCAGCCTCCCAAGTAGCTGGGATTATAGGCTCATGCCACCATGCCCAGCTAATTTTTGTATTTTTTAGTAGAGACGGGGTTTCACCATGTTGGCCAGGCTGGTCTTGAACTCCTGACCTCAGGTGATCTGCCCTCCTTGGCCTCCCAAAGTGCTGGGATTACAGGCGTGAGCCACTGCACCTGGCCTGTAAATATATTTAAAGCCATTAAATTGTACATTTTAAATAGGTAAATCTTACGGTATGTAAAATATATCTCAATAAAACTGTTAAAAATACAGTCTCAATGAAAATCTTGATGTGTATTTTGAGGAGTGTGATAAAACTTTCTTTGATATTTATTCAGCTAAGTCAACCTGAAAAAGAAGAATCAAGAGGAGGAAGTTCTTTACCAGATATCGAAATTTACTGCAAAGTCATATGAAAAAAACAGTAACAGTGTGTTACTGGTACAAAAACAGACAAATTGATCAGTGGGAAAGATTAGACAGATCAGAGTCAGATCTATGTCTATATAAAAACTTAATATACAATAAATATGGTACCACAAATCAACAGGGAAAAGACAGACGACTTAATAGATGGTATAGAGAAAACTGACTTACTATGTGGCTAAAAATAAAAGTTGACCCTACATAACGTCACATACAAAGGTGGATTCTAGTAGGATTAAAACCTAAATATAAAAAATAAAACTGGAAAGTTAAGAGAGGAAAATATAGAATGCCTTTAAGATCTAGAGGTGGAGCAGGACACCTCCAGAGCACAAATAAAAAGCTTGCAATGTCTAAAGCTGACAAGTGCTTTATTTCCACAATATACAAAGATTTACAAACAGACAAGACAAAAGCAGCAACCGTGATGGAAAAAAGGGCAGAGGATATGAACAGGCAATTTATGGAAGAGAAAACCCAAATAACTAAAACATGTAAATAAGGGCTTGAATTCATTAGTAAAAACAGAAATGCAAGTTCAAATAACTACAAGATATTGATCACTTTATAACTATAAAGATGAAAGTAATCAGAAAGCTGGATAACACTAAGGGTTGGTGAGGTTGCTTGTGGGAGTGTAGGCATAGACACTGTTCTGAAGAGTTGCCTGGTAGTACTTAGTCACTTAATATACACATATCCCATGGCCCATCATTTTCTCTCCTGGTGCTATATCCTGAAGGATTCTTATACAGGTCCCTAAAGGGAAACTAAGTATGGCATCTTTTTGGTGGGGAAAAGTTGGAAGCTGACTAGGTTCCATCACTGGAAAAAAAAAGAGACAAAATATATGGCTCACGCCTGTTATCCCAACATTTTGGAAGGCTGAGGCAGAAGGCGCTTGAGTCCAGGAGTTCCAGACAAGCCTGGGCAGCACAGTGGGTCCCTGTCTCTACAAAAAATTTAAATATTAGACAAGAATGGTGGTGCACACCTGCAGTCCCAGCTACTTGGGAGGCTGAGGTGTGAGGATTGCTGGAGCCCAGGAGGTTAAGGCTGCAATGAGCTATGATCTCACCACTGCACTCCAGCCTGGACAACAGAGTGAGACCTTGTCTCAAAAAAAAAAAAAAAAAAAAAAAAAAAAAGGCAAAATGTGGATCTTCACCATGGATGGCAGACAGAAATTAAGGAGTCCAGATATGGAACACGTTTCATGATGTTGAGTGAAAAAAGTGAGGAAAGGAGGCAACAGACACGTAACTCTACCAGTTGTGAACATGAAAAATGTATGCATACATTTTACAAGAACACATACAAACAAAACACACTAGAACTACTGTCTGTGGAGGGGATGAGCAACTGGGAAACAAGGTTGGAAGGGAAAGTTGTTTTTTTTTTTTAAATATATATGTGGACAAAGGAGAGAAGACCTAGAACTGAGGTGGAAAGATGTATTTAAGTCAAGACTCTGCTCCTTAACAGTGGAGAGCACATAATTTAACCCTTTAGGGCCCAGGCTTCCTCATCTAAAAATGGAGACGATATCCCTCTCTCCTTGGAGAGTTAGAGTAAGTATTGGTACACACGAGAGAACCACACAAAACAACTTACGCAATGCTGCCAGCCTGGAGTTTTTTGAATACTTTTATGGCCACTGGAGCTCTGTGGTATTCTCCTTTATAAAGTGTGCTGACTTCATTTTCCCTTAGCAGAATCCACGGGGATCCTGAAAGCTGCTCCTTCTTGATCTCCTTGATTTGCTCTTGCGGGATCTCCTGCATGCATTTTGGTGGTAAATCTGACCTCACCCCCGAGAGGAAAGAAGACAAAAGAGTCAATGAGCAGAGGAAGGGGTCCTAAGGGAGGTGGCATATTTGTGATGTGTGAGTGGGAAGCTCTACTACATGAACCAGAGCTGGTGGTGGCTGGGGCTTCTGATGGACTCAGCCCAAGGGAGCGGCTCCCGTGCCTCTGAGTGACCAGTAGAGACACAGCTGGACAGTTAACAGAATGTGTCATCCACTTCCTTTCCCTCCTCTTCAAATCCCGCCTGTCCCTCCAGCCTTAACCCTCATCCAGACTCATCTCTCTCATCCTGGAAGGATGTCTATTCCTGTTACCCAGAGCTTGGCACTTGAGCATCTGGCATCTGGCGTAGTCATTTCAGATCTAGTAGTTAGGGACATAGTTCAAGCTCAGTAACCTTGCTGTTGTGTGTTCACTGTCTGTCTTTCCTCTTTCCTCCTCCACCCCGTGAGCTCCTGGAAGGCAGTGTCCTTCTCTGCATCTTAGTTACCTCTTTGCATGGCCTCTGGCATAAACCAGATACTCACAGTTTTGTTGAATGAATGAATGAGTGGGCATTTTAAATTTGATTTGAATTTCTTCTTGGAAATTCAGCAACTGAACTGAAGCTTTGATTCTATTCATAGAGGTTTTTAAGTACTTTGACAGCTGCTAGAAGGTATCTTACTGGTCAAGAAGCTCTCTCCACATGTTATTCCATGGACAGAAGCCTGGGCTAGCCATGAATGGATCCCCAAACCTGTGGGCTGCTTCCAGCCATCCAGCACAGAAAATGGACAAATGCAGGGGTAGCGGGAGGCTGGGGTCCCAGTAAACTGATGACTTCTAGTTTGGGGGCCATCAGAAACAGCAGGGCACATGATAACTTACACTGCCTCAAAGTTTCCTTGATTTCTTTCATGTTGATTTCTAATCGTCTCAGTGAAGCTTCTATTTTTTCATTATCTGCAGGAAAAAAGGGCAGTATATGCTCAAAATAGATATTAAAATCACACGCCAATCAAAACTAAAATGCTAATTAAAACTGTTGAGATATCATTTTTTACCTATCATATTCATTATGGTAGGGATTACTACTGATCACCAATATTCAGATTTCTACTTCTGAGCACATAGGAAATGCATTAAAGCATGGCTGGGTAACTTGCTTTGGCTAAGAAATGAAGAAAAGAGATGTCTGTCACTTCCCAGAGGGAGCATTTAACTGACTCTGCATAAGGTTCCAACCTGGCTGCTTTGGAAGTGAGGAAAGTTTGCGTCAACGCAGAAGTGCTATACTATTGAAAGTATCCTGGAAGGAGGACATTCACCTTGGAGAGTCCCCTGGACTTTGCCTGAATGAGAAATAAACTTGTTTCTTTAGAACACTGAGTTGTTGTTTTTTAAACCACAGCATAATCAAATCAATCCTGATTTATATACTCAGAAACATGTTTGAAAATTTATAACACACTATTTACAGTGGTCAGCCATCCCTGTCTGCCCAGGACTGAGGAGCTCTGGGGACATGAAACCCTGACTACTAAAAGTGGGAAAGTCTCTTATGGGAAAAGTATAGAGAAGCAGATAACTCATGCATAGTTGGTAGAAGTAATATCTGTGCAACTTCTATCAAAATTTGAAATGCCTACAGTCTTTGACCTAGTGATTTTACCTAGCAATTCCACTTCTGGGAATTTCTCATAAAGATATCTTGAAATAGGCCAGGCGTGGTGGCTCATGCCTGTAATCCTAGCACTTTGGGAGGCCGAGTCAGGCAGATCACTTGAGGTCAGGAGTTTGAGACCAGCCTGGCCAAACTGGTCAGTAGAGATAGTGAAACCCCGTCTCTACTAAAAATACAAAAATTAGCCGGGTGTGGTGGCACATGCCTGTAATCCCAACTACTGGGGTGACTGAGGCACAAGAATCACTTGAACCCAGGAAGCAGAGGTTGCAGTGAGCCAAGATCGTGTCACTGCACTCCAGCAAGACTCTGTCTCAAAAAAAAAAAAAAAGAAAAGAAAAAAGAAAGAAAGAAAGAAAGAAAAGAAAAAAAAAGTTCTGGTGATGGATGGTCGCGATGGTTTCAGAACCATGTGAATATACTTGATGCCACTGAACTGGCATCTAAAAATGGTTGAAATGGTAAATTTTTTTTTTTTTTTTTTTGAGACGGAATCTCTCTGTCGCCCAGGCTGGAGTGCAGTGGAGCGATCTCAGCTCACTGCAGGCTCCGCCCCGCGGGGTTCACGCCATTCCCCCGCCTCAGCCTCCCGAGTAGCTGGGACTACAGGCGCCCACCACCTCGCCCGTCTAATTTTTTGTATTTTCAGTAGAGACGGGGTTTCACCGTGTTAGCCAGGATGGTCTCAATCTCCTGACCTCATGATCCGCCCGCCTCGGCCTCCCAAAGTGCTGGGATTACAGGCGTGAGCCACCCCGCCTGGCCGAAATGGTAAATTTTATGTTATGTATATTTTATCACAAAAAATGGGAAAAAATGATGGGTGTATGTATTGGGTTGTTTTTGAATTTGTGTGCTGCTAGTATGATCATAAAACAAAACAAAACAGTAGGGTAGATGCCAAGTAGGAAAACAAGCTATATAATTCAATGGATATTTACATGGGAGGATATTTAAGATTATTTAATGAGAAAAGAAGAAATAGAACAATGTGCTTGGCATGATGCTGACTGTGTGACAACAACAATAAAATATATATACTTAAATCTCCAGAAGGGTATTCAAGAAACTGGTAGATTGTGTGATTGTATCTCAGATTTTGATAAAGGTTGCACAAATATCCTACCAACAATGGATGAGATTATCATTTTGTCTATATGGTTTCCATCAGACTTCCCCAGTTTTAGTACTGAAGGTCTCATGTCCTCAGAAAGGGAAACAGGGGCCCCTGAGGTCAAGGAGGGAGATTTACTTCTCACGCCGGCCCCCTCCATCCTTTGTTTTTGGAGACAGGATCTCGCTCTGTCGCCCAGGCTGCAGTGCAATGGAGAAATCGTGGCTCACTGCAGCCTCGACCTCCTAGGTGCCTGTAATCCCAGCACTTTGGGAGGCTGAGGCAAGAGGATCACTTGAGGCCAGGAGTTCTACACCAGCCTGGGCAACATAGTGAGACTCTCTAACTACAAAAAATAAAATAAAAATTAGCTGGGCATTGTGGCGTGCACACCTATAGTACCAGCCACTCGGGAGCCTGAGGTGGGAGGATCACTTGAACCTGAGGCTGCAGTGAGCTATGATTGTGCCGCCGTCCTCTAGCCCGTGCAACAGAGACCCTGTCTCAAAAAATGAAACAAAACAAAACAAAACTCCTCTTCAACGCTGGCTTGCCCAAATTTCACCAGCCCCCACCATATATCTGGGCCAAAGGATGTTAGGAGTTTTGTTTGTTTGTTTGTTTGTTTGTTTGTTTTCTGAGGCAGAGTCTCGCTCTGTCGCCCAGGCTGGAGTGCAGTGGCGCGATCTCAGCTCACTGCAAGCTCTGCCTCCCGGGTTCACGCTGTTCTCCTGCCTCAGCCTCCCGAGTAGCTGGGACTACAGGCGCCCGCCACCATGCCCGGCTAATTTTTTGTATTTTTAGTAGAGACGGGGTTTCACCGTGTTAGCCAGGATGGTCTCAGTCTCCTGACCTAGTGATCAGCCCGCCTCGGCCTCCCAAAGTGCTGGGATTACAGGCGAGAGCCATCGCGCCCAGCTAGGAGTTTTGAGGTACAAGTATATTACAACTGCTCAAACTTCATCATTGCTGCTCCTTTGGTAAATTAAAGTGAGACTAAAATGCATTCAACTGCACTCCCACTCCCCACCAAAGACCCAGCTTGCCTCTTCTTAGCATCTGGAAAGCTCGCCTGTCTTCGTCTGCATCCTGCTGATCTTCCTGTGCCCAGGACGCTCCTTGGCTTATGGGTGAAACAGGCATGCGTTGCTCAACCTGAAGTAACAGCGAGAGCTCCTTCCAGACATCACTCAGCTTCCTGTTCACGTCCTTGAAGAGTATTTTGTCCTGGCTTGCTGTTAGAAACCTGCAGATATTGGATCTATTGCTGAACTTTTCTATCTCCCCATTAGCCTCCTCCAGGGCAGCCTTGAAGCGGTTCATGGCTGTGGTTAACTTCTCAGAGGGCACGCTCCTCTTTCCTTGGTCCTGGAGCATCTCCAGAGGCTTGATCAGGCCGAGGACGCGGTGGCCCAGGCGCCGGCACTGTTTCTTGCAGTATTTCATCTCTTCACACCGTTTGTGGATGACCTGGCCAAGGGTGATAATATGCTTCAAATTTTCCATGCCTGGAAGAAATGAATGGAATTTGGTGAAATCCCCAAATCTCCTGCATATTCACTACTTGGCTAAGAAAGAATCAAAGCGGTCTGTGACTTAAATGCCTGAGGAGGTCTCCCCAGCATTTTCATGCAAGATAGAGATGGTTTGCTACCCACCAAAATCTGTTCTGCCCTTGCACAATAATAGAGTTGTAGCTGGGAAGAGCTGGTCCAGCCGGAACTACATCTCCCAGCCTTCCTTGCAACTTGATGTGGCCATGTGACTAGTTCTCACCAATGGGGTTTAAGTGCATGTGACCTGCTCTACTTCGGACTGGGGCAGCTGTGCCGCCTCCTCACACTCTCCCTTGGTTGGCTGGATGCGTGGGGTGAAGCGGCCCTGGGGTGGTGGAGCCCCAAGAAGAGTCCTGAGTCCCTGGATAATCACTTGGAGGAGAGCTGCCCACAGACCTGGAACGTCTGTCATGGACTGTTAAGTGATCAAGGAATAAACTTGTATTGCATGTAAACCGTTAATATTTTCAGGTTGATATGTTTATATCAGTTTCGTCTATTACAGATATATCCTGCTAAAGCATAGAGGTTTCAGGGGCCAGGCGGGTAATTCAAATGAGTGAAGTGAGCTGAGGTAGTCTTTACTGCCACAGATAAATATGTTTCTTTCTGTTTTTTTTTAAAACATGTGGACTATCTTTCATTTTTCCTACAAAAAATTGTTCAGTTTCTTCCTACAGTCCTTTAAGAAAAATGCAGCTGGGCGAGGTGGCTCCCACCGATAATCCCAGCACTTTGAGAGGAAGAGACAGGAGGATTGCTTGAGGCCAGGAGTTCCAGACCAGTCTGGACAGCAAAGTGAGACCCTTTCTCTACAAAAATAAAAAAAATAAAATAAAATAAAATGAAATAAATAAAATATAAAATTGGCTGGGCGCGGTGACTCACGCCAGTAATCCCAGCACTTTGGAAGGCTGAGGTGGGCGGATCACTTGAGGTCAGGAGTTGGAAACCAGCCTGGCCAACATGGTGAAACCCCGTCTCTACTAAAAATACAAAAATTAGCTAGGTGTGGTGGTGCATGCCTGTAATCCCAGCTACTCGGAGGGCTAAGCCAGGAGAATTGCTTGAACCCAGGGGGTGGAGGTTGCACCATCTCAAAAAAATGTAATACATTACATATATATAGTAATATATATAATATTACATATATATAGTAATATATATGTAATATTACATATATAGTAATACATATATATAATATTACATATATATAGTAATACATATATATAATATTACATATATATTATATATATAAGTTAGCCTGGTGTGGTGGCACACACCCGTAGTCTCAGCTACCTGGGAAGTTGAGATAGGAGGATTCCTTGAGTCCAGGAGGTTGAGGCTGCAGTGCCAGCTTCCTACTCTTAACCTCTCTCTCTTCTCTGAACATGAGTGAGGAAGCACAGAGCCCTGATCCTAAAGCTTGGAATGAGGCTAACCTGAGCATGGTAGAATGGAAAGGGAGAAAGAATCTGAGTCTTTGATGACAACATTGAGCCACTGGTTTGAACTGACATGAAGTGTACCCCATCCCCTAACTGCAGGTTTCATGAACCAATAACCTCCCTGATTGTTTAAGGCAGTTTGAATCATGTTTGCTTTATTTGCAACTGAAGCCGACTGCGTTCAGCAATGAATGATGATAATAATTATGACACTAGATCTCTCAATTCACCTACTACATCCTAAGTGCTTTGGAACCCCCAGCTCTCCATGGTTATTTTCATTTAACAGATGAAGATACCATCTGGGCACAGTAGTTCATACCCGTAATCCCAACATTTTGGGAGGTAGAGGTGGGAAGATTGCTTGAGGCCAGGAGTTCCATTCTGGGCAACACAGCGAGACCCATCTCTACTAAAAATACAAAAATTAGCTGGGACCTGTAGTCCCAGCTACTCAGGAGGCTGAGGCGGGAGAATCGCTTGAGCCTGGGAGGTTGAGGCTGCAGTGAGCTATGATGACACCACTGCACTCCAGCCAGGGAAACAGAGAGACCCTGTCTCGAAAAAACAAACAGGTGAAAAGTGAAGATGCTGCGGTTCAGGGAGGTTGCATTCAAATAATCACAAGGCCATGGAACCAGTTTTCAAAGTATTTAAAATAAAGTTAGGGTAGGGTGTCATGACTCAAACCTGTAATCCCAGCACTTTGTGAGGCTGAGGCCAGGGGATCGTATGAGCCTGAGTTCGAGACCAGCCTGGGCAACATGGTGAAACCCTGTCTCTACAAAAAAATACAAAAATTTGCTGGATGTGGTGGTGCTTGCCTGTAGTCCCAGCTACTCTGGAGCCTGAGGAGGGAGAATTGATTGAGGCTGGGAGGTCGAGGCTGCAGTGAGCCATGATTGTGCCACTGACTCCATTCCAGCATGGGCAACAGAATGAGACAGTGTCTCAAAAACACCACCACCACCACCACTAACAAACGACAACAAAAAACAAAGTTAGTTTTTTTTTTTTTAACAGCTCAGTGAAATAGGTAGGTTAAGTATTATCGCCAGTTTATGGATTAATTAGCAGCTTGGAGAAAATAATTGGCCTGGAGCCCAAGTATGGCTTTAAAACATGAGTAAGGCACTGGCAGAAGTGAAACTAAATAAATGAGCAATCGATATAG
Source organism: Homo sapiens (assembly GCF_000001405.40). NCBI lineage: Eukaryota > Metazoa > Chordata > Mammalia > Primates > Hominidae > Homo > Homo sapiens. The sequence continues at coordinate 74,698,430 of NC_000016.10, forward strand.
TTGTGTTTTTGTTGCCTGAGAGTTACAGTGATTGGGCAAGGGAGGTAACAGTTATTAGGGCACTCCTAAAAAGACTAGTGGATCTCAGACTACCCAGCTATTCCCACGTGCTAAGCAGATATCTTCAAGGCCATTTCTTGGGAATTGTGAGGGCAAAAGGTTTTACACTTTCTCTGTTGCACCAGAAACAGAAGCAAATGTGGCAATGTTGTTCAAGGAATCTTGCAAATTGTAGCTTCCTAGCTCTAAGCTCCAGTTATCTTACCAGCAGCCTCATCAGAAAGCCATATCTCAGCACTGAACTAATCAGAAAGGAAAATGGGGAAAATATCCCACCCATAGAACTGACAAACAATTTCAAATAATAAATTATACAGTGGTGGCATGGTATGAAGAAAATTGCAGCGGTCACATTGGCTCATGCCTGTAATCTCAGCGCTTTGGAAGGCCGAGGCAGGTGGATCACCTGAGGTCGGGAGTTTGAGATCGCCCGGCCAACATGGTGAAACCCCATCTCTACTAAAAATACTAAAATTAGCCAAGCATGGTAGCAGGCGCCTGTAATCCCAGCTACTCGGGAGGCTGAGGCAGGAGAATTGCTTGAACCCGGGAGGTGGAGGTTGCACTGAGCCGAGATCACACCACTGTGCTCCAACCTGGGCAACAGAGCAAAACTCCGTCTCAAAAACAAAAACAAAAACAAAAAAAAAGAAAGAAAGAAAATTGCACAAAACAAAGCTTGAAGAAAGGAGGAAAGAGAAGTGTTATATTTCTGGCTGGGAAGACTAAAACAGACCAACCCAGCAATCCTTCCCAAATTTAAATCCAATTTAATGCAGTTCCAATAAAACATCTACTGACATATTTTGGCATTAAATCAAAATGATCCTAAAGTTCATTTGAAATGGGAAATTAGTAGGGATAACCAGGATTTTAAAAAATAAAGAAAAGGGGACTTGCCTGTATGAAATTAAAATATATTAAAAACTGCAAAATATTGGGAAAAAGCACCCTACAATAACTTAAATTGTTTAAGGTCTTATTAAGTATATGATCTACAAGGGAAGAAAGGGAATATACATATATACACACTTAGACTGGGCAATTTGAATTTCTAGGAACTTATGATGTAGAAAAGCTTGTGTTTGTAGATAGATGGCTACCGAGATGTTCACTGCAGTGCTATTTATAATATGTAAAACAAACAGCTAAGAATATGTTCAGGCCAGCTGCAGTGGCTCACACCTGTAATCCCAGCACTTTGGGAGGGTGAGGTAGGAGGATCACCTGAGCCCAGGAGTTTGAGACCAGCCTGGGTGACAAAGCGAGACCCTGGCTCTACCAAAAAATACAAAAAAAATTTAATTGGGTGTGGTGATGTGCACCTTGTAGTCCTAGCTACTTGGGAGGATCTGGTTGGAGGATCACTTGAGCCCATGAGTTCGGAGGCTGCAGTGAGCTATGATTGTGCCACTGCGCTCCAGCCTGGGCAACAGAGGAAGACTCCATCTCTCAAAATAAATAAATAAAAAGAAAAAGGGGATTATGTTCATATGTTACGATGAGAAAACAGGTTACTAATTTTAAAAGTGAAAAATCTTTAAATGGTAATAACAATGCAAATTCACCTCTTCCCTCCAAAAAATAAAAAATAAAAATAAAATAAAATAAGTAAAGGTTATCAGGCATTTCCCTCTTCTCTCTCTCTCACTCTGTCTCTCTCTCACGCCTTCAGCCTGCAAACCTGAAGACTTCCTTTTTCTGAGAAGACATCAGGTAACTTGTTCCCGTGCCCCTGCCCTCCACGACCCCCACTGCTACTGGGCGTCTCGCTTTGGCGGAAGGTAGTGCGAGATCCGAGCAGGCAGCTCCACCATCAGAGCTGAGGAAATGAAACCAACTCGGTCCTGAGTTCCAGGAACTCGGACCGGGCCACCCTCACCCCTGGTTCTTCCCATCACCGTCCAGGAATTCGGCTGCAGCCCCTCGGCCCCGCCGCCTCCTGGGAAGACCCCATGCTCACCTTCGCGCCTCCCGAGGGGTGTGCGTCCAATCTGTCCCGTGCACAGTTCCAAAAAGCTCGCTCTTCCACCTTCTTTCCCACGACCGCCTCCTGCCCAGGCGAGAAGTTTGCAAACGCGAGGCCCGCGGGAGTTCCCCTGCGCCCCCTTTCCTGGTGCCCGCACCCTGCACTCTGCTGACTGTACCGGACGCCACACGTGGCTGGCGGCGACAAGGCGCCCCGATCCCTACCTGAGGGAAACCCCGGCCACTGCAGCTGCACTTGAGCAGGGTCCCTCCACTCAGCCACTTGGATGGCTGTTTCTGTCCAGTGCCCTCCGGAGGCCACTGCCTCAGGTCTGTGATGCCTGCAGAGAATGCTGCGACACTTCCCCCTCCGACGTGGCTCCAGCTGCCAACCACCAGGCTCACGGTGCCCTGGCTCCCTGGAGCCGCTTTCTAGGCAGCTCGGAGCCACGGCCCCTCCCTTCCTTCCTCCTGTCCTTTCCACACTCTTCCTGCCTTCCCCAAAGTCACTGGGTAACTACGCTGTACACGTCAGTACCAAGCCTTCTTTAGGGGCTGGGGATTCAGAATAGAATAAGGTCCCAGCAACTATTATAACCAGGACACAGTATGAGAAGGACTGGAAGTTTAGAGAAAAACTGAAAGTTGGAGAGAAGCTTCTGGTGTTTGCTTCTCTGTGCTGGATAATATTGGCGGGGTGGGGAGGGTACGAGGGAAGAGACACCAAAGTGGGAAAAAAGTCACTTCCTCTTCTAAGGTCATTGCAGAACATCCTGTTACAGTGTGAGTCAGGTTTTCTTAAGATTAACTACATCTTCAGCTAGAAAGTCTAAGTAGTGTTATGCATTTACTCAACAGACTATTTGCCTCTAAAAGAACAGAACTGGGAGCTGGGTGTGGTGGCTCATGCCTGTAATTCCAGCACTTTGGGAGGCGGAGGTGGCCAGATCACCTGAGGTCAGGAGTTCAAGACCATCCTGGCCAACATGGGGAAACCCTGTCTCTACTAAAAATACAAAAATTAGCCAGGCGTGGTGGTGCATGCCTGTAATCCCAGCTACTCGGGAGCCTGAGAGGGGAGAATCGCTTGAAGCCGGCCTTGGAGATTCATTTCTTCGCCTTGCTATTGTTCTTCGTCTCCTGCATCATCAGTTTTCTTCCTGTCTTAGGTGAAGAGATTGAGGTGAGGCAGGAGAATAGGGTCTGCAGGCAGGGAACATAAAGCTGATTCACGCTGACTTCTTAGAACTAAATAAAATGGACACATTTCAGCTATGACAGGAAATATTTTCTTCATTTACATATGGCGTTCACTGAGTAAGTGACTGAGCAACTTCACTTCATCTTCTTCATTTACATAGGGTGTACACCAATTAACCAATGGGAGCCTCTAGAGGGTATTTAAATCCCAGAAAATTCTGTAACGGAGTTCTTGAGCCCCTATGCTCACGCTGGCTCCCACCCTGTGGAGTGTACCTTTGTTTTCAATACATCTCTGCTTTTGTTGCCTCATTCTTTCCTTGCTTTGTGCATTTTGCCCATTTCTTTGTTCAAGATGCCAAGAACCTGGACACCTTCAACAAGTAACACAGGTGCCTGTGATTTATTGAAGGAAGACTCTTAGGAGAGTGGTGGGTATGATAGGGCAGAGGAAGAAAAAGTGAAACAAGTATGTAGTCAGTGGAGGCTCCATGGGGAGGTCTGGAATGTGAAGGTCTGGAACAAGAGGCAGCCTCCTTTCTGCCCAGGGCAATTCTTCTGGACGAGGGGGAAGCTGTGTGAGTGTTTAGCTGTCAACACTCATAGCAGCTGCAGGATGGGTATACTGATCTGCTATAAACAAAATCATACAATGTATAACCTTTTGGAAGTTTTTTTCTTTTCTTTTCTTTTTTTTTTTTTTTACTGTCCCACCATCAATGTACAAGACATTCAGTTTCTCTGCATCCTCAGCAGCATTTTATTTTGTCCCTGCCTGAATTTTTAGCTATTCTAACAGGTGAATAGTGATATATCATCATGGTTTTTTGTTTTGTTTTGTTTTGAGATAGAGTCTTACTCTGTTGCCCAGGCTGGAGTGCAGTGGCGCCATCTCAGCTCACTGCAACCTCCACCTCCTGGGTTCAAGCGATTCTCCAGCCTCAGCCTCCCAAGTAGCTGGGACTACAGGCGTGCACCACCACACCTGTCTATTTTTTGTATTTTTAGTAGAGACAGCGTTTCGCCATATTGGCCAGACTGGTCTCGAACTCCTGACCTCAGGTGATCCACCCACCTTGGCCTCCCAAAGTGCTGGGATTATAGGCATGAGCCACTGCGCCTGGTCTCATCATGGTTTTAATTGGCATTTCTTTAGTGCCTGGTGATGATGGACATGTTTTCATGTGCTTGTTTGCCATCTGTATAGCCTCATTGGTGAAATGTCTGTCCATGTCTTTTGCCCATTTTTAGTTGAATTCTTTTTAAAAAACTTGAGTTTTGAGAGTTTAAATATTCTAGATATTAATCCTTTGCCAGATAGGTGGTGTTCAAATGGTGGTGGAGTAACTGAACAAAAAAATGAACTTCACCTAAACCTCATATTCTATGCAAAAATTGCCTGAATGGATCAGAGATTTAAATGTAAAATGTAAAACAAGGAACCTTTTAGAAGAAAGCAGAGAGAACTGTGCAGAATGAAAGGACATTTCCTGTTGAGAAAATGTAAATGTTTGAAAAAAGTTTAGGGCCGGTCGCAGTGGCTCACGCCTGTAATCCCAGCACTTTGGGAGGCCGAGGTGGGCGGATCACGAGGTCAGGAGATTAAGACCATCCTGGCTAACACGGTGAAACCCCATCTCTACTAAAAATACAAAAAAAAATTAGCCGGATGTGGTGGCGGGTGCCTGTAGTCCCAGCTACTCGGGAGGCTGAGGCAGGAGAACGATGTGAACCCAGGAGGCGGAGCTTGCAGTGAGCCGAGATCGCGCCATTGCACACCAGCCTGGGTGGCAGAGTGAGACTCCGTCTCAAAAAAAAAAAAAAAAAAAAAGAAAAGAAAAAAGTTTAAATGAGCCCTTTAAAATGTTTTTATTTTTAGTAGAGACAGAGGTCTCCCTGTGTTGCTGAGGCTGATCTTGAACTTCTGAACTCAAGCAATCCTCATGCCTTGGCCCCCCAAAGTGTTGGGATTACGAGCTTGAGCCACCTTGCCTGGCCAAATGAGTCTATTTAATAAGAATGGCTATTCATACTAAAAATTGTACAATATTAAAAATAATTCCCAGTTTCTTTGGCTTTATCTTGGAGTTGCCATTTGAAAAAAAAAATCACAAACATTTGAAAAAAAAAAAAACTTGTAGAACATGTAGAAGAAAATCTTCAGAACCTAAGGCTAGGCGAAGAATTCTTAGGCATAACATCAAAGCCATTATTATTCTTTCTTCTTTTCTTTTTCTTTCTTTTTTTTTTTTTTGAGACGGAGTCTCCCTCTGTTGCCAGGCTGTAGTGCAGTGCTGTGATCTCAGCTTACTGCAACCTCCACCTCCAGGGCTCAAACAATTCTCCTGCCTCAGCCTTCCAACAAGCTGGGACTACAGGCATGTGCCACCACGCTTGGCTAGTTTTTTTTTGTATTTTTAGTAGAGATGGAGTTTTAGCATGTTGGCCAGGCTGGTCTCGAACTCCTGACCTCAAGTGATCTACCTGCCTTGGCCTCCCAAAGTGCTGGGATTACAGGCATGAGCCACTGCGCCTGGCCCCAAAGCCATTATTCTTAAAATTAAAAAATGATAAATCAGACTTGATCAAAATTTGAAACTTGCTCTGCAAAGACCCTTTTAAGGGGATGAAAAGACAAGTTACAGATTGGGAGAAAATGTTTGCAAATCACATGTCAAATAATATGCTTCTAAATAATTCATGAGTCAAAAAGGACATTTTCTCAAGAGAAATGAAGATATATTTTGCTCAATAAATTTAAACAGATCAAAATCATACAAAGCATCTTCTTTGACCACAATAGAATAAAACTAGAAATAAATAACAGAAAGAGAACTGGAATATTCACAAATATGCAGAAATTAAACAACATACACTTAAACAACTAGTGGGACAAAGAAGAAATCACAAGGGAAATTAGAAAATACTTCGAGACAAATAAAAGATACAACATGCCAAAACTTAGGGGATGCAGCAAAAACAGTTCTCAAAGGATAATTTATAGCTACATGGCTACAAAAGAGAAAAAGAGAGAGGCCTGGTGCCGTGGCTCATGCCTGTAATCCCAGCACTTTGGGAGGCTGAGGCGGGTGGATCACGAGGTTAGGAGTTCAAGACCAGCCTGGCCAACACGGTGAAACCCCGTCTGCTAAAAATACAAAAAAAAAAAAAAAAAAAATAGCCCGACGTGATGGCGGGCACCTGTAATCTCAGCTACTCAGGCGGCTGAGGCAGGAGAATCGCTTGAACCCAGGAGGCAGAGGTTGTAGTGAGCCAAGATCATGCCACTGCACTCCAGCCTGGGTGACAGAGTGAGACTCCATCTCAAAAAAAAAAAAAAAAAAAAGAGAGAGAGAGATCTCAAATCATTATCCCAACTCTACCCTTTAAGGAACTAGTAAAAGAAGAACAAATCAAACCCAAAACTAGCAGAAGGGAGGAAATTACCAAGATCAGAAAAGAGAAAATCAATGAAACTGAAAGTTAGTTCTTTGAAAAGATTAATAAAATTGACGAATCCTTAGCTAAACTAAAACAAAAAGAAGATGAAAATAACTTAAATCAGAAATGAAAGTGGGGACCTTACTATCTACCTTACAGAAATAAAAAGGACTATGAGAGAAAACTATGAACAATTGTTTGCCAACCAATTAGGTAACCTAGAGGATATGGACAAATTCCCAGGCACGCAAAATTTACCTAATTCACTCAATGAGAAATAGAAAATCTGAACATACCTACAACAAGTAAAGAAATTGAATTAATAATCAAAACTCCTCCAAACAAGTAAAGTCCAGGCCTAATAGTTTTACAGTAAATTCTACCAAACATTTTTTTCTTTCTTGGAGACTTTTATTTATTGTATTTATTATATTTTTTTATTATATTTTAAGTCCTGGGGTACAGTGCAGAATGTGCAGTTTTGTTACATAGGTATACACGTGCCATGCTGGTTTCCTGCACCCATCAACCCGCCACCTACATTAGGTATTTCTCCTAATGCTATCCCTTCCCTAGCCCCCACCACCTGACAGGCCCTGGTGGGTGATGTTCACTTCCCTGCGTCAATGTGTTCTCATTGTTCAACTCCCACTTATGAGTGAGAACATGCGGTGTTTTCTACCAAACATTTAAAAATAAATTACCACCAATCATTCTCAAACTCTTCCAAAAATAGGAGAGGAGGAAACACTTCCTAACTCATTTTAAGAAACCAGCATTACTCTGATACTAAAGCCAGATAAAGACACAAGAAACGAAAACTACAAGCCAATATACCTTAAGAATCCAGAGGCTAGCTGGGCGCAGTGGCTCATGCCTATAATTCTAGCACTTTGGGAGGCTGAGGCAGTTAGATCACTTGAGCCCAGGAATACGAGACCAGCCTGGCCAACATGGTGAAACCTAGTCTCTACCAAAAATACAAAAAAATAGCCAGGCATGGTGGTGTGCGCCTGTAGTCCCGGCTACTCGGGAGGCTGAGGTGGGAGGATCACTTGAGCCCATGCCACCACACTCCAGCCTGGGCAACAGAGCAAGACCCTGTCTAAAATAATAATAATAATAATAAAAAGCAATACAGAAAGTTACATGGATGTAAAAACCTTAACCAATTTAAAGCTCAGTTTTCCTGAGTAACTGAAACCTAATAAAGACAACATAGGAAATTGTCTTGGTAAAACATAAATTCTTTGTTTTTTTTTTTTAAGGCCAGTTACCAAAAAGATTAAGAAAAATTTCCTGTACTGTGATTGCTTCTCTTTATAGGAAGGCTGTTTAGATAACCTGAAAGTTACACCTGATGAAAAGAGTAATAAAATTTAATCAGACATAAGAAGAATGTGTCCAAGGTTATGAGGGTACACTGTATTATAGAAGAAAGTAGGCCAGGCATGGTGGCTCATGCCTGTAATCCCAGCACTTTGGGAGGCTGAGGCAGGAGGATAACGAGGTCAGGAGATTGAGACCATCCCAGCCAACATGGTGAAATCCCGTCTCTACTAAAATACAAAAAAATTAGCTGGGCATGGTGGTGCACGCCTGTAGTCCCAGCTACTTGGGAGGCTGAGACAGGGGAATCGCTTGAAACCGGAAGGCGGAGGTTGCGGTCAGCCGAGATCACACCGCTGCACTCCAGCCTGGGCGACAGAGCAAGACTCCATCTCAAAAAAAAAAAAAAAAAGGAAGAAAGTAAACAAACAAGAAAACTTGTACCTTGATAAGGGGAATAGGTGATTCTTAGCAACAGGATGGGAAGTTTTCTGGCAAAAATTCAGACACATCAAGAGTAGCCAAGAGTACAGAATCAAGGTATAGTGAAAGAAAGCATTGTTCTTCCAGGCCTTTAAGATAAACATTTCAGTGTCAGGCTATAAGGGCAGAGTTAGACTGGAGAAAAAAAAGTTATAAGAGGTGATGAAAAGGTTGAAGGAAAGAGTCACTATCCCAGGCAAGGTCTTGCTCTATTGCCCAGGCTGGAGTGCCGTGGTGTGATCATAGCTCACTGCAACCTCAAACTCCTGGGCTCAAGTGATGCTCTTGCCTCAGCCTCCGAAGTAGCTAACACTACAGGTGGTGTACCACTACACCTGGCTAATCTTTAAATTTTTTCATAGAGAAAGGGTCTTGCTATGTCGTCCAGGCTGGTCTTGAACTGGCTTCAAGTAGTCCTCCTGGCTCCCATTTCATAATTTTTAAAAACATGTTTTTCCATAATAAAATTTTTGGATGTATTAATAGACCCAATAAATGTAATCTTTTACAAAATGTAAGCATCAAAGAACACACTTGTATTTATATTCAGTAATTTTGTTCATTAAAAAATAATATTTTTCATATGGTTCATAAAAAATAATGTGTTCTTGTATTTCATTAAAAAATACTATTTTTTAATGAAACAAATTGACCCAGACATTTAACGAATATCTATTATTTTGTTTAACCTAACATAACTTCAAAATTTCAAATTACATGAAAAGTTCATTTATAGACATTTATCCTATTACATTTACCTAAGTTATTTATGTTTTTTTTTTCAAGACCTCACTCTGTCATCCAGGTTGAAGCGCATTGCCGCAACCTCGGCTTACTGCAACCTCCGCCTTCCTGGTTCAAGCGATTCTCCCGCCTCAGCCTCCCGAGTAGCTGGGACTACAGGCATGCACCACCATGCCTGGCTACTTTTTATATTTTTAGTAGAGATGGGGTTTCACCATATTGGCCAGGCTGGTCTCGAACTCCTGACCTCGCGATCTGCCCGCCTTGGCCTCCCCAAGTGCTGGGATTACAGGCGTAAGCCACCGTGCCTGGCTAGTCTTTGGAATTTTACCTGCGGGATTTTTTTGAGGCCTGAATTGAAGATACATTTCTCCATAAAACAATTTTAATTGCTTCCTCTGAGAGCCTTGTGGCTCCACCAACCGGGCTATTTTACATCACAATTTTGGCTTGAGGTGTTTCAGATCACCCGGTTTGCACGAATTCAGGCTTCAGACCTCAGTGAGGACTCTCCTTGTGGCTCTGCATCCTCAGCCTTTACCCACTCCACGCAGGAGATTTCACTTGCAGTGCCCTGGGGAGGTGGGTTTCCTCTTGGTTCACTCTTACATTGAGGATATGACCCTTTGGGGTCTGTAGCAAACACATCTGTTCCTCCTCATCATGCCCCCTCTGTCTGCCTCTGGTCTTAGCCTCAATTGCGGTGGAAGGTTCTGTGTGAACTCTGTCTCAGCTTTCATTTCAGCCACAGTTCCAGTGGCTAGCTCCTGCCTAACAAGCTCATACTCAACTTGTACTGATAGAATCCCACTACAAATGCATACCTCTATGTTCCTGCTTTTGTCCAAGGACTTTTGCCAAAGCCAGCATCTGCTTGGCTTGCATGGCTGGGAAGTCCCTAAGTGAGGGTGAATCGATGTCACTGAAGACAGTCCTCACCCATAGGAGTGGAAGCTGGTGATAAATGCTCCAGCCTCCTGTCCTATTGGACAATTCCGATACATTTTCTCTGTGCTTCTCAAGATGCCCTTACAGAATCTGTAGGAGAACCTCACATACTCAACCTTACACTGCTCCTCCAACTTCTCCCTTTCTAGACCTCCCTGGTTCTCGCTCTTTATTTCTGCAATCACCTCCCAAATAGACTGCCTGCATCCATGTGCTTGTTTTAGGTTTTGATTTTTGTTTGTTTGTTTGTTTTTTTGAGACAGAATTTTGTTCTTGCTGCCCAGGCTGGAGTGCAGTGGTGCGATCTCAGCTCACCACAACCTCCGCCTCCTGGGTTCAAGAGATTCTCCTGCCTCAGCCTCCCAAGTAGCTGGGATTACAGGCATCGGCCACCACGCCCGGCTAATTTTGTATTTTTAGTAGAGACGGGGTTTCTCCATGTTGGTCAGGCTGGTCTCAAACTCCCAACCTCAGGAGATCTGCCTGTCTCGGCCTCCCAAAGTGCTAGGATTACAGGCAAGAGCCACCACGCCTGTAATCCCATTTTTAGGGAACCTAAAAGAAGATATAACCCCACTGCTTTTGCCAGAACAAAAATTTTTTTCTTCTTTTAAATTTCTTCCTCTCCGCTATAGGTGTCTGAGATGGGACAGACACTTATGAGATGAGAGTCCTGGAATTTTCCAAATTTTACATTCATCTTGTGGCATTCTTTATAGATAACATTTATTCATTGGAGCCTGGTGTGGTCTTTGGGCAAAACACCTAACTGTAAAGAAAACTCCAGTTGAAATTTTGCAACCATTATGGCTTTTTTGAAAGTTAGAACTATTCATATACATATTTCCAACTTCCTCTCAAAAATGGCAGATGAGTCAAGAATGTAAGTCAACAGAACGGGTAAATTGGGAAAGGCTAGAATTTTGAAATCACAGATACCTGCTTCCAAAACAGTCCCCGCGAGGGCAGTAATAATGGAGTAGGGCTGCATGCTGCCACCAGAGGGCAGCAGAGGCCGGGAACAGGTGGAGAGGCAAGGCCCAGTTATTCTTACCGTCTGAGATCTGATGCAGACAAGACAAGCATTTATTGGGCTCTGTTACAAGTTGGTCATTGTGCTGGGCACAATAAAAAATCACACAAAGTTCAAAGGCAGAGATCAGAGGTCAGAGCCAACGGGGGAGTGGAACAGAGCAGAATTAAGAGGGCTGTTCTTCAGATCAACTAAGGAACTCCCAAAGACAGCATGTCTGGAAATACAAACACAATACCAGAAATAAATATGATGGCTATTTTTTGGTCTGTTCTTGACCATGGAAGCTGGGTCATCCCTGGAGAATCAGGCGAGGCAAATTTGTAGGGCCACTGAGGGTCAGTCAATCTGCAGATTTACTTTATGCTGATCAGAATTTAAATGGCCCTCTTGGCTGGGTGTTGTGGCTCATGCCTGTAATCCCAGCACTATGGGAGGCTGAGCTGGGGGGATTGCTTGAGGCCAGGAGTTCGAGATCAGTCTGAGTAACATAGAGAGACCCTGTCTCTACTTAGAAAAATTAAAAAATTAGCTGGGCACGATGGCACATGCCTGCGGTCCCAGCTGTTTGGGAGGCTGATGTAGGAGGATCTCTTGAGTCTGGGAGGTCAAGACTGCAGTAAGCTATGATCGCGCCACTGCACCCTAGCGTGGGCAACAGAGTGAGAACCTCTCTCTATAAATAAATCAATAGCTACCTCCCTGAGCAAACATAAAACTTTTTTGGTTTAGTGTCTCTCCCACTGCAGGAATAAACACAATCCCACGTCACAGGTCTAGGCTTTTCCCATCAGGCCAGATGTGTTGGCATTTTGATAATATCCTGTGCTTGCTCTAACATCTAATCTTTGACTCTTACACTTGATGGCAAAATCCTCCAGCTCCCCTAGATGCTCACTGAGGTGGGGGCTGCTCCGTGAGCACTAACTGCTTGGGGATTGCAGGCCTCGTGGCCTTCCTGTATTTTGCCCTGCTGTGAAAACGCAGGCAATATGGCCGGGTGCGGTGGCTCACTCCTGTAATCCCAGCACTTTGGGAGGCTGAGGTAGGAGGACTGCCTGAGCACAGGAGTTTGAGACCAGCCTGTGCAACATGGTGAAACTCCATCTCTACTAAAAATACAAAAATTATCAGGTGTGGTGGCGCGCACCTGTAGTCCCAGTTACTTGGGAGGCTGAGGTGGGAGAATGGCGTGAACCCGGGAGGCGGAGGTTGCAGTGAGCCGAGATCGCGCCACTGCACTCCAGCCTGGGCGACAGAGCGAGACTCCGTCTAAAAAAAAAAAAAGAAAGAAAATGCAGGCAATTACTTCTGCACTCTCAAGTCCCTGTGAGGTGGGACTTGCTCTCTCTCCAAAAGGCCTTGTGGATACTCCCAACCCCACTGGACAGTTACAGCGGTGCAATGGGGAGCTCTGGGAGAATCTGTCAGATTTTCACCAATTGGACTTTTCATTAATAGGTGGGCTTGGTTTCGTGTTGTCACTTTTTTTCTAAATCTTCTCATTACCATGCTAGAAACTCACTTTATTTTTTGGCCTTTCTTATTAGTTTTGTTTTACTTCCTTTTTTTTTTTTTTTTTTTTTTTTTTTTTTTGAGACAGGGTCTCACTCTGTTGCCCAGGCTGGAATGCAGTGGTGTGATCACGGCTCACTGCAGCCGCAACCTCCTGGGCTCAAGTGATCCTCCCACCTCAGCCTCCCAAGTAGCTGGGACTACAGGTGTGCACCACCACACTCAGGTAATTTTCTTTATTTTTTGTAGAGATGGGGTCTCACTGTGTTGCCCAGGCTGGTCTCAAATTCCTGACCTAAAGCGATCTGGCTGCCTTGGCCTCCTAAAGTGTTGGGATTATAGGCATAAGCTTCCATGTCCCGTCTGTTTCACTGTTTGTTTGTTTGTTTTGTTTTGTTTTGTTTTGAGATGGAGTCTTGCTCTGTTGCCCAGGCTGGAGTGCAGTGGCACAATCTCAGTTCACTGCAGCCTCCACCTCCCAGGTTCAAGCAATTCTCCTGCCTCAGCCTCCTGAGTAGCTGGGATTACAGGTGCATGCCACCACGCCCCCCAGCTAATTTTTGCATTTTTAGTAGAGATGGGGTTTCACCATGTTGGGCAGGCTGGTCTCGAACTACTGACCTCAAGTGATCCGCCTGCCTCGGCCTCCCAAATGCTAGGATTACAGGTGTGAGCCACTGCGCCCGGCCTGTTTCACTCTTCTTAAAGAAAATTTTCAATTTTTTTTTTTTTTTTGCTAAATCTTGCTCACCTTAGGCTTTTTCTCCTGCTGTGGCCATGTGTGTTTACACTTGCGGAGCTCCTCCTGTGTTCTTCCTCTGCCTCCCTCCCCCTGGGTGTGATGGTCTAGGGTGAGCTGCTCAGCTCCATCAGTAAATGAAGGTTATGAGTTCTGCTGCTTGGACGGGCTGGGTTCCGGTGACAGGCTTCAGGGACTCGAGTGATGGGTGGCTCCGACGGGTCCTACTTATCTTCGGGCTGGGAGCTGCAGGCATAAAGCTGCCCCTATGACTGCCAGAGCAGGGAGACACAGCAGAGTTCTGGGCTCCCTCCGAGGCTCCCCAACATCAGCTTGCTTCCGCTTCCGTGTCCTCAGACAGGTGAGTCCAGGGCCTACCCCCCTGGACCTACTGAACTAGACCCTGAGTGCGAGGCCCTGGAGCTGCACTTCGACAGCTTCCTAGGTGGTTCCGATAGGGCAGCAGAGAAAGACAAGCAACAGTTTCACCGAGACTGAGCTGCTTGAGGTTCTAGTTCCCACTATGGGCATTTGTTGCTGGAGCCTTTCTCCCTCTGTTTTAGGAAAGTCGACTGGAAGCTCAGTTGGGGTTAGATAAACTCCAGAAGAGATCCCTCCCCATTGGCGGATCAAAGTGGTTTGTGGGCACAATGCATCCCAGGTGCAGGCAATAAGAGGAGATGCTGTCTGCAGAGAATTTAGAAACAGAATAAAGCTGAGTGAGAGAATAAGAGTCAGTCAGCTTTCTCCTTTTGTTTTGTTTTCTTTTGTCTTGTTTTCTTTTATTTTTAGAGATGGAGTTTTGCTATTTTGGGCAGGTTCGTCTTGAACATCTGGCCTCAAGCGATCCTCCCACCTTGGCCTCCCAAAATCTTGGGATTACAGGCATGCACCATCGCGCCCAGCTGAGAGTTGGTCAGCTTTTAATCATCACCATGCCCCAGCAATTCTACCCACCCTGGTCAGGGCTAGAATCTCCCTCCCTGGGGACCAATCCTCTGCCCCTCTATCCCTCCCCACACCACTGCCCCTTCCCAACCACGAGGGAGTCTGATGAACAACTCATTTTTGTTGGTTTCTTTTCAGTGTTTTATTTTTCAAAATATACAATTTAAGTTTTTATTTCACAACCGTAGTTTTGTATATTTATTCCAAAATCTTTAAATAGCTCCGCAGCAAACAGTACAAATCACAAGGTCCGTCAAACTGCTTCTCTTTAGCCTTTACACTTGGCGAGTTTTTTAAGTTTCAAGTAGTAATGGTTTGTGGGTAAGAAAGGAACCAAAAACAGGAGGAAACAACATTTTTTACATAAGCTCAACATGTAGGATTAGAAAGGGCCGTCTGACCAGCTCCTTGGTCTGGGACCAGACTAAGAACATGTATCTGGTTTATAAATAAGACCGTCCTGGGAGCAGTGAGGGTTTTGGTTACGAGGAGGAAGGGGCAGGAACCTCATCTGCGGAGGCTGGGAGGCAGGGGGAGGTGAGGCACTGAGAGGTGGCTCCTTCTGGGAGCGCCCGAGTAGGGGCCTGAGCGGGGTGGAGGCCAAGAATGGCCAGGGACGGGGTGGGGCTGCCACTGGTGGAGAAGCCTCCTCAGCCTCCCTTGGGGAGAAGGGCTGTGATTCTGGAGGCAGGGGAGGGACGGCAAGAAAAGCTGCCAGGTCCTAAAGCAAGCAGCTGGGACTCCTGCCAGCCACCCTGGGCCCAACGACGCAGGCAGCTGGCAGGGCCAGAGGGGCTGCCCCAGGGTCTGGGGTGGACTGTGGGAGGCATCACGCTGTCTCTTCTTGCGAGAGCTCTTTGTCCACCTCAGAGCCACCAAAGCCTCCCCAGAAGGGACAGCAGGGAGGACAGGGACCACAGATCCCACAGACCCACTTCTGACTGTGAAAGCGAGCTGTGCCGTGCAGGCAGCTCCTAGGCAGCCCATGAGGCTAAGGCACAAGGGTGACACAGGTGGCCACGAGGGCTCAGTTTTCTTCATTTCCCCTTGCGGCTGCTACCTGTGGCCACGGCCTGAAGCAGTCCTGTGGGCTGAGCTCTAGGCAGGGACGCTCCAGGAAGAAGTGGGTCACCAAGGGCCACCTGGCCACCAAGTGGATGTGACCCTCCTACCAGGGGTCAGGAGGGCGGTCCTGCCTCAGGGCCCCCTCAGCACCTTCCACTAGGCTGCAGGGCCGGACACAGCCCATCCTGCCTGGCCAAGCCAACCTTCTTAATGGGGTCTGAATGGCGGGTGGGGGTCGGGAAGGGGCCAGGGCCGGGCTGAGGGCAGGACGGAGGGGGTGGGAGTTGTCACTGCGTCTTCAGGTGGGGTTTCTCTGGAGTGAGGGTGTGGAAACAGTAATCCCACAATTTAGTGCTGATACCAAATCCTAGAGAGGGAGACAAACGGGGAGAAGATGAGGCATTGAAGGAGCAGGCGTGCGCTGGCTTGGGAAGGGTGCCAGGGTAGGGATAAGAGGTGGAGACAATGTCAATATCTGTCCCCTTGGCCTTCCCAACTCCCGAGGCCATTCTGGCAGAAGTCAAGGGTGGGGAACCTGTGTCTTTTATTGTCCCCAGCATGAAGCTGGAATAAACCCTAATTCCTTATCTGGCCTTCGTTTCTAGGCTACGTGGCCCCCTCCCACCCCCCACCTCCATCTCCTTCCCCTTCCTTGGGGCCCAAGTTCATTCCTGCCTCAGGGCTTTGCACCAGTCGCTCTTGGGACGCCAGATGCTGATTTCTCTTCATTAGGGTCTTAGCTCTAATGGCACCTCTGCAATGACACCTGGACCATTTAATCTCTTTGCTGTCCAACTAGCCCTTAGCCACACATGGCTACTGAGCACTAGAAATGTGGCTAGAGCTCCAGAGAAACTGAATTTCTAACTTCATTTAATTCTGATGAATTAACATGTCAATGTAAAAACTGATGCTTGATTGAGTTACTGGAATTTTTTTTTTTTTTTTTTTGAGATGGAGTTTCGTTCTTGTTGCTCAGGCTGGAGTGCACTGGTGTGATCTTGGCTCACTGCAAGCTCCGCCTCCTGGGTCCAAGAGATTCTCCTTCCTCAGCCTCCTGAGTAGCTGGGATTACAGGCGCGCACCACCATATCCAGCTAATTTTTTGTGTTTTTAGTAGAGAGGGGGTTTCAACATGTTGGCCAGGCTGGTCTTGAACTCCTGACCTCAGGTGATCTGCCCGTCTCGGCCTCCTCAAGTGTGTTACCGGAAAATGTTTAAGCATGTTTGGAGCAACTTACCTATGTGAACTACTGTTTGCAAATTTTATAAAATCTAGATATGGATCTAGTATTTCTAATGAAACTTTAGTATCTGAATTGAGATGTGCTGTAAGTACAAAATACACCTTAGATTTCAAAGACTTAGTATAAGAGTTGCTAATTATTTTTTTTTAAAGAGACTTTACAAAAAGGGTCTCACTCTGTCACCCAGGCTGGGGTGCAGTGGCATGATCATAGCTCATTGCTGCCTCAAACTCCTGGGCTCAAATGATCCTCTTGCCTCAGCCTTCTAGGTAGCTGAGATTACAGGTGCATATCACCACACATGGATAATTAAAACTTTTTTATGTAGAGACAAGGTCTTGCTATGTTTCCCAGACTGGTCTGGAACTCCTGGCTTCAAGCAATCCCCTGCCTCCGCCTCCTATAGTGCTGGGATTATAGGCCTGAGCCACTGCGCTCAGCCATTAATGATTTTTTAATGTTGATTACATGTTGAAATAATAATTTGCTTATGTTAAGTAAATGTTATTAAAATTCTTTTCATCTGTTTATTTTCATGTCTTAGTGTGGCCACTAGAAAATTTAAAATCACATATGTGGCCCACATAATATGTCAGTGGAAATCGCTGGACCCTCCCCCACCTATGTGATATTCCATCACCTTGCTTTACTTTCTTCTTCTTCTTCTTTTTTTTTTTTTTTTTATAGACAGAGCCTTGCTCTGTTGCCCAGGCTGGAGTGCAGTGGTGCAATCTTAGCTCACTGTAGCTTCTGCCTCCTGGATTCAAGCTATTCTCATGCCTCAGCCTCCCAAGTAGCTGAGATTATAGGTGGGCACAACCACACCCCGCTAATTTTTGTATTTCTAGTGGAGACAGGTTTCACCATGTTGGCCAGGCTGGTCCCAAACTCCTGACCTCAAGTGATCTACCTGCCTCGGCTTCCCAATCCCCTCGGCTGGGATTACAGGTGTGAGCCACCACACCCAGCCCCTTTATTTTCTTTATGGCATTTATCACAGTTTGAAATCTTTGCCATTTATTGATGTCCTTGCCTGTCTCTGCACAGCTGTCTGCACCAGGGAAGAGAGTAGAGGGAACCCTCTGTATATGCCCCGTACATGGAACAGTGCCTTGCCGTTCCCAGGAGCTCGATGGTAGTTGGCAAATAAATCAATGAACACACATAGGGGGCTGGGAAGCACAGGCCCATCCTCACCT
Organism: Homo sapiens; assembly: GCF_000001405.40. Lineage (NCBI taxonomy): Eukaryota > Metazoa > Chordata > Mammalia > Primates > Hominidae > Homo > Homo sapiens. Next base: position 74,716,349 of record NC_000016.10, read on the forward strand.
GACTTCTGATGTGCAAAGTGGTGCTTGACGTGGTGGGCCTTCAGGCTGTACAGGTAGGAGCCCTTGTGCGGCGAGCCAAAGTGCAGGTAGTAATGGGTCATGTCATAGAGGACGTAGCCCAGGAGGCCCCCCGCAAACACAGTGCCCCCTACTGCCTCGGGCAGGATGAGCTGCATGCACAAGTAGAAGACGCCGATCACCAGGGAGGCTGGCACAGGGGGGAAGACCAGGCGGGAGCCGTCGAAGGGTGCCTGCAGATGGAGAGGCTTGGGCATCAGGAGGCAGCCAGGGGCCCCGGCAGCTGGCCAAACCCTGGCCACTCCCTGCAGAGGACAGGGGCACAGCGGCCCAGACATTCCACTGCGTAGGCTTGGCACCTTTGGTGGCTTTGGGGAGGGCGGGCCACCACGTCTGGAAGATCTGGAGAGACTGTCTTACTTCCCATTTGTGAGCCAGGAAGGGACCTGGCAGATTGCAAAGGAACATGGGATGGGCGGGATGGGCAGGATGGGCAGGATGGGTGGGGTGTGCTGGCGGCTCAGAGCCCATCTTATAGAGGCCACTGTGACTCTGGAATTTGTCAGGTGCTAGACAGGTATCCCATCCCTAAATGCCGTGCCCCTGGCTAGAGGGGCATTCTGGAGACAGGGCACCTAGACTGAGGCCTGATGTTGTCTGGGAGAGCAAGGCACTGAGGGCAACTGAGGTTAATGCAGCCTCTGTGGCGGGATGACCCGGAAGTGTCACTAGAGGTGTCCTCCCCACCCCCATGTCCAAACAGGAGGCCTTTTTTGTTCCAAGGGGGTGTCGCCACAGTGAACCAGAGAACACCGCTTCACCGTGGCCCTCGAGCTTCAGAAGCCAAGGGCCTGGCATAGAGGTGAGATCTTAGCTATGGCTTGGTGAGGAGTCTGAGAAGAGAATCCTGCAGCCTCTCTGGGCTGGAGGAGAGAGAGAGAAAGCAGGTGACAGTGACACAATGAGATGCTGGCGTGGGCCTCCCTCCCTTCAGACCAGGAACAACAGGACCAGTGATGTGCTGGAAAACCAGCTCTCAGGAAAAGGAGGAAGGGAGAGAGCTGGGGAATGAGGGAGGGGGAAATAAAGGGAGGGAGGGAGAGCCCTGATTGGTAGTGTTTGCCAATTCCTGCAGTGTGAAAACTGCCCTGGCGCTTTCAAGCGCTGAGGTGGCGTCACTGGAACAGAAACAGGAAAGGATGTGCATGGGTGCTCTTGTGAGCTGGTATGGGCCAGATCCGGGTCACAGCTGGATCAGGATCCTTAGATGGATAGGTCTGGGGATCTGAGAACACGTTCCTGATTGGAGCCCACGTGGCTACAGGCCATACAGTCTCCTCGGGTCCTCATGGTGTGGCAGCAGGGGACTGGACAGACTGGGGTGGAAGTGTCTCAAAAGAGGGAGCCTGAGACAGCCCCTGGGGCCCCAGAATGGCCTGAGCAGGTTCCCAGAAGGTTCTGGTGTCCCCTGTGGATGGGAAAGATAGCGGACAGGGCAGTGGATCTGAAAAGGCTTCACAAACAGGGCAAGGGACACAGAAGCAGATGCAGTGAGCTCTGCAGAGCAGAGGCCAGGTGAGGCTGGAGGACACAGGCCAGGCCTGGGCTGCGCTACCTCTGAGAGCATACCTGAGAGACAGGTTGGCCCAGGACTGGGCACCCACCCTGATACTGGCCCCTAGGAAAGCCCCCTAGGATGCAGATCAACTCTGGGGAGAGCCGGGAGGACCACAGCCAACCAACCTGAGAACTGTCCCAGGCGGCCGATCAAACCCCGAATCGGCTCATCGAGATGAACCGGATTAAGTTGCTGCTGGGAAACCAAGGTGAAACCCACGTTCAGTATCAGCGACATCAGGGTCTAAACTGGTGTCCCGAAAGTATCATATCTGCCATATTTTCTCTGATTTATGCCCAGCAGAGAACAGAGTGTGGAGACGGGCTGGGGAACAGCCTGGGATGGGCCAAGGACAGCACAATGCAGGGACAGAGAAGCAGCGGGGGGTACAGGGGAGGTAGCTTCCTTTGGGCAGACCTATCTTCTCGGGCCAGCTTCTGGGACTGTCGTGGAGTCCTTGAAGGGCCTCAGGGGAAGGGTGATTGAGAGCGCAGACTCTGGAATCCCCAGAATGGGGTACGACATCCTGGCTGTGCCAAGTGTGACCTGGGGCAAGTTCCTTAGTCCTCCTAGGCCTCAGTCTCCTGCTCTGTGGAACGGGGAGAACCATGGGGCTGTTTTCAGCACAAGCTCCAGGAGCGCAAGGCTTTTTGTTGTTTTGTTCAATGATGTCTAGAACAGTGTCTCGCACACAGGAGGCACTCACTGGGCATTTGCTGAATGAATGAACGAATGAATGAGTTGTTTTGAGGATTAAAGGTGATGCGTAAACAAGGGTGCAGAGGGCCTGGGGTCAGCTTGATGCTGCACACCCACGCTGTCCCCGCCTGGCTTAGGTTCGGATGCCCAACCCAGTTGCCCCGTGAGTCACATCAAACGTCCCGTCCCTCCCAACCCACAGCCAGACTCCCAGGAGGCTCCGCAGCACCTGAAGCTGCGGCTGGCTGCCGGGCCCTCTCGGGCTGCACATGCTAGGTCCGGGCTGGGACCCCGCCCCGCTCACCTTGTGGTGCTGGCCGTGCATGACGAAGTGCAGCATGATGAGGTAATAGCTGTCGCTGGGGGGCTTCATGTGGAACAGGAAGCGGTGGATGAGGTACTCGATGAGGCTCCAGAGGAATGTCCCCAGCATGAAGAGCCCGGGGAACATGGACTTGGGCACTGCCACCGTGTACTCTGCAGGGTGGCAGGGAGAGCGAGGTGAGGACCGGTGCATAGCAGCCTGGTAGCTCCAGGTGTCCCTGCCTCACCATCCCCATCAGCTCGGGAGCTGCTGCCCTCTGTTGGACAGCTACAGGGCCAGGCCATACTGCTGGGGTCCTTGAGTCAAAATGGGAAGGAGGCTGTAGGACTCTGGTCTGGGTCTGGGAAGTCCTTTACAGGAGTGATGGGCCACTGGCTGGAGGCCTGACATCCTCCTTACAGAGGCTGTGGGAGGAGTGGCTGTGGCTGGGGCTGGGCCTTTACCTGGAAGGGTGACCTTGCCCCAAGGACATTGGAGAAGAGAAGGCGACACTCCTGAGCCAGGGCGTTGTTATTATTATCTTGAGACAAGGTATCTCTGTGTCGCCCAGGTTGGAAGACTGGAGTGCTGGAGTGCTGGAGGGCAGTGGTGTGATTACAGCTTACTGCAGCCTTCCCTTCCTGGGCTCAAGCGATCCTTCCACCTCAGCTTCTCAAGTAGCTGGGACCACAGGTGCATGCCACCGCACCCAGCTAATTTTAAATTTATTTTTTATTTTTATTTTTTTTGTAGAGACGAGATCTTGCTATGTTGCCCAGGCTGGTCTCAAACTCCCAGACTCAAGCAATTCTCTCGCCTTGGCCTCCCAAAGTGCTGAGATAACAGAAGGGAGCCACTGTGCCTGGCCTCCAGGGTGTTAATGATGGGAAGTGTGACCCACCAGGGACCATGGGGCAGGAAGGACAAGAAAAAACAAGCACCGAGATCTCAACAGACAAGACCTGAAATCATAGCACAGGAGGAAGATGTGAAAACACTGAAGATGATCAGCCTAGGTGGAGAGGAGAAGACTGGAGACAGGGCACCATCTTCAAGCACATGCTTCCCACCACCCTCCGGAGACAGCCTGCAGTCCTAGCGGCTTTCAGCTCTTTCCTCCACCTCATTCATTCTTTGACCTCATGGAGATTTCAGCTCTCATTCCTGTTTGCTCCATATATTCATCCTCATCCTTTTTTTTTTTTTTTTTTTTTTTTTTTTTTTGTGAGATAGAGTCTTGCTCTGTTGCCTAGGCTGGAGTGCAGTGGTGTGATCTCAGCTCACTGCAACCTCCACCTCCCGGGTTCAAGTGATTCTCCTGCCTCAGTCTCCTGAGTAGCCGGGATTACAGGTGTGTGCCACCACACCTGGCTAATTTTTATATTTTTAGTAGAGAGGGGGTTTCACCATATTATCCAGGCTGGTCTTGAAATCCTGACCTCAAGTGATCTGCCCTCCTCAGCCTCCCAAAGTGCTGGGATTACAGATATGAGCCACCGTGCCCAGCCCATCCTCATCCTCTTATCTTTGTTTCTTTTCTCTACAAACCATAGCTTTGGCCATATCTTCTCTCTTCTTAACGGCTTTATCTAAATCTAATTCACATCCATATAATTCATCCAAATAAAATATATAATTCAGTGCTTTTTAGTACACTCACAAAGTTGTTAAACCGTCACCCCAGTCAATTTTACAACATTTTTATCACTTCCCCGCCAAGCCCCTGTACCCATTAGCAGCCACTCCCCATTTCTTCTCAGACCCTCCCAACCCTAGGAAGCTACAGGTCTACTTCCTCTTTGTTGGATTTGCCTATTCTGGACATTTCACGTCAATTGAATCATATGACATATGGTCTTTTATGACCGGCTTCTCTTACCGAATATGTTCAACATTCACCCATGTTGTAACATGTATTACAACTCCATTCCTTTTTAAGACTGAATGATATTCAAACTTTATTCATCCATCCATCAGTTGAGGGACACCTGGGCTGTTTGTAGCTCTTGGCTATTGTGAATAGTGCTGCTATGCACATTCGTGTAGAGGTTTCAGTGTGAAAAGATGTTGTCCTTTCTCTTGGGTACAAGCCCAGGAGTGGTACTGTTGGTTCATATCATAACTCTATGTTTAACCTTTTGAAGAATAGCCAGACTGTTTTCCAAAGCTAGCCATTCTCTCTCTCTTTTTTTTTTGTGAGGCAGAGTTTCGCTCTTGTCACCCAGGCTGGAGTGCAATGGGACGATCTCGGCTCACTGCAGCCTCCACCTCACGGGTTCAAGTGATTCTCCTGCCTCAGCCTCCCGGGTAGCTGGGATTATAGGTGTGCGCCACCATGCCCAACTAATTTTTGTATTTTTAGTAGAGACAGAGTTTCAACATGTTGGTCAGGCTGGTCTTGAGCTCCTGACCTCAAATGATCCACCCACCTTGGCCTCCCAAAGGGCTGGGATTACAGGAGTGAGCCATCATGCTTGGCCTAGCCGTTCTCTTTTAACCCTTACTCCATCTCCCTCACCTGCACCCATGAACCCTCACCCCTGGGTCAGCGCAGGAACCTGCCTTTGTACCCCATACCCAAGCTGCTGAGCATGGAGACTCACACAGCTGTGGGTCTGGCACCTTTAACCTCTGCAAGACCCTAGACACAGCCTGATGGATGATCCCTGTGCATCTTCAAGTTCAGCTCCCTCCCCACTGCCCTTGAACACGCTCTACTCCCCTTTACTGCCTCTCCTTCCACCCAGCTTCCTACTTCACAGAGAAGAGAGGCCCTGGGGTTGGGGAGGAACTATCCCCTCCACATACTTCCCCCAACTTCCAAGCACACCACATTCTGCCGGTACCCTGGCGCATCCTCCTTGCTTCTCAGGGAAGAGGTGTGCACCGGCACGCGGGCGCTGGATGATCAGAGCAACAGTAACGGCAGATGTGTCCTGACTGATTCCTGTGTGCCAGGCACCGCCCAAGGGCCTTCCATGGATTACTTCCTATTTCATCTCACCACAGCCTTACAAGGGAAGCCCTGCATTGCCTGCATGATTGAGGACGTGGAGGCCCAAAGTCCATGACTTGCCAGGCTCCCCCTGCTCGGCAGTGCAAAGCCCTCAGCCGCCTCCTCCCACCCTCCCTCCCAAGGGACTCCTCTGGGCTCCTTCAGTCTCTCCTTTTCTCCTGGCTCTTCTGCTCATCTTTCTGAGGTAGGCAAGACTTTCCCATCATGGACTCAGCCCCTTCATCATCAAGGCTCCTAAAAAGTCAGGCTAGGCTGAACATGGGGGCTCATGCCTGTAATCCCAGCACTTTGAGAGGCTGAGGTGGGAGGATCGTTTGAGCCCAGGAGTTTGAGGCCAGCCTGGGCAACACAGTGAGACCCCGCCTCAACAAAAAGTAAAAAAATTAGCTGGGCATGGTGGCTCATGCCTATAGTCCCAGCTACTGAGGAGGCTGAGGCAGGGGGATCACTTGAGCCCAGCAGTTCAAGCCTGCAGTGAGCTGTGATTGCACCATTGCACTCCAGCCTGGATGACAGAGCAAGACCCTGTCTCAAAAAGAAAAAAAGAAAAGAAAACGTAGGTTGGACTCATGGCTCCACTTTGCCACTTCCCATTGGCTTGTCAAGTCCTTAAAAATCTGTCTTCTGGGCCGGATGCAGTGGCTCATGCCTGTAATTGCAGCACTTTGGGAGGCTGAGGTGGGCGGATCAGCTGAGGTCAGGAGTTCGAGACCAGCCTGACCAACATGGAGAAACTTCCGTCTCTAAAAATACAAAAATTAGCCGGTCATGGTGGTGCATGCCTGTAATCCCAGTTACCTGGGAGGCTGAGGCAGGAGAATCGCTTGAACCCGAGAGGCAGAGGTTGTGGTGAGCCAAGATCGTGCCATTGCACTCCAGCATGGGCAATAAGAGTGAAACTCCATCTCAAAAAAAAAAAAAAAAAAAAAAATCTGTCTTCTGCCCCAAACCACCAGAACTTCAAAGGCTATTCATGATGTCTTTCTTGCCAAATCTAAGCATATTTTTTAGTCCACCTCTAAGCTGGCTGTGGCATATGACATTAGCTCTACTCTCTTCTTCAATCTGCAGCTGCCTAGGCGTTTAACCTGAGGCTTATGAATATCCGAGGGTACTACGTTGGATTGCAGAGTGTCTGTGAACTTGCTAATATATCAAATTGTACACCTATGGGCATTTTTTCTCTGTACTGTGTCCACAGTTTCTCAAATTCTCAAAGGATCCGGGAGCAATAAGGTTGGAATCCATAGCTCCCCCTTCTGCCTGCCGCCACACTTGGCTTTTCTCCTCTTCCCTGGATCTCCCTGCTCAGGCTCCATCTTGGAAACTCTGCCCTTTGTCCCCAGGGTCCAAACCTGGACCCTCTGCCTCTCAGCTCAATCCCTTCCTCTCCCACATGCTGACGACCGAAGCTCTACACCAACTCCACCCTGGGTGGCCACGCCCTACTGGACAGCTCCATGTGGTTGTCCACAGTCCCCACCGTGAACACCTCCCAAATGAGGCCAACCGTCTTCCTCCTTCTTCCCGCCCACCTCCTCTTGGGTTTCCTTCCTGGGAGGCTGTGGTTACTGACATCCACATATTACCAAAGGAGTCAGGTTCAAGTGACCCCTCTCCCATGGAGTCTTAGCTGGGCTGGTCTGGTTGGTGAGAGACCCTGCTTCCAGAGAAACCCTGATACCTCTGGGGTCCATAAGGTCATTCCGGTGAAGTGCAGAGAGCACAGGCATTGGATTTGCAGACCTGGATTCAAATCCTGGCTCAGCACCGCCTAGGTGTTACAGTTTCCTCAGGGAAACACCCTACCCATCTTGGAGGGGTGTAGTTAGGATGGAGGTAACAGAGTATCTGATTATATGATGAGTATATACATTGTATTATATAATAATATTAATATTATATTTTCTTTTTTTGAGACGGAATCTCACTCTGTCATCCAGGCTAGAGTGCAGTGGCATGATCCTGGCTCACTGCAACCTCTGCCTCCTGGGTTCAAACGATTCTCCTGCCTCAGCCTTCCAAGTAGCTGAGATTACAGGCACACACCATCATGCCTGGCTAATTTTTATATTTTTAGTAGAGACTGGGTTTCACCATGTTGGCCAGGCTGGTCTCAAACTCCTGACCTCAGGTGATCCACCCACCTCGGCCTCCCAAAGTGCTGGGATTACAGGCGTGAGCCACCGTGCCTGGCCTTAGCTCTCTTGTTGGTAAGGAAAGGACTGGACGTACGGGAGCACTCTCCGGCGCAGACTAAGGTCCTGGCCTCTGCCGGGCCCCGCACACCACCCCACTGGAAGCCTGCCTCCCCTCCTCTCAGGGATGCCACTCGCTCTAACGTGCTCTCAGAAGCTGCTCTGGAGCCATCCTGAGTATGCAGCGCCGCCCCCTTTCCCCCGTCTCCTCAGCTTTTGAAAGCATTTTCATGTGCGCATCTAGGAATGTCAGCCTTGAACTGGTGTCTGCGTTCAGCTTCCACTGCTTCTTGGCACCCTGACTCTTCTGTATTGATTCCAGTGCGTCCTTTGTCCAGCAGCTGCACTAGGATCCCGCCGAGTCTCCCCTTGCCTTGCTTTGTGGGCTCTTATTTTCTCTGCCTGTGGCTTGTGCCTTGCATGACAAGCTGGGGGCTGAGGGAGGCACGTGGAGACGTTATCTCTCATGCCCCCATCACTGGCATCATGGTCACAGGCTTACTAACCCTCTACACTGGACCTTTATAAGACAGGCACATTTTAGCTCTCTGCCAAGGCCGTGTGGCTGATAGAGCCCTCAAATCATCCTCCCTGCCATGCAGGAAAGACCTCTCCTATAGGTCAAGCCTCTGCCCGCCCCCTCACCCCAGCATCACCCCTGTCTGCCCATCCGGCCGGAGCTGGTACTGAGTGGCATCTCTGGAGGAATCCGGCGGAGGGACCTGGGCCAAAGCTTCAGCATCCCCTTCCCCCTCCGGCTGCCAGCCCTGGCGGCCCTGCCACTGTTTGTGATTGTTAGGGGAGTGCCGGGCGGACAGTGGGTGATTCAGCGAGCAGGCCTTCTGAGCAACAAGCTCCGTGCTGTGCCTGAGCTATTCAGCGTGAGCAGAACAGGGCAACCATGGCTCGAGGGATGCCTGCAGTAACCCTCGGTGACCGGGAGGAGCTCTGGGCTGGATTTGGGGGAACTTCCTGCAGCTCGCTCACCAGACTCATCCTGGGTCAGGTGGATAAATGAAGTTCCTGATGCCGTGACCATGGCCCCTCTCATGTCAACCATTCAGGCACTTGACTTGCAGAGTGCAGGGAAAAGAGCTTCCCCTGGCAGAGTGAGGGCAGCTCAGGAAGCTCAGAGCCAGGACAGACAGACCACAGGGCAGGTGGCATGTACCTGGAGGCCCAAGGTAGGCAAGATGCTTGTGGGGCTGGCTGTCCCAGCGGCTATACTTAAACCCACAGTCATCCTAAACCCCAGTCTCATAGGCTCTTTAGACACTGCCCCATATCAGCCTGTCTTTTCATCCTCTGCCCCCCAGCTAGAAGCTGGGGCGCACCTGGTATCCACATCCTAGCCACACGCCTTTCAGCTACTCCCTTGATATCTCTGAGGCTCCATTTCCTCAGCTCTAAAAGGGGATAATGACAGGACCCTTCTTATGGGGCTGCTGGGAGGGGTAAATGAGGCGGTCCTGGGAGAACACGTGGCCCCGCACATGGCAAGTGTCCCATAGAGGTTAGTGGGCCATTACTCCCAGTCTGGGGGTCTGCTGCCTGAGCCTTTGCCTTGGACACACTCTAGGACACTCCCAGATCTTTCTCTCCCAAGTTCTCTGCTAATCTGTGCTGGGTTCATAGGCCAGTCCGAGTCTAGCTCTCAGCTGTGTCACCCGATGAAGTGATTTCATTTAGTTTCTTAGCAAAGAATCCCACATCATGTGTCTTTTGGTGTGACACTCAATGAGAGGCACTCAATCTCTCTCTCTCTCTTTTTTTATTGCTATGCCACCCGATGATTCCATTTAGTTTCTGCTGATGTGTTGTTGGGTTTTGTATCCATTTGGGGGGTAGATGGGAGTCAGACAAAATTCTTCTTTGGAAGACTATTTCTACAGAGAGGCTTCACCAAAAATGTCTGTGATGTAGTTTGGGGTTCTGTGCTCTCAGAAACTCTGGGCCAGGGAAAGCACTGAGGTCTCCTCCCTCTAGGATCCTCAGGGCAAGTCAGGAAAGAAACTGGCATTACCTGTTGTAAATGACGTGAAGAGTCGGACGTTGCCCTGGGCAAAGGTTCGGTAGTAGGACCAGCTGAGATACAGCACCAGGGGCACCCAGATGATGGGGACACTGTACCTGCAGGAAGGCCATCAGGGTGAGAGAGATACATGCACAGGAGCTTGACAGAGTACAGCTTTCTTTTTTTTTTTGAGACGGAGTTTCACTCTTGTTGCCCAGGCTGGAGTGCAATGGCGTGATTTCGGCTCACTGCAACCTCTGCCTCTGGGGTTCAAGTGACTCTTCTGCCTCAGCCTCCCAAGTAGCTGGGATTACAGGCATGTGCCACCACACCCAGCTAATTTTGTATTTTTAGTAGAGATGGGGTTTCACCATGTTGTCAGGCTGGTCTCGAACTCCTGACCTCAGGTGATCCACCCACCTTGGCCTCCCAAAGTGTTGGGATTACAGGCGTGAGCCACCATGCCCGGCAGGGTCCAGCTTTCTTAGAGACACATAACTCAACTGGATTGGGGACAAGATGACACCAAAGCATATGCAGAATGCCTATGGAGACCTGGGGTCAAAGGGACACTGGTACAGGGAGTGGGGAAGAGAAAAGAGGAGAGAGGCTGTGAGTCCATCTGCCTCCTGTCTCTGAGATGAGTTACTGGCAGAAAAGAACTGTGTCCCCAGGGCTACTGACTCTATGCAACTGGTCAGATGCTGACCTCTTGTGGCAGAGGAGCTAATTGCAGGCAAAATTGTTCCCATGCGCATCGTGGGCAAGAAACTCCTCATAAGAGTCTGGAATAGACCAGAGGTGGCATTCAATGTAGTTTCTGGCTACATGCTGGGTTGTGACCCACCCAGTGGACAAAACCATGCATAGGGATGAATTATTCCCATGGCATGTTCCTCCCTCCCTGACAGCTTTACAGCATAGACCTGGGCTCTGGGGAGGGACTCAATTGCCCCCTCCCTTTCCATATCTGATTGGCACCGTCAGAAGAGAGGGACAGCCTGCCACAGGCTCAGGGAAGAGCTCACCAGACAGTCTTAGAGAGGCCCTCAATGAGGTCTGAGTGGAAGAGGCGGATGGGCCTGGTCACCGGCTGGTGAACCCACTCATCGTACTTCTCTCCCAAGTGGCCCACCTGCCACAGGAGAGGCTTTCGCCAGTCCACCAGGTCCTGCAAGAGATGAAGCCAAGTGGACGTTTGATATTCACGTCTTCCCATATTCGTTCTCCCATTTCCTCGTTACAGCATCCCAATCCCCTGCTCCTACCTCAGCTCCTGTGATCTGTGTGGGGCCACCCACCCTCCTGCTTCAGTGATCAAGAACTGACCAAGCTGCTCATCCCAGCCCCCAGCCACAGCAATAGGATCCGGTAAAGGTTTGCGACCTAAGCTGGTGTGATGAGCCATCAGATGATCCCTCTTTCTGTTGGAGGTGCTAAATCGGCAGGGCATGAGCCTGGATTTACTAGCAGAGCCTGCCTGAAGATGCCACCAGCACAGAAGATGGCCAAACCAAGAGCTAGAGAGACAGAATCTCAGTGATGATATCTGAGCATCCAGATTCAGCCACATCTGAAGTTTAAAGTCTTGCTCAGGACTCTTGAGGTACAGGAGGTAATACATTTTGTATCAGGAATGAAGTGGGCTCTTTTCCCCAGGCTTCTTGGTGTTGGCCTGGGTAATTAATTCATTCAATCATTTATTCAGCAATTTATTTTTTATATATATATTTATTTCTATGCTAGGTGCTGGGAAGAATCAACAGGAATGAAAGAGGCCAACCTTGTTTCATGTAGCTTAGTGCTTACAGTTAGACTCGGAAGTCAGGCCTGGGTACAAATCCATTTGCCATTTACTGTGTGATTTCTGGAAAATTACTTAACCTCTCTGAGCCTCAGTTTCCCCAGCTATAAAATGGAAGTAATTGTTGGTTGCAGTAGCTCATGCCTGTAAACCCTGCATTTTGGGAGGCTGAGGCAGGATAACTGCTTGAGGCCAGTAGTTTGAGACCAGCCTGGGCAATAGTTCGAGACTCCGTCTCTTCAAAAATAAAAAAATAATAACGGTACCTGCATTAAGTGCTCAATGAGATGTGGCATGCCAAGCAGGATAGTTTAGTGGAGATACAAAGCAGGCTGAGATCCAGAGGCAGAATGGCTGGTACAAATGCCCGGGTCACGGTAGGCGAGGAGGGCTTTGCAGAGGATCTGGGTTTTGGTTTGGAGTTCATCAACATGGGGGATTTGACAAGGGGGAGAGAGGAAAGGATGACAGGGAGTGTGGGCACAGATGTAAAGTTGAATATGGTTGTGGCCTTTCTGGCACCTTAACAGTGCTCTGTGGGCAGCAGGAAAAAAGCTGCTGAAGGCTTAGATGATAGAACACCCTGTACCACATCCAGGAGTTGCTTATTCTCCAGGCCTGTTGTCTCCAAGGCAAGGATGTACGTGTACTCCATCGGTACTCACAGGCTAATCCCCAGAGGCAGGGAGAAAATATTAACGACCCTATTTCTATTGCTATTATTTCTATTTATTTGTGTTTGTAATATATTTATCTCTTTCTTTTTTTTTTTTTTTTTTTTTGAGACAGAGTCTCGTTCTGTCGCCAGGCTGGAGTGCAGTGGCATGATCTCAGCTCACTGCAACCTCCGCCTCCTGGGTTCAAGTGATTCTCCTGCCTCAGCCTCCTGAGTAGCTGGGACTACAGGCACGCACCACCACGCCCAGCTGATTTTTGTATTTTTAGTAGAGACGGGGTTTCATCATGTTGGCCAGGATGGTCTTGATTTTTTTTTTTTTTTTTTTTTTTTTGAGACAGAGTCTTGCTCTGTCACCAGGCTGGAGTGCAGTGGCACGATCTCAGCTCACTGCAACCTCCGCCTCCCGGGTTCAAGTGATTCCCCTGCCTCAGCCTCCCAAGTAGCTGGGATTACAGGCACATGCCACCTCGCCCGCTAATTTTTTGTATTTTAGTAGACAAGGGGTTTCACCATGTTGGCTAAGATAGTCTCAATCTCCCGATCCTCGTGATCTGCCCGCCTCGGCCTCCCAAAGTGCTGGGATTATGGGCGTAAGCCACCACACCCGGCCTCTTATTTGTTTTATTAAGAGGTGGGTCTTGCTGTGTTGCTCAGGCTGGACTTGAACTCCTGGGCTCAAGCGATCCTCCTGCCTCAGCCTCTTGGGTAGCTCAGACTACAGGAGCGTGCCACTACGCAGGCTTTATCTCACCTTTACACGGCATTTGAATGTTTTCTAATGCACAGACTGTGAGAGTACATTAACACATGCAAATACTTTAGAAATAATTTAAATGGACACATAATGGAGAGTGTGTGCAGAAAGTTTCACTCATAGGGATGCAAGCTCAGAAAAGTTTGCAGGTTTCAGCTCCAGGCAACTAGAAGCCCTTGAGGATTTCTGACAAGCCAGTGCTGGGTTAATCTGGACCGAATCCAGGAAAGAACAATGAACCTGGAGTCAGGGGAACACCATTAGAGCCTGGCTGTGCCTTTGACCAGCTGTGAGATCCTGGACGTGCATCTTTTCCTCCCGGAGCCCCTCAGTGCCCTCATCTGTGATGCTGGTGGGCCCCAATCTGCCACACACAATCGGAGTGAGGATGAGGGTGTCTCGGTGGATGCTCAGCCAATCTTCAGCACGGGGAGTCAGGCAGCCACTGCAGGTGGGAAGTAGGGGAACCACAGGCAGGGAGAGGAGGGGAGAGGAGCAAGGGCTGCACGTGGAAGAGCTTGCAAGCCTGGACGAAACAGCCATCAGTGATTCCAGAAACCTCCTTCCCCTGGCCCTGGCTGCAATCTCATCCTTGTACAGGCCTCTCCACCAAAGCCTGCAGCCACAGCGGGTCTTCCAGGAACTAGCCCTTACATGCCCCCCAGCTGCTCTGGAGGTGGAGCTGGTCTCGCCCATCACAGCCTGGGAGCAGGGGGGTGGGGGTCCTGGGAGCAAGCAGGCAAGGCCACTGGGTTTCTCTCTGTGCCTGTGACCAGGGTGAAGGGCCCAAAGGAAGCTGTGGCTTCTGCCATGTGAACTTGGCAGGTCCCAGGTACTGGCTGCCTTCCTGTGGCAGGGGTGGGGGTTGGGGGGTTCACTTCCTGCTTCTCAGGCTGGAAGATGATCCAAGTCAGCCTGGAGCTATCCCGCCCTGGCACTAACTAAATCAAGCAATCATCCAAACTCCACCTAGTCGCTGCTCCCTTCCTTACCCCAGTCTCCTTGACCTCAGCCCTTGAGTCTAGCAGCAAGTGGAGTCATTGGAAGTGTGCTGTCTCATTCCCTCCAGTCCTCTGCCCTAGGTCTGTAAACACACACACACACACACCCTGCACCACCACAACCGCTACCACCACCATCAGGAAAAAGAACTGGAGGAACCAGCTGGTGGCCTGTGTTTACACCTTATCTTGCGGCAGTCTGCAGAGCCCCACCTTAGAAGAAGTTGGGCCAGGGTCAAGGCGAGAATGTAAGGCTTTGTCCCAGCTACAGTAGCACTCAGAGCTAATCCCCATGGAGCCCTGGTTATGTGTCAAGCATGGTTCTAAACACCTGACACAGGTTCAGTCACTTGATCCTCGCCATACCCCTAACTAGGCGTGTATTCTAACTATTGTCATTTTGCAGTTGGGGAAACCGAGGCTGAGTAATCTGCCCAAGGTCGCCCAGTTATGTCTCCTTGATGAGTTGGCCCCTTTACCACTGGGAAAGAGCCATCTTGGGCCCTGGAAATACTCCTTCTCCCGAAGTCCGCTTGGGTATTAATAGAATCACACTGGTTTCCTGAAGCTTGCTGTGCGCAGGATCCCTGTTTTCCCATACTTTTACTTTCAACCTGTGTATGTCTTTACATTTAAGGTGCATCTCTTGCAGACAGAATATAGTTGGGTCTTCCTTTTTAATCTAGTCAGACAATCTCTGCCATTTTTTTTTTTTTTTTGAGAAGGAGTTTCACTCTTTTTGCCATCTCGGCTCATCGTAACCTCCGTCTCCTGGGTTCAAGCGATTCTCGCTGCCTCAGCCTCCTGAGTAGCTGGGATTATAGGCGCCCACCACCACGTCTGGCTTTTTTTTTTTTTTTTGTATTTTTAGTAGAGATGGGATTTCACCATGTTGGCCATGATGGTCTTGAACTCCTGACCTCAGGTGATTCTACCCGCTTCCACCTCCCAAAGTGCTGGGATTACAGGCATGAGCCACCACACCCGGCCATCTCTGCCTTTCAATTGAAGCATTAAATCTATTTACATTTAATGTTGGAGTAGGTCTCCTCTGGTTTTCTTTTCTCATTCTTTCCTTCTTTTTTTGAGACAGGGCTTGCTCTGTCACCCAAGTGGGAGTGCAGTGGCCCAATCTTGGCTCGCTACAGCCTTGACCTCTGAAGATCAAATAATCCTCCCGCCTCAGCCTTCTGAGTAGCTAGGACTACAGGTGGGCGCCACCACACATGGCTGCTATTTTCTATTTGTCTCCTCTGTTCTTCCTTTGTCTTGTTTGTATGAAATATTTAACAATATTCCATACTATCTCCTCTATTGACTTTTTAGCTATGCTTTTGGTATTTTCCTTGCAGTTGTTGCTGTAAAGATAATAATACACATCTGTAGCTTACGACCATCTCTCTCAAATGAATCCCCTGGTCCTTTCTTTTTCTTTTTGAGACAGGGACTTGCTCTGTTGCCCAAGTGAGAGTGCGGTGGCATGGCTGTGGCTCACTGCAGCACCAACCTCCTAAGCTCAAGCAATTCTCCCACCTCAGCTTCCCGAGTAGCTGGGACTATAGGCTCACGCCACCATGCCCAGCTAATTGTTTTTTGTTTGTTTGTTTGTTTTTAGAGACGAAGTATCACTATGTTGTGTAGGCTGGTCTCGAGCTCCTGGGCTCAAGTGATCCTCCCGCCTCAGCCTCCCAAAGTGCTGGGCTTATGAGCATGAGCCACTGTGCCTGGCCAGCGCCCCTGGTTTTTCTATGTCCCACTTTTGCATGTTACACATGACAGATACTGCTATCCTGTGATTCACTTGTGCACTTTACACAGACTGAGCGATCTTGAACTATGATCTTTTCCAGCTATAGCACAGGGATGTGGCCAGGGGGCCCCTCTCTCAGCCTAGCAGTGGTTTGGGCAAATTTTAATCTATTGATCTATTTTGTCTTTATTTTGTGAAGCAAGTAGAAAATGGCATAGGATTCTTTTTCTTTTTCTTTTTCTTTTTTTTTTAAGATTGAGTCTCACTCTGTCACCCAGGCTGGAGTGCAGTGGTGTGATCTCGGCTCACTGCAACCTCCACTTCTCCGGTTGAAGTGATTCTCCTGCCTCAGCCTCCTGAGTAGCTGGGACTACAGGCATGCACCACCATGCCTGGCTAATTTTTTTGTATTATTAGTAGAGATGGGGTTTCACCATGTTGACCAGACTGGTCTTGAACTCCTGGCTTCAGGTGATCTTGCCTCGGCCTCCCAAAGTGCTGGGATTACAGGTGTGAACCACTGTCCCCAGCTGAAAATGGCATAGGATTCATACGTTGAATTCAGTTGAACCACAAGAAGAAATGTCTAGGTAAGCTATAAGCAGGGACTTCAGCCTAGATCTCACACCTGGATGTACAGGAAACAGAACAAAAGCACAGAACTGTCGTGGAAACCGGAGCTAGACCGTGGAAGATGTGTTTACAGGTGTGGTGGGAACAGAGCCCCAGCACAGGGGTCTGTCATTTGATGTCATTGGATTGACCTGATTTCAGTTACTCCCTGGGTAGACCCGCAAGCACTGCCACCTGTACACATGGTGGACTTGTGCTTGAGAGTCAGTCCCAAGCTGCCTCTTGCCTGTCTGGGGCCGTGGAGGGCCTCACACCCGAGCTCTGTATCTAGCCTACGCTGTGTCTCCACGAGGAAGCCCACCTGGGTGCCCAGGGAAGGTGCCCACTTCACTCTGGGGCTGAAGGACCACCCTGGAGGAATCCCAGGGAGGCCTCGCTCTCCCTTCTGTGAACACCCGCCTCAGTCATCAAAGGCCAACACCTATAGTTCTATGACTGGGGCCTCAGTCTCGCTATTCCAGGGGAAGCCCCGTGAGCCTTCCAGATAAGCACAGAAATTCAGGCCCGCCGACCCCCGACCCAATTTATAGATGAGGATATTGAGGCCTGAGAGGTCAAGCGGCTCTTGAGATAGGATTGGTTGGGCCTGAAGTGGAAGCCTCCCTCCCCCTTCCCCCAGCTTGTAGCAGCCTCCACACAGTTTCCCAAGAGCTGGGACTGGCACCCTGTGCACTTGACCTTGATTTAGGTGGTACATGCACTGATAGGGTGTCCTTTCTTAATCATCTTCCAGTCGTGAGCACTGAAGGAGAAAGGCTCAGCTGGGTGCTGAGAGGTTCCAGGCCTCTCACTTGCTGGTCGTTTCCAACATGGCAGTTGGCGGGACCGGGTTTTGAGATGGGAGGACAGCAGACGATGACGGCTTGGGATCCAATGAGATGGGAAGCGATGCAAGACACATTTCGCTTCCTGCTCTACCTGACCAAACAATTGCCTTAGCTCATTGCCATGGGGGTGGGCAGCGCTGCTGACACTGAGCAGCTGCCCCGTCCCCCGCCTGCCCCCGCTCACCACATTTGCCACCTTGGGGAGCAGATTCTGGACACACCCTTCCCCAGGAAAGCGTCCTATGCCACCTGGCCCTGTATTGCCTGGGAGGAGGGGTCCTGGGGAGGCAGAGGAGGAAAGCAGGGAAGGCCCCCTTCTACCTGGGCACCACGCCCTTCCACCCACCCTCTTCTACCTGACCGAAGACCCCTCTCCTACTCCCACCACATTAGTGGGTCTCTTCCTTCCAGCTCGTTCCTGGTCCGGGCCCCATTTACTTCTTATGTCCCAAGGCTCGGGGGACAGAGGGAAGGCATGGGTCTGTGGGCTATGTACGTGGCTCGGGTGGGGGAGAAGGGGAGATCAGGCCACACTGATGATGCCTCCACTTCCCAGGCATCTGGGGGCTCCCACGGCTCCCCCTACAGTAACAAGTCCCCTTTTACAGCAGTGGAACCCGACGCTAGAGAGGCATGTCCAGCACTCAGGGCCGTCCAGAGGAAGCTGGCCTGCATGGGCGACAGCACGGTTATGCCCGAAACTGCTCTGGAATGAGCAGCTCATTGGGGTGGAGGGATTTTTTGGTGATTCAAAGACCCGACCAACGGGCCGGGGCCCAGGAAGCAGATGCAAGGGGGAGTGGATTCGGCCAAAGCACCTTGTGCCGACTGTGTGGGGTCCATGCCCCTCCCCCAGCCTGCTCGGTCCCTGCCTTAGAGAGAAGGGGAGGGCTTCTCCCAGGCTATGCCAGGAATGTGGCCCACAGCAGCACGGCAGGGGGAAAGGGCAGCCTGCTGCCCAGAGGGTGGGCGGAAGGGCATGGTGCCCCGGTAGAAGGGGGCCTTCCCTGTTTTCCTCCTCCCCCTCCCCAGGACCCCTCCTCCTGGGCAGCACAGGGCCAGGTGGCATAGGACGCTTTCCTGGGGAAGGGTGTGCCCAGAATCTGCTTCTCCCTAAGGTGGCAAATGTGGTGAGCGGGGGCAGGCGGCGGGGGCAGGGTAGCTGCTCAGTGTCAGCAGCACTGCTCACCCCCACAGCGATGAGCTAAGGCAATTGTTTAAAGAAATGTCCACCCAAACTCAGGCATATTGCCCCAGGGCAGCTTTCTGAGCAGAGGTGGAGACAGGCTTCCAGGCAGCCGGGGCTGCGGGAGAGGAGTGGGGGCCGGTTGTCTGCAACCTGGTCGCTGGTCAGCTGGGGCTCAGGCCTCACATCCCCTATCCTTCATGAGCCTTAATTCTGGGAGTTGGGGCCGATGATGACCTCTTTTGACAGATGAGAAGACAGGGTCAGATGTTCGGCTGCATATGCTGTGGCAGGGCCTGGACTCGAGTGCCCCACTCACAGCCCAGGCTCGGCCAGGAGGCCTCCTGTCAGCCAGATTGGGATCCCATGGCTGTGACTTCCTCAGCACAACGGCTGTGATTCCTCACAGCCAGCAGCGGTCAGTGGGGGCAGTGAGGTGGGGCTCTTGGTGGCGTTGCCGGAGTGGCTGCAGGCCCGTCCTGCGCGGTCTAACTGGGACAAGCTGAAGTCCACAGAGGTGGTTCCGGATCACCTGCCTCCTCCCCCTGAGCCCTATGACCCTCCCGTCACCCAGGGGATGTGAGGACAGGGAGGTGGCCTCAGGCTCACCCCACGAGGATTCAGGCAGCGGAGAGTGGATAGGGAGCAAAAATGCCAGAGACACAGGGAGAGATGAAAGACAGCTTGAGCGCTGGCAGAAAGCAGGCATGACCTCTGCCCTTAGGGCTGAAGACGAGCGAAGGGAGCCTGCCCAGGGGCCCCACCCCAAAACCAGGTAGGGTGGTCTTTCCCTTGCAGCACACTTTCTGATATCCTTTAGTACATTCCACTAGATCCTCCAGATAATCCTACGCAATAATAAGATGCAGGGTTGCAATCCCAGCACCTTGGGAGGCCAAGGTGGGAGGATCACTGAGGCTGGGAGTTTGAGACCAGCCTGGACAACATAGCAAGACCCTATCTCTACAAAAAAATTTAAGAAAATTAGCCAGGCATGGTGGTATGCACCTGTAGTCCCAGCTAATTAGGAAGCTGAGGTGGGAGGATGGCTCAAGCCTGGGAGGTTGAGGCTGCAGTGAGCTGCAATCTTGCCACTGTACTCCAGCCTGGGTAACAGAGTGAGAACCTGTCTCTAAAAAAATAAAAAAGATAGAGGGAATAGCTTTCTGCATCATACTGGAACACTGTGGCATCTCTTGCCTCCCAGCCTGCCCTGTCCACTGCCCTCCCAGGGTGTCCTCTAAGACCCACGGAAGCAGAGGGCAGTGCCCAGCCCACCTGCCTGCTTTCTGCCTTGGGGTATTTTTTGAGCACCGCTGAGCTCCTCTGAAGAGGGGCCAGGAGCTCTGAGCAAGGAGGCAGGCAGAGAGGAGACTCAGGGACTCTAAGCCCAGTATGGACAGCCTTGGGGAGGCCCTTTGGATGTTGGGCCCTCCAGACCCCTACTCTGGCTGGGAGGGATTATAGAGAGAAAGGAGGCCCAAGGGGACCCAAGGCGACTAGGCAGGCAGGGTGCCTAGAGGAGAGCCAGGCCAGTGCCCACAGTGCCAAGGCTGGTCCCCCCGAGAGTGTGTTGGCCAAAAGGGCCCTTTCTCTGATCTGGATGCTATCTTCCTGAGTTCTCAGTGACTGATCTGGGGGTCCTAAATGGGCAAAACACTATGGCCAACTTCAATAGCCTTTCCAGGCCCTGGGGACCCTGGTGGTCTGTGTTATGTCAGGCAGGGGGCAGGGACAGGGAGTTTGGGGATGCCTGCTGGATGCGTCTATCTGTCCCTTGAGGGAAGAGGCTGATCACACCCATTGGCCAGCCCCAGCAGCTGGTTATGCCAGCATCTGGCTTAGCCTGAGGAAGGATGGGGAAGAGGATGTGGCTGGCTTGGGAGACACTGCTGGTATCTGCTCAGCCTCCTCCCTCCCTCTGCCACTCCCTCTCCTACTCACCGGCCTCAGGGTCTTATTCATGGTCAGCTGTTGGGGTGGGAAGGTTCCAGGACCTTGTGGAGGGGAGGGGCCGCTATCTGGGCTGCTAGTGTGCCCAGAGGTGACTTTGGGCGGGAGATTTAAGCTCTTCCTTATCAGTTAAATCAGGATAATTATAATCCTTATCCCTCGTGCTGTCAGCAGGATTAAAGCAGATAACCAATAATACATTGAAAGCGGCTGGCACACAGTGAGGGCTCAGTACAAGAGATGTGAATTCAGGGCTAACTCCGCTGCTGAGCATCTGGGCAGCGAACTTCTGCAAACCCCTCAAATCACACCTGTTCTTGCCCCCTCCCCAAAGGGAGGCTGGTCCCCCGGGTGGAAAGGGTGGAGAGGGCTCCCAAGGGAGGGCTCCGAAAAGGACATGGCGAAGTGGCAAAAAGAGGCTGCTGGACCAGGGGGACACGTGTGTCCAGGAGCTGAGAGTGGTGGGCAGCTCTGGCCACCTCACCTGGCTGTGTTCTAGAAACAGGGAGGGATGTGGAGGGTGAGAATCCACAACCTGGCTTCTTGTCCCATAAGGAAGCCTGGACCCTGCCTGGCTGGGTGACTGAAGGGATGATTTAGAAACTGTTCTGGTAAAATTCCACACAGAGCCCAAAAGTAAGACCATCCCTCACCTCTGAGCAGAGCGGGGCACCAGGGTTTGCTTCCTGGCCCTTCTTCCTGTCTTTTCAGATCCTTCTAACTCTGCCCTGGCTCCCCTGGCCTGTTGTCCTCTCACTCTTCCCAGCATTCTCACTCACCCCTTCTCACACACACCTTCCCACTCTGTCCCCACCTT
Source organism: Homo sapiens (assembly GCF_000001405.40). NCBI lineage: Eukaryota > Metazoa > Chordata > Mammalia > Primates > Hominidae > Homo > Homo sapiens. The sequence goes on from NC_000016.10 coordinate 74,737,620, forward strand.
CTAGGGCCAGGGAAACTGGGCCCCGGGAGGCCAGGACTCCAGTCTTTGGCAGCAATCACAGTACTGAGCTTGGAGGTAAAGCCAGAAGAGTTAACACCAGCAAGCCCTTCTGCCCCAGGGGCAGGTGTGCAAACCCACCCCAGGCCTGGGGACCCTCGGCTGAGACAAAGCTGCCACCTTCATGGCCTCTTTCCCAGCTCCTCCATGTCCCGATCCAAAAGACCTACCCCAGCCCCCGCTGCCTGGGTCAGCAACAGAGAGAGGGCTCAGGTTGGAGCACCGCGGGCTCCCCCAGCCTCTCTGTTCCCACTAACGGAGCTGGGATTGCCCGTGAGGTGAACGAGGCAGCAGCAGCACCCTTTTTTGGAAAGTCAAAAGTGAAAAGAAAAGAAAAAAGCAGAAAAGCACCCTCTGCCCTCCTGGGAAGCCCTGCTCCCTGTGCTGATTTTCTGGGGCGCTGAAGGGGTTCCCATGCACACCCGGGCAGGTGGGGGCTCCGTCCAGAGTAGGCCTCCACATCCTCCCAGGGCCCAGCCCTCGCCCTTCCGTCTCAGCCCAGAGACACAGGAGGAAGGGGAGGAAGAGTGAGTGTGTAGAGAGAGAATGAGAGAGAGGTGGGGAAGGTGAGTCAGGCTGCTTGGACAGCTGGCCCGGAGCCAGGCAGGGAGCAGTCCATGGGGGAGGAGGGGCCCCTCGTCCCCTTGGGTGTGGTCGTGGTGACAGCATAGGTGACGGTGGCACAGCCTGGGTTAATCCTCCCCTTGCCTCCTGCAGTGATGGGGCCGGGGTCAGCCCTGAACCACAGCTCGGGGAGACTGGGAGGAGCTGACCACAGAGCTGGCAATGTGGGCTGGATCTCCCGTCCCCAGCCAGCCTCAGACCCCAGCTCCTCCCTCCAGGACAGTTTTGTTCATGTCACATCACCCTGATGGCTGCCACATTTGTTCAGTCCCGGTCAGCTCTTTTCAGAATTCAAGCCCTAAGCCAAGCTCACAGATGCCTCTCTCTGCAGCTCCTTCCAGTACCATCCACTGGCCACTCAGGACAGGACCCTGAGCCAGGACACACTGTAGCTCACCCTTTGGTCCCCTCATCAGTCCCCAAACTCTCCCCATTCCCCTCCGATCTCCCCCTGTTCCAGACTGAGGTCCTGACCCTGCCAGTGCCCAGGGCCCAAGCTGGGGGTTGAGGTTCGGAAACCAGGTCCCAGCTCGCCGGCTGCATGGCCGGGCAGCCTTTCCTCTGGCTGGCCTCCATCTTGCCCTGGGTTCTGCACCTCTCAGGAGGGGACATGGCACAGCACAACTTCCTTCGGCCTCTCTGGTTGGATCCTGAGGCGTCTGTGCTGTGGGCGGATGGGTTCTCCCAGAGGCGGCTGTGATCTCATGCGACAGGTGGGATCTCTGTGTTCCCAGTGTCAGGGCCAAGGGGGCCCAGCAGACAGTCAGCTTTGTGGGGTCCCCACCCCACTCTGCTCACCTGTGTTCCTTGGGCGAGCATCCCATGCCACCTCCTGGGGTAATAACTCTTTATGGCGGTGGTGGGGAGGGGTTACTGTCCCCTGCACCAGGCTGTGAGCTCTCGCAGGGAGGGGCCTGTCCCATTTGTTTCTGTGTCTTTGAGGCCCAAACTAGGCAGAGGGCATGCAGGGTAGGGGTTTATGGACATGCACATTTGTGTCTGTTCCTAAGCTGGAAGGAAATGGCACCAAGCCCAGCTCCCTCCAGTGACCCCCTCCAGTGACCCCCTCCAGTGACCCCTCCAGGCAAAGCTGCTTCTCCCCTGCCGCTGAGTGACTCCTTTTCCACCGTGACCGCTCAGCTCCTCCAGGGCTCATCTCACCAGTCTATGGGGTCTGCTCAGCCATAGCAAGGCACTGGCCTCTTGATGCCAAAAGAGGCTTATCCTAAGACTGCAGGCATCTCTGACTCCTCCCAAACACGGAGGATGGCTTCAGCGCTGTCTCCTGCTGGACTCAGCAGTCTCCTGTGCCCTGCACTGGCCAATGTCGCTTCCACATGGCTGCAGGTGCCAGGGGCAGCTCTACCTTGTGCCCTGGTCAAAATGGGCATGTCTGGGCCTGCCAAGCCTGTCACAGCCCCTTCTCAGCTTCAGGGGTCCTGGCGGGAGAATTCTTCTTCTCCAGGGGTGTCTGGGATCTGGTTCCATGCTCAGAACTTGTCTGCTATTTTTCTGAACTTTCCACCAGTGAGGCACCCCCACACCCCTGCCGGAGTTTGCTGTCCCAGGTCATGCCTCTGGGCTGTGGACACCTGCTTCTCCTTCCCCTTCTCCCCTGGGCACACGTCATGCCCACTCCCAGCTTTGGCTCCACACACCCTCTTCCTCTCCTCATTCCCGCCAGCCCCCAGTCATCACCCCACTCCATCCTATGCCAGGTACCTTGTCCCAATCCACCACTTTGAACCGTGGTTCCATAGCAGGATCTGTCTTCTGAGTTTCCTCAAGGGCTACAGGCTCGTTCTCCATGGAGCCCTGGAAGGAGAAGATACAAGAGGATTATACACAGTGGGTGAGGGAAGAGGGCAGAGCCCCGAGCTGCCCCGAGAAGAGGCAGCCAGGAGTGGTGAGAGCCCCGTGGGTGGGGCAGGGTGGTGGAGATCAAGGACGCTGGGTACTTTGGAAAACAGAGAGACCCTGATGTGAGCATTGTTATTCTCTGTATTTTACATTTCCCTTAAAAAAATAATTTCCAGCCGGGCGCAGTGGCTCACACCTGTAATCCCAGCACTTTGGGAGGTCAAGATGGGTGGATCGCCCGAGGTCAGGAGTTTGAGACCAGCCTGGCCAACATGGTGAAAACCTGTCTCTACTAAAAATACAAAAAAAGTTTACCAGGCGTGGTGGTGCGCCCCTGTAATCCCAGCTACTCAGGAGGCTGAGGCAGAAGAATCGCTTGAACCCGGGAGGTAGAGGTTGCAGTGAGCCGAGATCCAGCCTGGCACTCCAGCCTGGACGACAGAGCAAGACTCCATCTCAAAATAATAATAATAATAATAATAATAATAATAATAATAATAATAATAATAAAATTTCTGCATAAATAAAAGAGGCAGAAAGATCTGGGAGAGGAAGTGAGCCAGTGGAGAGACTGCAGGGAAAGAAGCTTGCTTAGTGGGAGCCCTCCGGGAAAGGGGTCCCTGCCGGTTCTCCTTCAGGTCCCTGGCAGGTGCCAGGCAAAGGGAGTCCCAGGGTAGCGCCCAGGGCACCTGGTGGGGCTCACAGGGCCACACTGATGAGTCACAGGCTGTGGCTTCTAGGGCCACATACCCACAAGAAAGAAAGGCAGCAGGGAGCGAGGGAGGCTGTCCCTGCAGCAACACCCGAGTGCCAGTCAGCAGCCACACGTGGGGTGGGATTGGCAGAGCAGTGCCCAAGTGGGCTCAAGGTTAAATCGAACTCACAAAGAGGTAAAGTCAGAGGGAAACGGGATGTGCTGGGAAAAGCACACAGCCCCAGCCAGCTCTGACGTCACGGAGGGTGAGGCCAGAGACAGCAGGCTGGCACGTAAGTGAAACCCATGCTGCCCCGAAGGAGGGGCAGAGAGAGCGCTTGCCTTCTCTGTGTCCTTGTGACTGAAGGAAGCCATGGTGCTGGTGGCCATGGCAGGGAGCTGGAAGCTGGGCATTGGCCGGCGGCCAAGAGGCTACTGTCATGACTTGTACATTTTTGTTTCCAAACGGACCCAAGAGAACCTGATGGTGACAGTGACTATTTTGGCATTTTATGGGAAAACCCACACGTAACCCAAGTAAAAGTCGGCTTTTGTGGTCCTTTCTTAGTCTGTGTGTCTCAGCATATTTAGTCTGTATCATCAAGCTAATATCTGAATTTTTTTGTTTATTATTTTGAGACAGACTCTTGCTCTGTCACCCAGGCTGGGGTGCAACAGCCCATGCCACCTCTGTCTTCTGGGCCTAGGCCATCCTCCCACCTCAGCCTCCCAAGTAGCTGGGACTACAGGTGCACATGACCACACCCAGCTAATTTTTGTATTTTCAGTAGAGATGGGGTTTGGCCATGTTGCCCAGACTGGTCTTGAACTCCTGACCTCAGGTGATCTGCCCACCTCAGCCTCCCAAAGTGCTCGGATTACAGGTGTGAGCCACCGTGCTGGGCCAACACCTGATTAAATATATATATATATATATATATATATATATATATATGTGTGTGTGTGTGTGTGTGTGTGTGTGTATGTGTGTGTATGTGTGTATGTGTGTGTGTGTATGTGTGTGTGTGTGTATCATGCTGTCTTGAGTACAAAGAAGAGTAGATTTTATAGCACATCATACATGGAAATGCCTTAAATATCCAATATAAATGTCCTCCCTCTTCCCGTGACAGCAGCTCAATAATCCTGTTCCAATTCTGTTTAACCTCAAAATACTCCAGTGGTGTGATAGGTTCCAACAGGCAGGGACCTTGTGGATTTCTGTTTCCTGTTTCCAGACCCACGCCTAGCACGGGTCTTGCAAATACCAGATGCTCCACCCACATTTCCCCAGTGGGTCGTGTTTCAATGCTGGGTCTCTGCAAGCAGCCAACGTCTTCCAAGACTCCTGCCATGTGGTGGGCCTGGCTGTGGGGGCGAAGCCCTGAAGCTCTGCAGGACTCACACTCCTTGGGGATGTGAAACAAATGGAGTGGGTGCATCTGCCCACCCTGCCACGTGGTGGGGAAATACGGCTGTCTGCCTGAGGGGGTGGGCCAGGACACAAAACATGCATCTTGCACTCTGGGCTGGATAGGACAGTGCCCAGATAAAAGGATCAAAACTCCAACAACCTAGATCATAGATTCTCAGTGCCCTTCGGCCGAGTACATAGGACAGGCACGAGCAGAATGAAAAGTATATAAGACTGGTATGAGATTGCCAGCGTTTTATTTTGCCAAATAAAAATATTTCAAAGGCAGGCACGGTAGCCGATGCCTGCAATCCCAGCACTTTGGGAGGCTGAGGTGGGAGGATTGCTTAAGGCCAGGAGTTCGAGACCAGCCTGGGCAACAAAGCAAGACCCTGTCTCTATCAAAGAAAAAATAAAAAAGCCAGGTGTGGTGGTAGTGTGCGCTTGCAGTCCTAGCTACTCAGGAGGCTGAGGGAGGAGGATCATTTGAGCCCAGGAGGTTGAGGCTATGAGTGAGCTATGATTGTGCCACAGCACTCCAGCCTGGGCCACAGAGTAAGACCTTGTCTCAAAAAAAAATTTTTTTTTTAATTTACTATCAGCAACATTTCATAAACAAGAGGAAATTTCAATACCAAATATATAGGAAGTATGTGTTTTCAGGATAAAAGGCAGTTCTTTCCAAGGAAGGCAGTTGGCAACTTTATACTGACATTTACCAAAAAAGGTTCTATTTTATTATTTTTTAATTATTTTCTTTTTATAGATATAGGGTCTCTCACTATGTTGTCCAGTCTGGTCTTGAACTCCTGTGCTCAAGTGATCCTCCTGCCTCTGCCTCCCAAAGTGCTACGATTACTGGTGTGAGGCACCATGCCCGACCTCTATTTTACAGTATTTATGAATGCAGAACAATTACAACAACATTCTGTTTTTATGAGCATTAACTACACATAATTGTTCTTTTGGCTCAAGCTGGTTGATGTGGGGCTCGATGATCTATCTGTAACAGGAAGTAAATCAAATGTTCACCATGTCCTGGTTCTAAGGTTCTACTTCAAAAATTACAAAAATCCTGTTTCTTAGAGAGATGCTGGCTAAATAGAAACAGCACATTGAAAGCTTCATTCAACTGGAAGTATCCTGAGTGACATGAAGAAACCGGAGGAGTCCCTGCTCTGTGGATTTCTGTCCTGCTCCTGGGAGACAGGGGGAAGGGCAGTGGGTCATGCCTCGAGCGGCTCCATCCCCCGCACAGAGGGGCCAGGGATTCTCTCTCCAGAATTCCTCTGAATCATGGACCAGCACCAGTCAAGGGCTGGAAGAGGGGGCACCCTCTCTATGGAGGCTGAGGAAAAGAGGGACAAAGGGGAAGGGGGTCGGCATGGCCTCTTTCTATCCTCCTTCCTGCTTCTGCTCTCGGGTCCTAGGGCCACCCCAGGGAGCAATGTCAGGACTGATATGCTTCTGGCAAATAAGCCCCAGACTGACTAAGCAAGGTGCTTTCCTGGGTGGCTTCATTGGGACCACACCCCTCCTTGGCAGAAGCCCAGGTTCTTATCACAAGATGGGACACACCTCCAACATGGGAGGAGACTCCAAGGAAAACCAGAGCCAGCGTCACGCGGTGTCAGTAGCAGGAATACTCCTAGGTACAGGGACACGTCCTCCGGTGCATTGTTCATTAATCGATTTTCTCAAGTCTAGTTGTGAGATTCTAGGTCTAAAAACCCTCCCTACACACAGCTAAGACAAAGACCCTTCTGAAGAAGGTCTCCCATTCCCACCTGGGGCACGCCAGGACTCCAGGAACTGGGTCCTGCCAGGAGCAGCTGTGCCGCACGCATGCCACACACGTTGATCTGGGCCACGTTTTCCAGACTCCCGCCCCGGTGTTTATTTTATAGTTGAGCCAGCTCACCCTTGAATTCCACAGGCGAACACCATCCATGAATCAGGAGTGTGTAGAGGTCATTCCTGGGAACTAGGGTACAACCCCAGCTTTAAAAGGCTTTTAGAAAGTTTCTTGGAAACTTTCACATTCATTATTTAAAAGGTTCTCCTGGTCCTGGAAGCAAGCCAAAGGGTGGTTTTTAAACACTTTAAAAACCAAAAAGTGCCTCAAATGAAGATATGTGTGCTTTCTTTTTTCCAGTATTTGGAAATTATTCCAGATGATGCCTTTTTTTTTTTTTTTTTTTGAAACAAGGTCTCAGTCTGTTACCCAGGCTGGAGGGCAGTGGCATGATCTTGGCTCACTGCAGCCTCAACCTCCTGGGCTCAAGCAATCCTCACACCTCAGCCTCCCAAGTAGCTGGGATGATGGGTGTTCACCATCATGCCCAGCTAATTTTTAATTTTTTTGTAGAGATGGGGTCTTGATCTATTGCTCAGGCTGCTCTTGAACTCCCACGTTCAAGTGATCCTCCCACCTCAGCCTCCCAAATAGCTGGGACTATAGGTGTGCACCACCATGTCCACCAAATTTTTTATTTTTTATAGAGACGGGGTCTTGCTATGTTGCCCAGGCTGGTCTCAAACTCCTAAGCTCAAGCAATCTGCTCACCTTAGTCTCCGAGAGTTCTGGGATTACAGGTGTGAACCACCACGCCTGGCTGGTGATGCCTTTGAACTGGGTAGGTTTCAGTATTTGGTAAGGGAAGTGAACAATTTTGTAGTTAGACCCACACTGGCTTTCACAGGAGTGATCAGCACAAGTGTTGATGAGTGTGGCTTGACAGGGGGTGTCCAACCCATCTGTGTCAGGTGATTGCTTTCTTGTACCCTGAGGCGAACGAGACTGTCCCAGGGCAACAGTCTGGTGCTGAGGACAGAAGCCCTCATCCCAGTCCCTCCAGGCCTCTCTGCCTTGGGAAGGTAGGCAGAAGAGACAGCTTGACACTCTTGTGTTCAGCTCCAGGGCTGTTGAGTGGCAAGGGGGCACCTGGCTCTCCTGATACCGCATTTACCTGTTGATTGTATTCCAAGCTAGCCCATAAGCACCGTGCACTAGAGACCCCACTCAATCTTGCTAACTGCTCACTCCCTAGTCCCCAGCACAGGCTTGGCCCTGCCAATACTTGCTGAGTGATCCATTAGCGAGCAGGTGGGTGGCCTGGGTCGACTCTGAGAGCCCTCCCCAACCCCCTGCCCCAGGCCTGGAGAGGCCACCGATGCGTGGGGAGGGCAGGCAGGAAAAGAGCCTTCCATAGCCCACGTCTACTTGGAGAGAAAAGGATGGGCACAAGCAATGGCCAAGGTGCTCTGCCAAGGAGACGGGGTCAGCAGGCACTGCTCATTCCCAGCCAAGAGCCACTGGACGTGCCGGGCAATGGAGGGTAGGGAGGGCACTTCAACCTCCTTAGAGCCTTCCAGCCACAGTCCAAGGCCACACAGGAGAGAAGCCTTTGAGACAGAAGTACCAACCCTCACTGCTCCCAGCACAACGCCAATTCCTGGCTCATCACCAGGCGTTATTTCCTCTCTGGTCAGTCCAAGCCACAAGGATGGTATCGAGTCACTGTCAATGGATTTTTTTTTTTTTTTTTTTTTTTTGAGACAGAGTCTTGCTCTGTAGCCCTGGCTAGAATGCAGTGGCACCATCTTGTCTCACTGCAGCCTCTGTGTCCTGAGTTCAAGCAATTCTCCTGCCTCAGCCTCCTGAGTAGTTGGGACTACAGGCATGCACCAACATGCCTGGCTAATTTTTTGTATTTTTAGCAGAGACGGGGTTTCACCGTGTTGCCCAGGCTGGTTTTGAACTCGTGAACTCAGGCAATCTGCCCGCCTCGGCCTCCTTGGGATTACAGGCATGAGCCACAGTGCCTGGCCTGTCACTGCATCTTCGTATCAAGGAGGCTGCAGGGAATGAAGCAGACTACAGTGAAATAGAGGGGCCACACCCTGTTACAAGAGGGCAGCTCTGACTTAGGTCCAAGTCATAGGAGGATGGGGACCAAGGGTTGTCAGACCTTCAGATTTCTTTTCTTTTCTCTTTTTCTTTTCTTTTGACACAGGGTCTCACTTCGTTGCCCAGGCTGGAGTGGAGTGGTGTGATCATGGCTTGCTGCAGCCTTGAACTCCTGGGCTCAATTATTATTATTATTATTATTTTTTTTTTGGTAGAAAAGGGGGTCTCGCTATGTGGCCCAGGTTAGTCTCAACCTCCTAGCCTCGAAATCCTGGCCTCAGGTGATCCTCCTACCTTGGCTTCCTAAGGTGCTAGGATTACAGGCATAAGCCACTGCGCCTGGCCCTGATTTCTATGAAAAGCTGGAAAAATATATTTTTATGTAAAATCTCCAGATTTTAAAATTTGACTTGCATTTAAAACAAATGATGTGGGCCGAACCAACACATATGAATATAAATGTGGCCCTTGGTTTGCCAGTTTGAAACTCCCAGGCAAGCTGCAGGCCTCCTGCTCCCTGGGATGCCCTGTCCACTGAGAAGGATGAGCAGAGACAGACGAGAGCAGGGGTTTTCTTCTCTCTGTCAATTCCCAGAACAGGGAATTCCAATGGGGAGCCTGGGCTATATAGCTTCATGGGGCAGGCATTCAGGGCCAGTTGTACCAAGGCCCAGGTGGGGTCAGGGCAGGTAGGCACCAGAGGGACCAGAGTCCCAGCAAGGTCTGATGAAGGGCAACCTCAGGTGGGGACTGGTTTCTAGAGGAAGCAGCGGGTCAGGGAGCAGAAGTGGGGGTTGGACCTGGTTTTTCCCGGTTCTCCTCCCCTTATGTCTAGAAAGGTGATAAAATTAGCCAGGCATGGCGGTTCATGCCTGTTATCCCAGCACTTTGGGAGGCAGAGGCAGGTGGATCACCTGAGGTCAGGAGTTTGAGACCAGCCTGGGAAACATGACAAAACCTCATCTCTACTAAAAATACAAAAATTAGCCAGGCATGGTGGCAGGCACCTGTAATCTCAGCTACTTGGGAGGCTGAGGCAGGAGAATTGCTTGAACCCAGGAAATGGAGGCTGCAGTGAGCCGAGATCTCGCCACTGCACTCCAGCCTGGGTGACAGAGCAAGACTCCACCTCAAAATAAATAAATAAATAAATAAGAAAGAAAGAAAGAAAGAAAGAAAAGTGACAAAATCTGTGAGGGGTAAGGAATCACAGTAGAGTCTCAGGCCATGCACCAAGGGCGTTACCTCCAGGGTCTCGCTTCCCAGTGTAGAGGTTGTGGGTTGAGCTATGCCAGTCCTCACAAAGAACTCTATGCTGAAGTTCTAACCCCCAGTGTCTCAGAATGTGACCTTCTTTGGAAACAGGGTCATTGCAGATGTAGTTAAGATGAGATCATTACGGTGGGCCTTATAAAAGGGGTGATTTGGACACAGACACACACGTGTGAAGATGGAAGGAGAGATGGGAGCAATGCCTCTCCAAGCCAAGGATGGTCAAGAGCAGCTGGCAGCCCCCAGCAGCTCAGGGGAGGGCTGGAAGGACTGCCCCTCAATGTCCTCAGAAGGAACCAACCCTGCCAACACCTTGCTCTCAGACTTCTGGCCTCCAGAGCTGCGAGACAATACATTTCTGTTGTTCAACCACCCACTTTGTGACAGTTTGTTACAGCAGCCTAGAAAACCTGTAACAAGGCCTGAATCAGCTAATCAGTTTCATCTGGGATCAAGACCGCCACCAAAGGAGAGGGAATCCAACCAGAAGAGGGGACAACCGAGGGAGGCATCCGAGGAGCCGTGGAGCCAGGAGTCTGCCCCTCATCCTATGCTGAGGACGCGGCAGAAACCAGGCTCTTTCAGTCAGCACAGCCTTGCCACCCAGCCCGCAGGGGCAGGCCACACAGATGGCCCCGGGGGGACAGGCATTCAAATAGGACAGGCATTCAAATAGGTCCGTTCCTAGCCCACTGCTGCCCATCTGCAGCCAGGGGCGGCCTTGTTCCCCTTCTTTAGGGCCTGAGAGGTCACTTCGCAGTTTTCGCTACATGGAAACGCTGCGCGTGGAGCAGTGAAGCAAACGCCGCCCTCTTTAGTGCAAACCTTGTTCTATTCTGCACTTCCCCCACCCCCCACGTGGCAGCTGGAACAGCCCTGCCATCTCCACCACAAGCACCTTCACCGAGGCGCACATGTGGCGGCGTCTCACTGGGGCGGACACAACTCTCCCTGAGAGACTGGCAGGAGGCATTCCACACACGGGGGAAACTGAGGCACAGGCGGCCCGAATGACTTATTCAAGATCTCTCAAGTGATTGCTGGACGGGCGGGGGGAGCACACAGCAGCCCACTCCGAGGGCTGTTCCCGGGAAGGTTCCTCACAGTAGCCTCCTTTCTCCCCTCGTGGAGGACTCTCTGGGAGGTCCCCAAGCCCCCAGCTTCCTCCAGGGTCCCAGACCCTGTCCTCCCTAGAGAGGGTTTGCTTGGACGGCGCACGGGGGAGAGAACAGAGAAGAACAACAGAAAGTCTGCGCTCTGCACCACAAACAAACAAGTCCACCATAGAGGCCGCGTGAAAGGAGGCAGTGTGCGGCGGGCGGGGGCTGGGGGCGGGGGCGCCGGCATAAAGGCATGTTGTTCGGGAAAGCTGGGGCTGGGCACCGCGGGACGGACAGATGGCCTTTTATCCCATAGCCTGGATTTTGCCTGAAAACCCTTTTTCTGAAAGGGAATGGTTGCCTCGGGCCTTGGGTCCAGCTGCCCCCACCCCATGGAGGCCCAGGGGGAAGGTGGGGGGTCCAGGTGTCGCAGCGCCCCTGGGTGGCACATGGCCCCTGGCAGCTAGGAAGGGGCAGGCCCCAGAGGGAGATGATGGTGCCAAGGCTGTTCCAAGCCGTTATCTGTATCTGCAGCAAGAGCCTTTCTTGGGGAGGAGCCTTTTGCATTAACAAGCCCACCTCTGCGGCCCCCAGGGAGCAGTCCCCTTCGAGCTGGTTGTTTTTGGTAAAAGCTTTCGGCTGAAATGAAGGCAGCGGATCCGCTTGCTTCCATCTTTAATAAGCTGCCCTCTGCCTTTCTAGATCCAATCCAGGAGTCAGGACCGGCCAGGAGCTGAGCTCTGGATGCCTGTGGTGGCCTAAGAAACCATATCTGGCAAGTGAGAAGCCTCAGAACCCCCGAAGCCCACCCACCCCTCGCCCTCCCCGCAGTCATTGCAAGGCGATGGGCCCTGCAGGCCACCGTCCTGGTATTCACGGGAGCAAGAGGAAAGGAGGAAAGAAAACCAGCAGGAAACCTGTGCCTGAGCTGTGACCAACTCTCCAGCTCAGGTGTGTGGAGAACAAAAAGACAGTCTTGGGCCCTGGGGCGTTGACTCTATTCACCACGGACCCAGCATTGCTTCTGCTCGTGAAGTGAACTCCCTCTGATGCCATTGCCAGCAACCTCGACACCGGAAGCCTAAGCCAGCACAGGTGGGCAGGCAACCCAGGACGTAGGAAAAGGGGCCAGTGGTTTGAAAAAATGAAATTACCACTCGCTAGGATACCCCCTGTGGGTTTTCAAGCCACTAACTCCATTCTTTACCAAATGTTGCCACTGACTGTTGGCAGCCACCGGGATCCTTAGCCCTCCAGCCTCTAACCTCGGATTAGGGCAAAGTTTCCAAGAATGCACTGAGTCAGGGAGACACGTGGGTTTTTCCAGTGAATGCTGGACTTGGGGATCTGGAGAGGCCCCCAGGGAAAGTCTCCGTGCTGGGAGCACAGCTGGAAGGGACGCGGCCAGAGCTTGTCAGGGTAAACAAGAGGGGCTTTTGGAGGCTTCCCTTCTGGGTCTTTCCTTACAAAATCCTGCCTCTTGCTGCACGGGTAAAATGGGAGGATCTGAGTTTCAACTCCAATGAGCAGCATCAACAGCTCACAGGACATGAGTTCCTTAAAACATGTCCTTTTGCAGACTTGCTGAGACCACTTCTGGACCGTAGTCTCTCAAGACTGAGACCTCAAGCCACCTCAAGTAGGTTTACAGGATGTGCATTCCACAAGGAAAATACACGTACGACACCTAAAATATATTATCTCCTCACTGACCCAACTAGTATAATAAAACAAATTTCAGATCTATTGCACAACACTCCAATCTAAGAATTATCCTGTATTTTGCTATTTTTAAAAGGAGAATCAAGACTATTGATTTACAAACAACCTCATATGCCATTATTCCAGAAACAATATTTTGAAATGCGTCTTTTATTATCTAATAATTTAAGAAAGAAAAATATTGTTCTTGCCACTGTTTACAAAATGGCAAATGATTATACTACGAAAAACAATAATAGTCACTGAACTGTTTTATTTAAAAAACCCAAACAACAAGAGCAGCAACAACAACAACACCCTCCCTCATACCTCCTACTTCTTTTTGCTGATTCAAGCAATTCCCTCTCCCCATGCCTGGCCATGCAATCTCCTCCCTGTGCAGTTAAGGATGTTTATGCTTAGAAAGATTGGCTGACTTGTCTCAGGTGGCATGGTGTGTTCTAGAAGACAAGTCCATTGGATTCAGGCCTATGTCCTCTTTTTTTTCACTGTGTGTGTGTGTGTGTGTGTGTGTGTGTTTAAGAGACAGGGTCTCGCTCTGTCAGCAGGCTGGAGTGCAGTGGTGCAATCATGGCTCACTGCAACCTCAGCCTCGAGTTCCTGGGCTCAAGCAATCCTTCTACCTCAGCCTCCTGAGTAGTTAGGACTATAGGCACATGCCACAATGGCCGGCTAATCTGTTTATTTTTTTTTAGAGATGAGGTCATGCTATCTTGCCCAGGCTGGTCTCAAACTCCTGGCCTCAGGGGATCCTTCTACCTCAGCCTCCCAAACTTCTGGGATTACAGGCATGAGCTACTGTGCCTGGTCCCACTGTACATTTCTTTTTGTTTGTTTTTTGAGACAGAGTCTCGCTCTGTCACCCAGGCCAGAGTGTAGTGGCTCAATCTCGGCTCACTGCAACCTCTGCCTCCCGGGTTCAAGCGATCCTCCTGCCTCAGCCTCCCGAGTAGCTGGGATTATAGGCATGCACCACCATGCCTGACTAATTTTTTGTATTTTTAGTAGAGATGGGATTTCACTATGTTGCCCAGGCTGGTCTTGAACTCCTGACCTCAGGCGACCCACCCGCCTTGGCCTCCCAAAGTGCTGGGTTTATAACTTTGAGCCACTGCGCCTGGCCCCATCACACATTTCTTCAATTAGCAAAGTCTACGCAGTGAGTCCTAGAATTCATGACAACTGGTGACGCCTGGTGGGTATAGCCTCCATTCTATGTGTTACACTCGTCACCATAATGATGCTTCAGCCCCAGGAAGTGACTTCCTTAAATGACCACAGGGTAAATTGTCTTTCTGGGAGGTCAGTGCCTGCCTGACATGGCCACAGGTAAGGGACAGCACTGAATACACATTCTGGTGTGATCAAGCAGAGAGGGCAAGAAAGAGCCATTTGCAAATGACACACGGACAGCAGCTTCGTAGACAGCACCATCAGATTGGGTGCCATTATCCCAGAGAGAAATGCCTATGGTGCTGGGCTGGGACACAGCTCTAGACCAGTGCCACCCGGCAGGATTTTGTCCAGTGATGGAAATGTTCTATATGTGTGCTGTCTAATATGGCTGGTGGTTCCCACCTTGGACAGCTCAGCTCTGGACTCACATATTCAATCAGTATTCAAAATCTCTACTGATGTTTCCCTGGCATCTCAAACCTGGCCCCGGTGAGCTTTGATAGTCCTATCCCAAACATGGACACCCACCCCAGTATTAATCATTTCCATAAATCAAATCGCCCAGTTGCTCAAGCCAAAACCTTGGTGTCATCCTCAACTTCTTCCTTTCCCTCGCTGCTGACATCCAATGCATCAGCAAGTTCTAATGGTTCCATGTCCACGACAATTTCAAATTCTCTCCATCCTCACAGTCACCAATCCAGGCCACCCCCATCTGCCACCTGGACAATAGCAATGGCCTCTTAACTCTCTTGCTGCTTCCACTCTTGACTCCCCCCAAGCCCAATCTGCCCTCCACATGGCAGCCAGAGCTAACTGATCAAATGTAGAGAAAATCTGTCAGTCTTCTGCTTAAAATCCTCCAGTGGCCGCCCTTGGTTCTCAGCATAAAATCTAAATCCCTGGCCATGACCCATGAGCCCCACCAAGTAGGGCTCTTGCCCACCTCCTTCCACTTCAGCCCCCACCAGACTCCATCCCTCCCCATGCTCCAGCAATGCCAGAGTCTCCTCTCGGTCCTGTCATGCCTCAGGGCCTTTGCACCTGCTGTTCCCTCTGCCTGGAATGTTTCTGACCCAGGGTATTGGTCCATACAGAATGTTTCTATTCTATTGCATCACTTGCTGCCACCTGTAATTATCATGTCTGTCTCACTCCTCTGAGGTAATCCCCATGAGTGTCTCAGCCAGGTGTCTTTTTGTCCCCAGCACCAAGCAGGGTGCCTGGCACAGAGGAAATATTAGCATATTTGCGGCTGAATGGAGGAAGGGATGGTGGGGAGCAGGAGGCAGCCCCGTGAGCCCCCAAGACAAACTGGGGCCTTGGCCAGCCTCACCTTTGGGGACTGTCCTTCCCTGACCAGGGTAAGTGTCCTGGGTATAGTGCTGCACCTGTCCAGGTGAAGATGGAGTGAAGGCGGGAGGCCATCGCAGATCTCCCTGGCCAGGCCTGGAGGGATGACTCAGAGAGACCAGAATGTCACATTCTCCGGCTCCTCCAGGGGTGCACAGTCCTGCCCAGGAGGGTCCAAGCACACAGCAGCTCAGGTTCTGAAAACACCCGTCCCTCACCACCTAGCAGAGACCCACCCCTGGTTAGCAGAAGCTGGAGCTGAAGGGACTCCTTGCCCTCCTGTGTGGGTGTGATCCCTGCGTCCTGTTCCACAGCTCTCATATTATCTCACTGTAGCCACACAGAATCCTGCAGGGGAGGCAGGGCGTGAGGAACACACTGCTCAGAGAGGTTGATTAACTTGCCCAAAGTCACACCGCCAGTTAGATACAGAGCCAGAACTAGAGCACAGTCTTAGGCTCCAGATCCTAGACTCCCTCCTCTGTCTCAGAGGGCAAGAGCATGGGCTGCCCGGTCAGTGTCCACAGCTCAACTGCTCCGCACCAAACGCTACGCACCACGACAAGAGCTTGAGGATGTGGCTTCTTTAATAACCCCACGAACAGCAGGGCGAGGTGGCTCATGCCTCCCAGCACTTTGGGAGTCCGAGGCGGATGGATCATGAGGTCAGGAGTTTAAGACCAGCCTGGCCAACATAGTGAACCCCGTCTCTACTAAAAATAGCTGGGTGTGGTGGCACGCACCTGTAATAATTCCAGCTACTTGGGAGGCTGAGGTGGGAGAATCGCTTGAACCCAGGAGTTGGAGGTTGCAGTGAGCTAAGATTGCACCTCTGTACTCCAGCCTGGGTGACAGAGCGAGACTCCAGCTCAAAATAAATAAATAACCCCATAAGCACTGCCTGCCAAGCCACACCCAGCACCTCCAATTTCCCCATCTCCATTTTTCTTCTGTCCTTATCCTTCTAGGACAATGGGTTACAACAAACTTCATGGTGCTCCGGAGTCACAAAGGGTATTTACAAAAAATACAGATTTCTGAGGTCTTGACTCCAGAGATTTACATTTTGTAGGTTTGGAGGGTGGCCTTATAATCTTTTAAAAATATAATCTACGCACATTAATTCTTTAGTTACACACGGATTTTTTTCACTCAAGTGAAGCATCAAACTTTTCACATGAGTCTTCGACATTGAACTCTCTGTCTTGGAGTCATTTTTCTTCAATAGACCATAGTTCTCCAATGAGCATTCATATTCACTTTCATCTAGGTTGTTTGAGTGGCAGAAGTTGTTTAATAATAACTGTATTGGGGCCAGGCACAGTGGCTCACGCCTGTAATTGCAGCACTTTGGGAGGCCAAGGTGAGTGGATCACTTGAGGTCGGGAGTTCAAGACCAGACTGGCCAATATGGCAAAACCCTGTCTCTACTAAAAATACAAAAATTAGCCAGGTGTGGTGGCACGTGCCTGTAGTCCCAGCTATGTGGGAGGCTGAGGCAGGAGAACTACTTGAGCCTGGGAGGTGGAGGTTGCAGTGAGCCAAGATTGGGCCACTGCACTCCAGCCTAGGTGACAGAGCAAGACTCCATCTCAAGAACAAAAAACAAAAAACAAAAAACAAAAAAAATTTACTGGGAGGAATAGTGTTCCTCCTCCAATTCCCCCTGCCAACTCATGTCCGCCCAGAGCTTGTGAATGTGACTTTATTTGGAAACAGGATTTTTATTTATTTATTTATTTTTGAGACAGGGTCTGGCTCTGTCACACAGGCTGGAATGCATTGACGTGATCTCAGCTCACTGAGACCTCTGACTCCTGGGCTCAAGTGATCCTCCCACCTTAGCCTCCTGAGTAGCTGAGACTACAGGTGCACGCCACCACATCCGGGTAATTTTTGTATTTTTTATAGAGACAGGGTCTCCCTATGTTGCCCAGGTTGGTCTCAAACTTCTGGGCTCAAGTGACCCTCCTGCCTCGGCCTCCCAAAGTGCTGGGATTACATGCCTGAGCCACCACCCCTGGTCAGAAATAGGATCTTTGATGTAATCAATGTAAGATGAGGTCATGCTAGATTAGGGTGGGTTCTAACTTCAGTATGACTAGCATCCTCCTAAGAGGGGACTGAGGAGACATTGACATAGAGCCACCCGTATGGGAAGAACACCCATAAAGATGGAGGCAGAGATGGAAGCGATACAACTACAAGCCAAGAAACACCAAAGGACAGCAGCCCCCCTAGAAGCCCGGAGAGGGGCTTGAAGTGGATTCTTCCTCGCAGCCTCTAGAGGGAACCAACCCTGTTGAAATCTTGATGTCCGCTGTCCAGCCTCTAGAAGTGTGAGAGAATACATTTGTGTTTTTTTTTTTGGCAGGGCTGGGGGGTGTTGGTGGGTGGGGATGGAGTCTTGCTCTGTCACCCAGGCTGGAATGCAGTGATGCCATCTCGGCTCACTGCAACCTCCACCTCACAGATTTAAGTGATTCTCCCACTTCAGCCTCCAGAGTAGCTGGGACTACACGCATGTGCTACCACACCCAGCTAATTTTTGTATTTTTAGTAGAGACGGGGTTTCGCCATGTTGGTCAGACTGGTCTCAAACTCCCGACCTCAGGTGATCCACCCGCCTCGGCCTCCCAAAGTGCATTTCTGTTGTTTTAAGCCATCCTGTGTACGGTGCTTTGTGATGGCCAACATAATATCACTGGAAATGTGATCCTTTGCTGCATATAACCATTCATGTGCTGTTATTTTATTTTTCTACTCATTCTTTAAGAACACGTCTGTGAATGATTTCCACAGGGTAACTACTTAGTATTTTGTCCAACATTTTGTTAGGAAAATTTCAAACATACAGCAAACTGGGAGAATCTCACCAGGAGCACCTGCATCCCCTCTAACCTGGATTTCACCATTCACATTCTACTTTTTCTTTCCAAAGCAGTCTTTATAAGGCTTGTGTATACCAGCACTAACTCTTGCAAATGTGAGGTCACCTGCTTAGGAGTGACTATAAAGCTGGTGTTAAATTTATTTGGCTCTCTTTTCCCCCTACTAAGCGTAATTTTCATATAGTTAAAAAAAAATCAACCGTAAGGGTATAGTCTGACAACGATATGCCTCCTTACAGCCAATGCCCAAATCAAGATACAGACCAGTTCCATCTCCCCAGAAAGTCCCAGGAATCTATTTTAATATGCTCCTCATGCAATTCTGATGAAAGGAACGAGGAGGAGATGCGGAATACATGTCCAGTTCCCTCGGCCAGAGGGAGAGTAAAGTTTGAGATTCAAGTGGCTTTCCAGTAGAGGTGCCATGTTCCCCCTAGCAATCATGGCTGCCCCTCTGCCGTCCTAGCCTTGGTCATCCACGCACACGTGGAATCTGGCCTGCAGGCCTCCCCTCTAACCACAGGCTGTGAACACAAAGCAGGAAGAATAAGCAGGACCCACCTGAATGCTGAGTTCCAGGACAAGCTGCAGCTACCTGCTCCTTCCACACCCCTCCCCATGCCCGCATCCCCTGGCTGAAATCACTACTATTCCATCACTGCTTGGACGGACAACCACTGTGGGCCACACACATGCTGCTGGGGGCTGCCGCTTGCAAGGGTTTCTCCAAAGTGGCTTCTTATCTGCTCCAGCCACATGACCTCAGGGCCCAGGGCAAGCCCGGCAGCCCTAGCCTTTGAAAGTCAAACTTGACTGTGTTCGCCAAGGCTGGTGACAGGCTCCAGAATCACTCCCACCTCCTGTTCCTTTTCTTTCTCTAGCGGAGCAGAGTCTTGGCTGCAAGGGAATGCAAGGAGGAAAAACGCAAATGGCTAAAACCTAATAAAACAGTAGTGATTTCATTGGTATAGAATATAGTCCAAAAACAGACCTAAATAACTATATATGTAAATGACTGATATGTGAAAAGAGTAGGTTTTTTAAAAAAAATCAGTGGAAAAAGATAGATCATTCAATAAATCTACTGGGAAAACTGGTTAGTAATTTGGAAAAATATAAACCTAAAATAATACCTATTTTTTTCCTTACACCCCATCCCTCCAAAAAAAATTCCAGGGAAGCAAAATATTTAAGCAAAAACAAACACAAGAAAAACACTAAGCATACAATTATTAGTAGGAAACTGAAATATTTTGTTTTTATGTATAAAATCTTAAAGTAGGGGCAGAACCTTCTAAGAATAAAACCGGTGTCTTTTACTACAAGGAAATTTAAAGGTTTTGCGTTGAAAAAAAAAACATTAAGCAAGGCAAAAGGCAAATGAAAAGTGGAAGAAAAATAGTAACACAGATGCCAAAAAACAGGCTAATACCCTTTACCTCTAAGGAGAGATTATAAATCAGTAAGAAAAAGACAACTATCAATAGAAAGATGGATAAAGGACATGAAAAGGCAGTTTACTAAAAACGTGCAAAAAGTTCAGAAACATGGAAAGACTCAGAACCTCCCTTATCCTTCATATAAATAAGAATTTAAACAGGGAGCAATTTTTTCATCCATTGACAATGATTGAAAAGACTGCTAACACACAGAATTGGTGAAAGTGTGGAGAAACAGGCATTCTCACACGTTTTTGGAGGGAGTTAAAATTGGTACAACTGTTTTGGGGGCAATTTGGCACTATCTATTAAAATATAAGATGTGTATTATTTGGATCCAGAAATTCCAAATCCAGGACTCTGTATTATGGTTGATTTGCATATATATGCAAAGGGATTGTGTAAGAATGCTTCTTGTGACACTGACGTAATAGATAAAAGCATCAATAGGAACAGCTGTTAAAAAGAATGGAGTAAAATTATATTGCTGATATGGAAAGAGGTACAAAATATGTCATTGGGTGAAAAAGACAGCAAGTTGTCAAGCAGTCTGCCTCATATGATTCCTTTATGTGAGAAATAAAAAGATAATACTATATGTGTGGCTGGGCGTCGTGGCACATGCCTGTAATCCTGGCACTTTGGGAGGCTGAGGTGGGTGGATTGTTTCAGCCCAGGAGTTTGAGACCAGCCTGGGCAACATGGCAAAACCCTGTCTCTACAAAAAAAATACAAAGACTAGCTGGGAGTGGTGGCTTGTGCCTGTAGTCCCAGCTATTTGGGAGGCTAAGGTGGGAGGATCACCTGAGCCGGGGAGGTCAAGGCTGCAGTGAGCTGAGATAGCACCACTATACTCCAGTCTGGGTGATAGAGTGAGAGCCTGTCTTTAAATATATATATACGCATGTATATGGGTAGAATCTCTGTGAGATTACACAAAAAATGATGGTATTTATAGAGGGACTAGAGTGAGAGGGAAACAATTCTTTTTTTTTTTTTTTTTTTTTGAGACGGAGTCTCGGACTGTCGCCCGGGCTGGAGTGCAATGGTGTGATCTTGGCTCATTGCAACCTCCGCCTCCTGGGTTCAAGCAATTCTCCTGCCTCAGCCTCCTGAGTAGCTGGGATTATAGGCGCACACCACCACACCCGGCTAATTTTTTGTATTTTTAGTAGAGTCAGGGTTTCACTATGTTGGCCAGACTGGTCTCGAACTCCTGACCTCGTGATCCGCCTGCCTCGGCCTCCTAAAATGCTGGGATTACAGTCATGAGCCACCGTGCCCGGCTGGAAACAATTCTTTTTTGCACGTTCGTCTTAACTATTTAAATTTTTATGAACTATATTAATATGTAATTATTATGATAGAAAAAATCTACTCTAATTTTATTCAACTATCCTATCCATTCCCTGAACAAACAGAATACTGCAGAATGTGATAAAACTTTGACATCAATCCTAACGAAATGCCATTAGAGAGTATTAATTAATGTCGATTAGAATGAGAGTTTCTAGGCCAGGACGGTGGCTCACACCTGTAATCCCAGCACTTTGGGAGGCTGAGGTGTGCAGATCACTTGAGGCCAGGAGCTCGAGACTAGCCTGGGCCACAGAGCAAGAACCCCATCTCTACAAAATATTAAAAAATAATTTAAAAAAATGCAAGTGTCTAGGACACAGTGGATTTGAAACAGTCCAGGAAAAATCTCCTTCCCAGCCCTTTCAGCAGGTACCGCTTCCTGTATCTAGAACATTCCAGGGGAATCCTCCTGAAGGCCTTGGGATCTTGGCTGCATGCAAGGCTCAAAGCCAGGTAGCTGCCTACAAACTATGCTCTCATCATGGCTGCCTGGCTCTGCACTAAAGTTCATGAGTCACCTTGGTCCCCTGCCTTATCAGGTCACGTCCCACTCTGTTGCACCTGGCAGGTTCTCCCTTAACACGGGTCTAGACTCATGACATCTAGTCTGGGACATTCTTTATACTCTTATCCTGAAGGAGAAGATACTTAGGTGGGACCAGCAATTAGAACTCCAGGATTCATTTATTTCTATAAGGGAACTTCGATGTCAGTCTTCAATGTCTTTAAATGTGCACCAACATACTACACACGTTTCATTCATGACACATCTATCTTCCTCCATTTTCCCAAGTCAGACCAGCCACTGCCGTAGAGAAGGTCTGATGTGGAAGGCCCTAGGTCTTACTGCTGAGATGGGCTTTTCCTGGCTATGAGGTAGCAACATGCCATCGGCTGATTGGCTGGGATCAGCTCCAACCCACTCAGGGTGCAAGGTGAACTCACCTTTGTGGGTGAGATCAAGAGTGGTGGAGGAAGTAAGAGTTTCCCACTCCTTTTTCCATTCTTCCCACTAAAGACCCTTCTTAAACCTGTTTGTTGAGCACACCTGTGTCACCCACATGTACTTCCTTGTTTTCTAAACAAGAGAAACCTAGATAGAAGGAGCATTTAAAATTCCCTTACTTTCCCCGGGAAGGTCACCTCTGCTAGCAAGACACTCCAGAGGTAACAGCAATCCTGGATCAGGCTGCTTAGGGAGTCACAGCCATGCTGGCTGGAAGGCGAGGTGCTGGCCTGAGGCTCTGTCTGCCTATGGGATACTGTCTGGCAGTGCAGCCAGGGCCTCGCCTGCCCTATTTCACCTGGACAGGACTTGCATCTTGGACAGGAGAAGCAGCAGCCACCTCCTAGGGGTCCCCTCTTCCTCTCCTGGTGTCTGCTGGAGCACTGATGGACATGGCACATTGCAACCCCATGGCAAGTTTTTTTAGGAAGGAGGTGAGGATCTACAAAGTTACCTTGTCCTGGACAGCCCCTCCTTAGGCATGCAAGGACAAAGGGACAAGAACCTTAGCTTAGCAGCTGCCTTTCCTGACCTAGCAACTCCTCTTCCATGTGTGATGGTACAGATGAAATCCCTCTACAGGGATCATCGTTATCCAAGTGTTCTTTATCTGAGTTCCTGAAGAAAGTTGCAAATGACAGGAGAATTGCTTGTCCACTCCCCTGGACACCCACTACGCTGCCGCTGCAGCTGAGCCACACACCAGTGACCTCCGGGCAAGTCAGACCAGCCTCCAGGACACCAGGCCCCCGAGGGAGCATGCTGGGAGCCACAAATCATTATTATTTCAGGTTTCCCATGTATTTGGGGTGTTTTGCAGGCCCTAATGCTCATAAAGGAAGTATTCTCTAGACTGGCTAAACTAAAATTGTCTAAATTAAAGACTTTGGGATACAACTGCAGCAACCAGGCATTTCCTAAGCGCCTGTGATGGCAGGTAAAGCTTTTCAAGCCAACACATCATCCCAGCTTACACTCTGACCCACACTCCCTCACCCCATGAAAGGGCAGCTGCCAGGAAGCTGGAGTGATCCGCTGATTGATCAGTAACTGAGCGTGCAGGGAGTCAATGACACGTCAGAGGAAGGCATGCCTGCTCCCCCCAGGAAATCCCCATCACATGAGTATACTCATTGCCTCACGTCATCCTAGAAGACAAGTTTATGAAGTCTAGAAAGCAAACAGCTTCCGCCTAAGGATCCTTCTCCTTCTGTCTTCAGAGGCCTGACTTCAGCCCAGTCAGAAGGATCAGAGGTGACCTTGGATGGTACCTCATCCCTCCTAGATCTGAAAGAAATGTATTTGGTACCCCTCGGCTTAATCTCATGTCTAAGATTTGTCCCTAATGAGTATGCATTGAAAATACTGGGCACTTGGAGACCCATATTGCAGGATCTCTCTGAAATACAGGTTCCTACATCTACTCCACCCACTTTAAGAGTTCAAGTAGAAATCTATGGGGCGGGGTGGGAGGAGGGAGAGCATCAGGAAAGACAGAGAATGGATGCTGGGCTTAACATCTAGGTGATGGGATGACCTGGGCAGCAAACCACCATGGCACACGTTTACCTGTGTAACAAACCTGCACATCCTGCACGTGTACCCCTAAAGTTAAAATAAAAGTTGGAAGGGAAAAAAAGTCTATGGAAAAATACTTTGAAAAATGTAGATAGGGTCGGGCGCGGTGGTTCATGCCTGTAATCCCAGCACTTTGGGAAGCCAAGGCGAGCAGATCACCCTGAGGTCAGGAGTTCGAGACCAGCCTGGCCAACATGGTAAAACCCTGTCTCTACTAAAAATACAAAAATTAGCCGGGCATGGCGGCATACACCTGTAATCCCAGCTACTCGGGAGGCTGAGACTGGAGAATCGCTTGGATCAGGGAGGCAGAGGTTGTAGTGACCTGAGATCACGCCACTGCACTCCAGCCTAGGCAACAGAGCAAGACTCTGTCTCAAAAAAAAAGAAAGAAAGAAAGAAAGAAAGAAAGAAAAACGTAGATCACTATATACACTTAAGGTGTGTTACTATTAGCTCTACAGGGATCATCGTTATCCAACTGTTCTTTATCTGCGTTCCTGAAGATTCAAGTTGCAAAAGACAGCAAAAATCATGTAGATATTTATGAGTCAGTTGTTTAATAAATTTGGCCCTTGCTCAAATACTGACCACCTCCTACCCCAACTTTGCCCTGCCCATCTAGGCAAAGTGTTCTCTCTTTGATGGTTAGAGGGTGCTATCATCCAACAATATGCAATGTATCAAAATGCAAAGTAAGATAAACATCCATGCAGAAAAAAAATAGAAAACTTCATGAAGTCACTGAAAGCAGTGGAGAACTGTTTGACTCACAACTCCATTGCCAAATAAGGAGGCCAGTATTGAAAAAGGGGCAATGAATGAAGGAAGAAGCCTTTCAAAAGAGATAGACCTGTTAAAGGATGAAGAGAGACCCTTAGCCCTTAAATACACTTGTTAATAAGATGACTCATTTAGGAGTAAGCTGTGAATGTTCAAATTGGAGTTTATGGCATGTCACATTGTGCTTCCACACAATTTTTTTTTTGAGACAGGGTCTCACTGTCACCCAGGCTGGAGTGCAGTGGCGTGATCTCGGCTCACTGCAACCTCCACCTCCCAGGTTCAAGTGATTCTCCTGCCTCAGCCGCCTGAGTAGGTGGGACTGCAGGTGCCCACCATCAAGTCTGGCTAATTTTTTTGGATTTTTAGTAGAGACGGGGTTTCACCGTATTAGCCAGGGTGGTCTCGATTTCCTGACCTCGTGATCCACCCGCCTCGGCCTCCCAAAGTGTTGGGATTACAGGCGTGAGCCACCGTGCCCGGCCCATACAATTTTTTTGGAAAAACCACACATGTGCACAAAACCAACACGACTTGACTCATTATTTGCTCAACTAAAAATCAGTGCAACACTGCGAACTTTAAGTCCTTTTCAGTTTCTTTTTTAAAGATAATCAATTTCCCTCTCCCAACCCCTTGTCCTATGTCTATGAAATATTGGTCTTCATTTAGAATAGAGTAACTTTTTTTCAAGATGGAGTCTCACTCTGTCACCTAGGCTGGAGTGCAGTGGCACGATCTTGGCTCACTGCAACCTCCGCCTCCCTGGTTCAAGAATTTTCCTGCTTCAGCCTCCCGATTAACTGGGACTACAGGTGCATGCCATCACACCCAGCTAATTTTTGTATTTTTAGTAGAGATGGGGTTTCACCATATTGGTCAGGCTGGTCTTGAACTCCTGACCTTGTGATCCACCCACCTCAGCATCCCAAAGTTCTGGGATTACAGGCATGAGCCACTGCACCCGGCCTAGAGTAGAAAAACTTAAAAAAGTGGCCTTTTATTAGGATTCAAGGACTCTTCTACTTGGGTCTAAGGAACAACTGAATTTTTTATGGCACCTTGTCTCCAACCAGCAGAAGTCATTATGGTTGTTTCCAGAAGACCTTGCCTGGCACAAGAGAAAGCAACCATGAAACCAAGCTGATCTGTCCTTTTCCCTGTTTGGGGGCAACACAGGATCATGGAAGCTGGATTTATTCAGTCCAGCGAGGTGCTCCTTATTCCTCCACAACAGGGTCCCAAAGTGTAGGCCTTGATCAAACTGACTTTAAAATTTGAGGTCTTTCTTTGATCTTTGTGAGTAAACGATGCCATTTCATAGATTTCTGTTATTACCTAAGACTAGGGGCTATGTACAAGTACCTAAGTGGGTTATTATAAGTTATTAACGTTTGGAATTTTTTTTTGTTTTTTTTGAGACAGAGTCTCATTCTGTTACCCAGGCTGGAGTGCAGTGGCGTGATTTCCATTCACTGCAACCTCAGCCTCCCAGGTTCAAGCAATTCTCGTATCTCAGCCTTCCGAGTAACTGGGATTACAGGCACGCACCACCACACCCGGCTAGTTTTTGTATTTTTAGTAGAGACGAGGTCTCACCATGTTGGCCAGGCTGTTCTTGAACTCCTGGCCTCAAGCGATCCGCCTTCCTCAGCTTCCCAAAGTGCCGGGATTACAGGCGTGCGCCACCGTGCCCGGCCTGGAATTTATAAACTAAAACCAGCCATTTCTAGAGATCCCTAAAAACTCTAATTCCATTTCTCATTAGGTAATCTGAACATCATTCAATGCTAAGCAACACTGGAAAGGTCCTACTGGGCACAAGAGAACACAGAGAACTAGAATTCTACTCCCCCTCTTAAAGGAGAAATTACAACTAATTTACTTAGGTAATTTTCAAGCAAGTTTATTGCAGGTTGCATGGTTCACTCTAAGTATATAATGACATACTTTCATGAATGAAATTGGTGGCTACTAGTTTTACTGTAACAGGATTTTAAAAATACTTTCTATGCATCAGACTTCAAATATGTTAAAGCAAATCCCACCACCTTCAAATTTGCTTGCCTGGTATTGCTGTTTAAATACTTTGCAATATACCATCAAGGTAAGAAACTGAAGTTATTTGGATAATAGTGTTTTGGAGGCAGTGTTTCACAATATAAAGTACTGAGTTGGAAGTTCATATTTCTCAGTTATAAGCTTTATGAGTGTTGCTAGCATCAAGTTTGTTGTTCTCGAATTTTGTTGTTGTGGCTGAGCTCTTTTTCCATCAGAGAGAAAGAGCAGGTGGGGAAAGTGGTCATTAGAGTCTTCTGCCCACCTTACAATACCATGTCACCCAGCAATCCAGTTACTGGGTATATACCCAGAGGAATATAAATCATTCCATCACAAAGACACATGTACATGTATGTTCATTGCAGCACTGTTCACAACAGCAAAGACATGAAATCAACCCAAACGCCCATCAATGGTAGACTGGATAAAGAAAATGTGGTACATATACACCATGGAATACTATACAGCCACAAAAAAGAACGAGATCATGTCCCTTGAGGGAATATGGATGGAGCTGGAAGCCATTATCCTTAGCAAACTAAGTCAGGAACAGAAACCAAATACCACATGTTCTCACTTATAAGTGGGAGCTAAATGATGAGAATTTATGGACACAAAGATGGAAACAACAGATACCTGAGGCCTCCACCCGAGGGTGCAGGATAGGAGGAGGGAGAGGAGCAGGAAACATAACTAATGGGTACTAGACTTAACACCTGGGTGACAAAATAATCTGTACTACAAACCCCCATGACATGAGTTTACCTATTTAACAAACCTGCACATGTATTGCTGAACTTAGAAGTTTAAAAAAAAAAAAAGAATAGGAGCAATTAGAGAAGATTGAGAACCACTGTTCTGAGTCTATGTGCTTTAGAGAATTTTGCATGAAAAGACACCAGAAAGAGTAAACAGGACTAGAAACCCAGGCAACCTGGGACATACCTATGAGTGTCACCCAGGTACTTATAGCTACATGAGGACTGGGGGGGTCTTAACCCTGAGAGCAATGTGGGTCTTGATTGAGATTTTCTATGGTTAACTTCACTTCTAACCCCTGAAGGAGACTCATGGGACGGGTAGACTGTAAGAGCCTGCTAAGGGAGAGGTTTTGCTAACTCTCTCCGGCTGCAAAGAACCGAGGACAAAGGCAGAAATGAGTGACTTGCTTGATGGTTCTCCATCCTTTCCATCAACTCCCAACCTTTTAACAAGACACAGAAAAGAGATTTTTCTTAATCTTTTTTTTTTTTTTGATACAAAGTCTCGCTCTTGTCCCCCAGGCTGGAGTGCAATGGCGCGATCTTGGCTCACTGCAACCTCCGCCTCCTGGGTTCAAGCGACTCTCCTGCCTCAGCCTCCCAAGTAGCTGGGATTATAGGCATGCGCCACCACACCTGGCTAATTTTTGTATTTTTAGTAGAGACGAGGTTTCACCATGTTGGCCAGGCTGGTCTCGGACTCCTGACCTCAGGTAATCCGCCTGCCTTGGCCTCCCAAAGTGCTGGGATTACAGGCATGAGCCACCGTGCCCGGCTATGTTTCATTCTTAAAGTATCTTGCATATGCTAATATTTCCTTTTCAATTATGCACGTACCTCAGTTTTCCAAGCAACTCATTCATCCACTTATTCAAACATTTATTTATTCATTCATTCATTTTTTTGAGACAGGGTCTCACTCTGCTGCCCAGACTGGAGTACAAATGGTGCAGTCACGGCTCACTGCAGCCTTGACCTCCTGGGCTCAAGCAATCTCCCAAATAGCTGGGACTACAGACACATGACCACGCCTGGCTATGTTGGAAAATTTTTTTGTAGACCTAAGGTCTCACTATGCTGCCCAGGCTGGCCTTGAACTCCTGGTCTCAAGCTCTCTTTCTGCCTTGGCCTCCCAAAGTGCTGTGATTACAGGTATGAGCCCATACCCAGAGCATTCAAATATTTATTAGTACCTATTGGTATGTACCAGTGGTGCCTGTGTGTGCTAGAGAAATCCAGGTGAACTAGACAAGTCCAGTCCTTGGGGAGTTTACAGATTAGTAGACAAAACAATAGGGAAGACAAGAGCCACAGTGGAAATATGTTAAATAAGAAAGAATGTTATCTGCTGGGTGTGGTGGCTCACACCTGTGATCCCAGCACTTTGGGAGGCCGAGGCAGGTGAGGTCAGGAGTTCAAGATCAGCCTGGCAAACATGGTGAAACCCTGTCTCTAGTAAAAATACAAAAATTAGCTGGGCATAGTGGTGGGCACCTGTAATCCCAGCTACTCGGGATGCTGAGGCAGGAGAATCACTTGAACCTGGGAGGCAGAGGTTACAGTGAGCTGAGATCGTGCCACTGCACTCTAGCCTGGGGCCGGGGGAACACAGCAAGACTCTGTCTCAATAAAAAAAAAAAAAAGTTATGAATGCTGTAAGATAGGTTCAGGTAAAGAGCTATGAGAGTCTGAGTGAAGGGGAAAAAAGCAGATATAGGTGAGGAGGTAAGGAGAATCTCTGTGGAAGAAAGAGGATTCAAGCTGGACTTAAGGGATATGGCAATAGGGAGCCATTGAATACTTAGGAGCCCTGCCATAACATGATCAAGTTCTCTTCAGAAAGGTTCAGAGACAATGGGGAACAGAGGAAGACCTGCCCAAGAGACTGCGACAATAGTGAGTGTAGCGAGGCTCTAGCCAAACTAGGGCAGAAGTGAGGGGAATGTTCCAGAAGGAAAACTAAGGGGGGGGGCTCCTGAAGATCAACAGGTGGTCCAAGCCATTGGCTCTTCTTGCTCCAGTTACTCCCCATTTTCTCCCTCTGCCTATGGATTCTCTAGGACAGAGTAGCCAATGGAAACGATTACTGTGAAGAGTAAGAAAAACATCAATAATACCCCAGACATAATACTGAGTGAAAGCAGCCATCAACAGAGTGCATGATGCCCATATAAACATGAGGGATTCACAAAACTATCCTATGGGGATAGAGATTAGAACAGTGGCTGCCTCTGGGAGGCGCTGTTGCCTGGGAGGAGGCAGGAGCCTGTGCTAGGTGCTGGAAGAGTTCTAGGTCTCGATCTGGGTGGTGGCAACAGAGATGTTTACCTAGGTTAAAAAAAAAAAATTGGCCGGGCATGGTGGCTCACGCCTGTAATCCCAACACTTTGGGAGGCTGAGGCAGGCAAATCGCGAGGTTAAGAGATCAAGATCATCCTGGCCAACATAGTGAAACCCCGTCTCTACTAAAAATACAAAAATTAGCTGGGCGTGGTGGTGTGTGCCTGTAATCCCAGCTACTTGGGAGGCCGAGGCAGGAGAATTGCTTGAACCTGGGAGGCGGAGGTTGCAGTGAGCCGAGATTGTGCCATTGCACTCTAGCCTGGTGACAGAGGGAGACTCATAAAAAAAAAAATCACTGAGCTGTATGTTTAAACTTTGTGCACCTTTCTGGGAAATGAGAAGTGAGAGAAACTAACAATGGAGACTGAGAAGTCACAACCGGGGTCTGGATGGTGTGTGAGCCACAATCTGTGAATATGCTACCTGACTTTTCAAAAGGGACTCTGCAGATGTCATTAAGTGAAAGATCTTGAGATGAGATTATCCTGGATCATCTAGGTGGGTCCAGTGTGACCCCGAGTGTACTTCTAAGTGGAAGATGGATGTAGGAGCATCAGTCGTAGGAGGAGACGCAGCAACAGAGGCAGAGGCTGGCATGATGAGATTGCTGGCTGGGCCAAGAGCCAAGGAATGCAGGCAGCCTCCAGTAGCTGGAAAAGGCAGGAAAAAAGAATCTCCCCTAGAGCATCCAGAAGGAATGCTTCCCTGCAGATTCATTTTTTACTTTGGAACTGTAAGAGAGTAAATGTGTGTTGCTTTAAGCCACCGAGTTTGTGATAATTTGCCAGAGAAGCAATCAAAAATGAATTCAGGTGGAAAACTAAAAGGGTATGGCATCCAGCAGCCAGGTGAAGAAAGTGTACTGGAGGGGAGGAAGGGTGATCAATGGTGTCACCAGTTGCTGCCAGGCCATGCAAGGTAAGGTGAGCACTGACCACCGGGTGGAGGAAGGCGAAGGTCCTGGTAACGCCAGCAAGGGCTGTTTCTGTGATGTGGTGGGTTTCAGAGCGCATGGGATGCTTATCACCTGTCTAAATAAATGAAGACTACATACAGACCAATGAGGAGCATGTGTCATAAGAAAAAAAATAAGCGAAGATGATGAATGCTGTTGCCGAAGCATCAGTCTGGGTTATTTCCCGGGAATACTTCCAAAGACAATTACTCTCATGTATTTCTAGGAATCCTGTTTGTTTCTTTTTATTTCCTCCAGAGAATCCTAATTTTTGACCCTCTTCCCAATTCTGGGTCTCAAAGCCTCTTTATTCACTGAATTGTGGGGTGACACCAGAGAGCACTCCTGGAGCTTGTGCTGACCCTGGGGTGGCCATGGAACTGCAGTGACCTGGGCCCTGGATGCCCCACCAGCTGGCCCTAGCTTCGTCCTCCAGGTGAGACTCGACTGGCACCACAGCAGGCCAGAGTGTAGAAGCCCCTGCAGGTGGTAGAGGGCAGTGACTGTTGATTGCTCAGGCAGGCTCCCCTGGGATGCCCCCTTAGAGGCCAAGTGATCTCAACCCCTCCAGTAAGTCGACTTCTCGGCTCTACTCTGCTCAGAAGGTGGCGGCAGTTCAGCAAATTCCCCAAGCATCAGTTTTTATCAGACCGGCTTTCCAAGATGGGCTGAGCTCAAGATGTTCCCGGTCCTGGGTAGGGTGGAAACTCCAAGTCTTTCTGCACTTAGATCTCCTCCTTATTGTCCCTCCCCATTTAATTATTCAAGCCCTTAAGCTCTGAATGGCCAGAGCCCAAAGTCTTACAGACCCATGTGTGGCTGAATCTGTGGACTTCTCAGCCATGCTGAGACAGACAAGCCCTGTGGAATTAAAACATGGCATCGAGACCTTCACACATCAAGGTTACCCCAACACTAGTGGCTGACGAGTCAGGCTTGCCTTCTCCCTAAAGTCTTCTCAAGCAGAGGGCATGGTCAGCTGGCATAGTCAGATATCTGCCAACGGTAGGACCTCTCCAGGATTGGTGGGGCATGGGGGAGTATGAGCCACCCTCTGGCAGTTATCATCGCTCTGGGTGGCAGGCTTGGGGCTCAGGAAAAACCCCAGTTCCATATTCACTTTATTTATTTATTGAGACGGGGTCTCCTCTGTCACTCAGGCTGCAGTGCAGTGGCATGATCACAGCTTATTGCAGGCTCAACTTCCCAGGCTCAGGTGATCCTCCCACCTCAGCCTCCCAAGTAGCTGGGACCACAGGTGCATGCCACCATGCCTGGCTAATTTTTGTAATTTTTTCTTGTAGAGATAGTTTTTCACCATGTTGCCCAGGCTGGTCTCAAACTCCTGGGCTCTAGCGACCTGCCCACCTCAGCCTCCCAAAGTGCCTGGATTACAGGCATGAGCCACCGTGCCTGGCCCCCATTCCCTTTAAAGTGCACGTAAAAGCTTTGATTTTACTGTTATTATCGCCAAGCATGAGTACATGGAAAAATAAAGTGGGTCAATTTAAAGATAAATATTACATTATGACAGTTCAAGTGGTACACCAAATTGGTAAAAGGCGAAAGACTTATACAATCTGAAGAGTAACCAGAGTATAGTACACCAAACTGGGGGGAAAAAAACCTGGGGTGGTGATTCATGGATGCCCAGAGTCTGGGAAACACAGTAATATAGCCTGGGAAGGAGGTTTAGACCTAAAGTCCTTTCCTTGTCTATTTCTTTTGTGAAAAATGCCGGTCGCAGCTCAATAAGTGGACTTCATACTCTGCTAACATGTGGCTGCAGCTGGCAGAGCACTGCTCTCGCCTGAGCTTGGGGTGAGGCTCTTGACCCCACCGCCCTGAGCTCCTTCCCTGCTCAGCCACGGCTCTGTCACTCGCTCAAGGTGGGCAGCTTGGCTTCACCATGTCCAAGGCCGTGGCAGGCAGCATGTTGGCTCAAACAAGTTGGACTTGTTTTGTGAATGTGCCTTCGTGTGAGTGTGAATGTGTGTACCTACAGAGGGTGCAGCAAAGTGGGGTGCAGGGGGAACAAACGGGTCCAGGCCTTCTCCCTGGGGGAAGGGCCAGGATGCTCCCATCCAAGGGCTAAACCAGCAGGACAGGGCCCTAGGAGGGGCACCATTCAGAAACGAGCCCCAAACAACAGAGCTGGTTCATGGCACTCCCCTTCCCCAGCAAAAGCCTCCTGCTCCTCCAGAGACAGGGGGCTCTAACCACAAGGGTGTCAGCATCCCTGGTCCAGCAGGAGAGGAGGGAAGTGCAAAAGGCAGCTTGAGGCTTGCTAGAAGGGCTTAGCTAGGGAGAAGAACAGAAATTGTCTCCAGCCAGGCATCTCTTTGAAAGGATATCCCACCCCCAGATTTCTCCTTTGACAACCTCTCCCACAAGTTTTTTGTTTGTTTGTTTGTTTTTGAGACAGGGTCTTGCTCTGTCACCCAGGCTGGAGAGTACAGTGGTGTGATCTGGCTCACTGCAACTTCCGCCTCCTGGGCTCCAGTGATCCTCTCACCTCAGCCTCCTGAGTAGCTGGGACTGCAGGCACGAGCCACCACACCCAGCTAATTTTTTGTAGAGACGGGGTTTCACCATGTTGCCCAGGCTGGTCTCGAACTCCTGGGCTCAAGTGATCCACCCACCTTGGCCTCCCAAAGTGCTGGAATTATAAGCATGAGCCACTGTGCCCAGCCTTCCTCTCTCTCAATTTAAAGACAACCCTGTACTAGTTCTTAGGTTAGAACTCTGAAGGCAGAAGCTGGCAGCCCAGTGGAGGGCTGGGCTAGTGTGACCATTGTCAAGTTTGGGCTATGCGTCTGCAGATGCATTGTTTTGAGTTTTGTTCCACATGCTCAGGTTGGGGCCCAGAAGTAAGGATGTCTGCAGCATGGCCCGCCCTCGGGCTCTTAGGCAACAGATGAGCATACAGGTCAGAAGCACATGTGAGACTGGGTCCCTGGGTCCCTCTCTAAGCATCAGACAAGGCAAACCATGGTGCTAGGTGGTTAGCAGAGCTGGGAGGTGGGACCATCCAGGGCAGCTGGCCAGGGGTGGCTGTAAGCATACTCAGGATGGTGTTGCGAGGACGAGCCACACCCTAAGGCTCCTTTCTAGAGGATACAGTGACAACACAGGGCGGGCCCATGAGCCACCGCAAACCTGTCAGTCTCAACCTCTCTTATTTCCTGCACTCAGTTTTTCTTTTCTTTTCTTTTTCCTTTTCTATTTTTTTGTGACAAAATCTTACCTGTCACCCAGACTGGAATGCAGTGGTGCGATCTCAGCTCACTGCAACTTCTGCCTCCTGGGTTCAAACGATTCTCTTACCTCAGCCTCCCGAGCAGCTGGGATTACAGGCATGCACCACCACGCCCAGCTAATTTTTGTATTTTTAGCAGAGATAAGATTTTACCGTGTTGCCCAGGCTGATGTCGAACTCCTGACCTCAAGTGATCAGCCTGCCTCAGCCTCCCAAGCAGCTGGGAGGGCACCACCACACCCAGTGCACAACCACACCCGGCTAATTTTTTGTATTTTTAGTAGGGACAGCGTTTCACCATGTTGGCCAGACTGGTCTCAAACCCCTGACCTCAAGTGATCCACCCGCCTTACCCTCCCAAATTCCTGGGATTACAGGTATGAGCCACCGTGCCTGGCCTCCTGCACTCAGTTTTTCTTATATCTTCTTCTAAACCCTTCAGCATGAGCCGACACCAAACACCAACCTCTCAGATTAAACTGGGCCCTCACCACACAATGCTGAGTCCCAGCATATTGTCTAGAGACTCTCCCGAATTCATCCCCCTTCCCCCCATGGTCACAGCCACTGCAGTGGCAGCCATGCAGCAGCATCCTGCCTGATCTCCTCACACCCACTTAGGCTGTCTCTGTTCCTCCTTGAAACTGCAGCCAGCGTCCTCTTCTAAAGATGCAAATCTGACCATGAACCCTGCCTGAACCTCTTCCCTGGCTTCCTTTTTTTTTTTTTTTTAAGATGGAGTCTTGCTCTATTGCCCAGGCTGAAGTGCAGTGGCGTGATCTTGGCTCACTGCAACCTCCACCTCCCGGGCTCACCTGGCTTCCCATTTTTGTTAGAGTCAAGTCCCAAATCCTGACCACAGCCTACGAAGCCCCGTGTGATGTGGCCCCGGCCGACTTTTGGCCTCCCCCCACATCCCTGTCTTTGCCCATCAGCCTCTGGCCACGTTGGTTTTATTTGCAGTCTTTTACTATGTCAAGCTCTTCCTGCCAGAGCCTTCACACGTGCTGTTCCCTTTGCCCAAAATATTCTTCCTGCTACATGCCACCTGGCTAAGCCCAGCCTATCAATCAGCTCTCAGTGTCAATGTCGCTTTCTCAAGAAGGCTCTCTATGCTCCTCCCCTCTAGATCCGTACTCTGATACACCATTAATTAAGCAACTATCATGTGATCTGTGTGTTCCCTCTCCTTCCCCATTATCCCATTAGCTCCATGAAGACAGGAACCGAATTCGTTTTGTTCATTGATATCTCCCCACACCCAGCACAGTGCTGTCAACCCATTAAGGAACCAGTTCCATGACTGAATAAATGATGGAGAAATTAGGCAGGATGACCCAATGAAAAGCCACCTGAAACAGTGGGTGCTAAGTCCTTTCAACCAAAGATCTAAGAGTAGTTGCTGGGCTCATCTTGAAAGCAAGAGTTAGAAGCAGGGGACAATTGTTGGTTTTCAGGAGTCCCCCTTATCCACGGTTTCACTTTCCATGGTTTCAGTAACCCACGGTCAACCTGGGTCCAAAAACATAATTAAATGGAAAATTCCAGAAATAATTTATAAGTTTTAAATTACTTTTCAATAGTAGCCAATGCCACATCACCACACCTGTCATTCACCTCACTCCAACCCATCATGTAGGCATCTTATTATCTTTTTTTTTTTGAGGTGAGCTCTCACTCTGTTGCTCAGGCTGGAGTGCAGTGGCATGATCATGGCTCACTGCAGCCTCCACCTCTCAGGTGATCCTCCCACCTTAGCCTCCCAAGTAGCTAGAATTATAGCCACATGCCACCACACCCGGCTAATTTTGGTATTTTTTGTAGACACAAGGTCTCCCTATGTTGCCCAGGCTGGTCTTGAACTCCTGGGCTCGAGCGATCCTCTTACCTCGGCCTCCCAAAGTGCTAGGATTACAGATGTCAGCCACTTTGCCTGGCCTCATGTTATCATCTTACATTATCACAAGAAGAGTGAGTACAGTACTATAAGATGTTTTGAGAGAAAGGGACCACATACAAATAGCTCTTATTACAGTATATTGTTGTAACTATTCTATTATTGTTGTTGTTAATCTCTTCCTATTGTTCTTAATTTATAAATTTAACTTTATCATAGATATGCATATATGGGAAAAAACATAGCATATATAGGATTCGGTACTATCTGTGGTTTTAAGGATCCACTGAGGGTCTTGAAATGTATCCCCTTGGACAAGGGGGAACTACTGTATATCTAAGCATGATGGCCCCATACCAGTCCCAGAGCCAGGCCTGGGGAACATCAAGAGAGTCGCTTTGCCTCTGGCCTGAGCCTACCTGGAATCCTGTGGACTAGGTCTGTCTCCTCCACCCGAAGACTTTTGGGATGGAGCCAGCATTGATTTTGGAGTCAGATACATGTGGCTTTCCCACTATTTAGCTATTTGACCTTAGGCGCATTAATCAGAGCCTCCCTGAGCCTCAGATTCCATATCCTGAAATGGGAATAACAAAACCTGCCCCAGGTTGAGTTAAGGACTTAAATACCATCGGGAGCTGGTACTGCACAGAAGCGTGCAGCTCAGCACACAGTCTGGTCCAAAGTGCTGGTCCCTTTTCCTTGGCAAAACTGGCTCATGCCTTTCATTTCACTCTTTTGGAGTCCCAAGCCAGCGTGTAGGACAAGAATATAAGGGAAGGTCTGAGAGGTTGGAGGACACAGTCCACCCCAGACATGGCCCAGGCAAGGCCAGGGCGGCACCAGGAAACCCAAGCTAGTGAGAAGAGTTACTGATCTGTGCCTCTTTGAAGCAGAAGTGAGGTGGGATGGGGAGGTGGGAACAGGTTGAGCCCATTATCCAAACAGAAACGGAGAGTGGTTGCAAAGAGGGAGAGGCCGATAAGTGAAGAGGAAGGAAAGCCGAGGCGTATGGGGGGCTGGGGACAGAAACGGGAATCCAGGTTGTCGGAGGGCAGGGGCTGCAGAAGGAACACGCTGGAAGGAGGGGTGCTGGGGAAATGGGAGAGC
Organism: Homo sapiens; assembly: GCF_000001405.40. Taxonomy (NCBI): domain Eukaryota; kingdom Metazoa; phylum Chordata; class Mammalia; order Primates; family Hominidae; genus Homo; species Homo sapiens. The sequence goes on from NC_000016.10 coordinate 74,774,244, forward strand.
TGGCACGGAGGCGGGCCAGGCGGTAAGGGTGGAAAGGAAGAGCAAGTTCCTGGAGAGAGGAAGGAGGGGTTGGAGGGGACGACAGTGACCTGTTGCCTGGAGAGAAGAGAGGGAAAGCGAGGGAAGGGAGGGCAGAAGCTGTCACCTTGGGTCCTGCTAGAGGGCAAGTGAACGGGGCTCGCCCGGGAGTGGAAGGCTGACGGAGGCCTGGGTTGGGGTGGGGGGCCCCGGCCCGGCTGTACCTGCTGCTCCCCGCGGAGCTCTCCCACGTAGTACTGCTCCAGCCAGCGGCGCGCGTTGGCCGAGTGCCTGTGCGGCGGCCCGTCCAGGTCGGCGCTGATGTCCTGGCCCGCCCTGGCCCGCAGCAGCTGCTCGCCCCCCGGGTGGTGCCGCACGAAGCTGGAGAGGTCGTAGAGGCGGGCCCCGCGGCGGACCCAGCACGCGCCGGCCGCCAGGCGCCGCTGGACCTCGGAGGGCGAGAAGGAGGCGGCGGGGGGCGGAGCGGGGGCCATGGCCGGAGACCGCAGCTCCCAGCGCGCAGCCCGGCGTCTGCTCTGCTGCCACCCTGAGCGCCTCTAACATCCCGGGAGCCCCGCGGCCGTTCCGGGCGGGCCGCCACCGCACCTGCTCATTTGCATACCGCGCTCCCATTGGCCGGCCGGGAGCCCCGGCAGAGCCGCGAGGGGCGGGCCCGGCGCCGGGAGCTGCGCGCCAGGTGGCCGCGGACAGGGAGTGCCGCGCCCGCCAGGTGTGTCCCGCGCGGGAGGAGGGTGGGCGGACACAGGCGGAGCGAGTCTCCCCGTCGCGGGTGGTTGTCTGGGCGGACATCCTCGGTGGCCTGATCGCTGCTGGAATAACTTCAACTGCTTCCACGGAGGAGCTGGCCGCATGGGACCCTCTGGCTCCAGGAGGTGCCCGAGAGAGCGAGAGGCGAATGAGGTGCTCGCCTCGGGTGCAAATATTTGTTTGTTTTTAAAATTTCAGTAGCTTTTGGGGTACCAGTGGTTTTTGGTTACATGGAGGAATTGTATAGTGGTAAGTCCTGAGATTTTAGTCCACCTGTCCCCCGAGTAGTGTACATTATACCCAATGTGTAGGGTTTTGTGTGTGTGTGTGTGTTACACCCCCTCCCATTCTCCCTATTGTCCATTATATCACTCTGTATGCCTTTGCGTCCTCATAGCTTAGTTCCTACTTATGAGTGAGAACATACAGTGTTTGGTTTTCCATTCCTGAATCACTTTCACTTAGAATAATGGCCTCCAGCTCCATGCAAGTTGCTGCAAAAGACTTCATTTCGTTCCTTTTTATGGCTGAGTAGTATTCTATCGTGTATATCAACTACATTTTCTTTATCCACTCATTGGTTGATGGTTATTTAAGTTGGTTCCATATCTTTTCGATTGTGAATTGGGCTGCAAAAAACAAACATTCGTGTGCAAGTGTCTTTTTCATATAATGACTCTTTTCCTTTGGGTAGATACCCAGTGGTGGGATTGCTGGACCGAATGGTGAATCTACTTTTTCTCTCCTCCCCTCCCCTCCCCTCCCCTTCCCTTCCTTTCCCTTCCCTTCCCGTGACAAGGTCTCACTCTGTCACCCAGGCTGGAGAGTAGTGGTGCGATCTTGGTTCACTGCAGCCTCGACCTCCCGGGCTCAAGCAATCCTCTTACCTCAGCCTCCCAAGTAGCTGGCACTACAGGCATGCACCACTACGCCTGGCTAATTTTTGTATTTTTTGTAGAGACGAGGTTTCACCATGCTGCCCAGGATGGTCTCAAACTCCTGGGCTCAAGCGATTTGCCTGCCATGGCCTCCCATAGTGCACTTTTTTTTTTTTTTTTTGAGACAGAGTCTCACTCTGTTGCCCAGGCTGAAGTGCAGTGGCACAATCTCAGCTCACTGCTACCTCCGCCTCCCGGGTTCAAGCGATTCTCCTGCCTCAGCCTCCAGAGTAGCTATGACTATAGGCGCGTGCCACCACGCCCGGCTAATTTTTTTGTATTTTTAGTAGAGACGGGGTTTCACCATGTTGGCCAGGTTGGTCTCGAACTCCTGGCCTCTAGTGATCCTCCCGCCGCAGCCTCCCAAAATGCTGGGATTACAGGCGTGAGCCACCGCGCCCAGCCCCAAAGTGTACTTTTAGTTTGTTAAAGAATCTCTGTACTGTTTTCCAAACAAGTTGTACTAATTTACATTCCCACCAGCAGTGCATAGCATAAGCATCCCCCTTTCACTACATACACGCAGACATCTACTGTTTCTTGACTTTTTAATAATGTTCGAGGGCAAAATTTAATGGGGCACCCCAAAACTCAGTCATCACTATATCTAATACCTGAACGTAATATTTAAAAAATTATATTGTTGGCTGGGTGCGGTAACTCACACCTGTAATCCCAGCACTTTGGGAGGCCGAGGTGGGCGAATCACGAGGTCAAGAGATCGAGACCATCTTGGCCAACATAGTGAAACCCCATCTCTACTAAAAATACAAAAATTAGCTGGCTGTGGAGGCACGCATCTGTAGTCCTAGCTACTTGGGAGGCTGAGGCAGGGGAATCGCTTGAATCTGGGAGTTGGAGGTTGCAGTGAGCCGAGAACGCCCCACCACACTCCAGCCTGGCGAGAAAGAGAGACTCTGTCTCAAAAAAAAAATTATTTTGTTGCACAATGTGAATGTTCTTAATGCCACTGAACTGTACACTGAAAATGGTTGGAATGGTAAATTTATATTATGTATATTTTACCGCAATACAAAATATTTAAGAATGTTTTAAAAAATCACATTGTCAAAAGACAGGGGTGAGGGGTGGGGTTGGGGGCGTGGCATTGGCCACCTGTTTTTGTAAATAAAGTTTTATTGGAACCAGGGCCAGGGATTCCTGAGACAGGGATGTGAAAGTGCAGGGTTAGCTCCTGTTTTTATTTAAAATTTTGATATTTTGTCCATCATGGATTTTTTTGCATTAATCTTGAAGTTTTACAATACTGCATTAAAATATTATTTATCTTGGTTACTTTTTTTTGTTTGTTTTTTGGCATGCCTGTAGATTTTGCTCTCAGGGTTAGTGCCTCACTCCCTCACTCTAATCCTGGGCCCTGGGGAAGGACCTGAGGGGAGAACAGAGAACACTGTCTCCATTACAGAAGGGGAAGTAGGGGCCTACAGGAGTAAAGGCTGGGGGTGATGCTGTGTGGAAAGGAGGACTGAATTTGTTCATCACAGTTTTGTTTAGAACAGGAAAAACTTGGTTGGACATGGTGGCTCATGCCTGTAATCCCAACCCTTTGGGAGGCCAAGGCAGGAGGATCGCTTGAGCCCAGGAGTTCAAGACCAGCCTGGGCAACAAAGCAATACCTCGTCTCTACAAAAAAATTTTTTTTTTAAATTGAGGCCAGGCCGGGCGCGGTGGCTCATGCCTGTAGTCCCAGCACTTTGGGAGGCCGAGGTGGGCGGATCACCTGAGGTCGGGAGTTTGAGACCAGCCTGACCAACATGGAGAAACTCTATCTCTACTAAAAATAAAAAATTAGCCAGGCATGGTGGTGCCTGCCTGTAATCTCAGCTACTCAGGAAGGCTGAGGCAGGAGAATCATTTGAACCCGGGAGGCAGAGGTTGCAGTGAGATTGTGCCATTGCACTCCAGCCTGGGCAACAAGAGCGAAACTCTGTCTCAAAAAAAAAAAAAAAAAAAATTGAGGCCAGGTGCGGTGGCTCACACCTGTAATCCTAGCACTTTGGGAGGCCAAGGCAGGCAGATCCCCTGAGGTCAGGAGTTTGAGACCAGCCTGGCGAACATGGTGAAACCCTGTCTCTACTAAAAATACAAGAAAATTAGTCGGGCGCAGTGGCATGCCCCTGTAGTCCCAGCTACTTAGAAGACTGAGGCTGGAGAATCGCTTGAACCCAGGCGTCAGATGTTGCAGTGAGTGGAGATTGCACCACTGCACTCCAGCCTGTGTGACAGAGCGAGGCTCCATCTCAAAAATAATTGGATAAATAAATAATTTAAAAAATTAGCCAGTTGTAGTGATGCAGGCTTATCGTCCCAGCTACTGGGGAGGCTGAGGCCAAAGGATCTCTTGAGTCCAGGAGTTTGAGGCTGCAGTATCCTATGACTGCACCACTGCACTCCAGCCTGGGCAACAGAGTGAGCTCCATCTCTTAAACAGAAAACAAAAAGCAGAAAAGCCACACCCAGCTTTACTTGCTCAGCCACAGGGGATCCCACTTGAACTCATGATTTGTAATCAAATGCTCCTGGTACAGAGGCTAACCCATCCAGCTGGCTTTGTCTCTTTCAGGAAAGATATTTTAAGGATCATCTCCATTTGTGCCCTTCTGGGGCCAGGCATCTGTGCTGGGCCAGTTCAAGTATGGGAAGCCTGGCCCAGATGCCTCAGGGGTCCCCAGGTCAGAAGAGCCGCCCCTCTTCCCTCTCCCTTCTCTTCGGACTGACCCTCAGGGAGTAGGCGAGAGTTTTGCTGTCTGTGGGTCTATGGAGCACCTGTCCGTCAGGCCTAGAGGCCTCACATCAACAGAGTTGTTGCTTTTCTCAAGCGGTGAATGCATAAGTAGTCACCTTTACCCAACTTCCACACCTACTCTGCTGCAAATCCCGTTCATGTGCCAAAGCAGCCAAGCGCACAGTCGCAGGTGTACTCAGGCACTTCTTGCTGACAGTATCTGTGGGCACTCCCATTTGGATTTCTCACCATGGCTGTGAACTCCCAGTGTTTACAGTTGAACAAATGATTTGGCCATCTGTTCAGAATTGTAACACTCACAGTTCTTGCCCTAGTTATTTCCACTTCTAGAAATTTAATCTTACAGATATACTATATCAAGATGCATGAACAATAACATTAATTGCAACCTCATTTATAGACTAGAAATGATCAAATGTTCATCATGAGGGAGGACTGATTAAATAAACTATGGTATATTCAGACAGTGAAATACTATGTAGCCATTAGAAAAAATGAGGTAGATCTATGTGTACTAATTTAGAATAATCTCCAGAGTATTGTAGGGGAAAACAACAGGAATGGTGTGTATGGCATGCTAAAAACTAGTTTGCTATTTTTAATTATTTAATCTTTAAGATATTTTTATGAAAACAAAAACATATATGTAATTTTTAAAGCAAAAAGTTTCCTTAACTCCTTGAATCTTCCTCCTAACTCAAGAGCTAGGACATTACCAAAAACTTGCACCTACTACTGTACCCCAAACCTTTCACCTCTCTGCCTATTGGTTACAAAGACATAAAATTTTCCCTGATGTTTATGCTCATCCTTCCTTTGAAACAGAATTGAGTCCTGTCCCCAGGCTGGAGTGCAGTGCTGTGATCTTGGCTCAGTGCAACCTCTGCCTTCTAGGTTGAAGCAATTCTCATACCTCAGCCTCCCAAGTAACTGGATTACAGGCTTCTGCCGTCACACCCAGCTAATTTTTTTATTTTTGTAGAGATGAGGTTTCACCATTTTGGCCAGGCTGGTCTTGAACTCCTGACCTCAGGTGATCTGCCCACCTCGGCGTCCCAAAGTGCTAGGATTACAGGCGTGAGCCACCGCGCCCAGTCTGCTTTTAGTTTTAATATTTTTAGCACACCTAAGTGTGTGCCTATAGAATGTATTATTTAGATCAGCTTGGTTTTGATTTTATGAAAATCATGTGATACTCTATTTAGCTTTATGTGGCCGTGCATGCTTTATTTATTTGAAGATTCATCCGACACTCCATCCAGTGTTGAGGATCACTTTTTTTTTTTTTTTTTGGAAACAGAGTCTTACTCTGTCGCCCAGGCTGGAGTGCAGAGGTGCAATCTGAGCCCATTTCAACCTCCGTCTCCTGGGTTCAACCAATTATTCTGCCTCAGCCTGCTGAGTAGCTGGGATGACAGGCACGTGCTACCACACCAGTTTTCACTGCTATGTCATATTCCACTATATGAATTTATTCATTTCCCTTTTCCTCTTCAAAGGAATTTTAATTGTTTCTTTTTTTTTCTATTGTGAAATTTCTTATACCTATGGGTGAGACTTTCTGTAGCCTATGTACCTAGGAGTACATCCTAGAGTACGCAAGTGTTCAAATTTGCAAGAGAATGTAAATTGACTTCTAGGTGGATATACTATTTTACATCTCCATGAAAGATGCATGAAAATCTCTAGCCCTAATATTAGAAACAAGGCAAGGATGGCAGTCTTATCACTTATATTCAACATTAGCAATGCTAGCCAGTGATGTAAGGCAAACAAAAAAAAGAAAGCCATAAAAAGAAGAAATGAAGGAGGAAAACTTTCTACTTGCAGAGACCATGATCGTTTACATAGAAAATCTCAACCAATTTGCAAAACAACCAGAACTAATAAGTAAATTTAGCAAGTCCATAGGATCCAAGGTCAAAATACAAAAATCAGTCATATTTTAATTACTAGCAACAAACAATTGGAAAATAATGTTTTAGAATTTCATTTATAATAGTGGCAAAACCCATAAAGTATGCAAGGATAAATTTGACAAAAATTATCTAAAACCTCTAACTGAAAACTACAAAAATGCTGCTGAGATAAATGAAAGAATATCTTAACAAATGGAATTCATAGATATACCAAATTCCAAGTTCATATATTGCATAACTCAATATTAAGATCTCAATTATCTTCCAACTGATCTAATGATTCAACACAATTCCAATCATAATCCCACTAGCCACTAGTTTTGTGGTTGTTTTTTGTTTGTTTGTTTGTTTTTTGAGACAGAGTCTTACTCTGTCACCCAGGCTGGAGTGCAGTGGTGCAATCTGAGCTCATTGCAACCTCTGTCTCCTGGGGTTCAAGTGATTCTTCTGCCTCAGCCTCCCAAGTAGCTGGGATGACAGGCACGCGTCACCACACCCGGCTAATTTTCATACGTTTAGTAGAGGCGGGGTTTCACTATGCTGGCCAGGCTGGTCTCGAACTCCTGACCTCAGGTAATCTGCTCGCCTTGGCCTCCCAAAGTGCTGGGATTACAGGCATGAGCCATCGTGCTAGCCCACTAGTTGTTGTTGTTGTTGTTGTTGTTTTTTAGAACTTTAACTTGCTTTTAAAATGTATATGGAAATGCAAAGGACCTAGAATATTGAAAGCAATCTTGAGAAAGAACAAACTTATGGGACTTACACTTCCTGACTTCAAGCCTTGGTATAAAGCTACATATTCAAAACAGTGTAGTACTTGCATAAGAAGCAACAAATAGATCAGTGGAACAAAACAGAACAGAAAGAGACTCAAACATATAAGGTCATTTTGTTCTTTTATTGAGATTATTTACATACAATAAAATGTGGCCTTTTTAGTGTACAGTTGGGGCACCTTCTATATCCTTTTTTTTTTTCCTTCTATATCCTTCTAAAGGTCAGATTTGTCTCTCCCTTTGCTAATACATTGTCATTATTGTAGCTTTAGTAATAAGTCTTGATATCTGATAAGGCTGATACCTACACCCTGTTCTTTAAGAGTGTCTTTGTTTATGCTCAGATTTTTCTTTTTTTCATATAAACTTTAGAATCATTTTGTCAATGTCCATGAAGAAGCCTATTGGGATTGTGAAAACAATTTTACTGAATCCATAGATTAATTTGGAGAGGATTAATATATTTGAGGCCAGGCTTGGTGGCTCACACCTGTAATCTCAGCAATTTGGGAGGCCGAGGCAGGAGGATCGCTTGAGCCCAGGAGTTCAAGACCAGCCTGGGCAACAGGCAAGACCCCATGTCTACAAAAAAAAAAATACAAAAAATTAGTTGGGTGTGATGGTGATGCACCTGTGGTCCCAGCTACTCAGGAGGCTGAGGCAGGCAGATCACTTGAGCCTGAGAAGTTGAGGCTGCAGTGAGCTATGATCATGCCACTGCACTCCAGCCTGGGTGACAGAGTAAGATTGTGTTAAATGAATTCCTAAGTATCCTATATTGTTTTTCTATTATAAATAATTTCTTTTTTCTTTTTCTTTCTTTCTTTTTTTTTTTTTTCTGAGGTGGAGTATTGCTCTATCACCCAGGCTGGAGTGCAGTGGTGCGATCTCGGCTCACTGCAACATCCGCCTCCTGGGCTTAAGCAATTCTCTGCCTCAGCCTGTGAGTAGCTGGGATTACAGGCAGGTGCCACCACACCCGGCTAATTTTTGTATTTTTACGGGGTTTCACCATGTTGGCCAGGCTGGTCTTGAACTCCTGACTTCGTGATCCACCTGCCTCGGTCTCCCAAAGTGTTGGGATTACAGGTGTGAGCCACCGTGCCTGGCCAATAATTTCTTTTTAAATAAGCTTTTTGTTGATGTATGACATCCATAGAGAAAAGTACACAAATCATAAGTGTACAGCTCAATGAATTTTCACCAAGTGAGCATACACTTCTCAGGAAATAGAACACTAACAGCCCCACAGAAGTCTCCCTCAAGCCTTTTCACAGTTACTGCCTCTTTCCCAGAGAAAACCACCATGTTGATTTCCAACCCCATACGTGAGTTTTGTCTGCTTTAGAATTTTATACAAATAGGATCATGCAGTGTATATTCTGTTTAACTGCCTTCTTTCACTTATTCTTAGGTTTGTGAGATCCGTTTATGTTGTTTGGTATAGTAGTAATTTGCACATTCTTATATCTGTATAGTATTCCAGTATATGAACATGCCACACTTAATTTATCCATTCTATTATTAATGGACTTTTGGGTTGTTTACAGCTTGTGGCTATTGAGTGCTGCTATAAATTTGCTTGTACATGGTTGTTTTTTTTTTTAATTTGAATGCATTTCCGTCAGGTAGATACCCAGGAGCAGACTTGTCTGTGTTCAACTTGAGTAGGTAATGTACCAAATTATACTCCCATCAGCAGTATATGAGAGTTCCAATTTTCCCACATCCTTGCCACACTCAGTTTTATTAGCGTTAAAACAATTTTTTAGCCATCCTGGTGGGTAAATATTGGTATCTCATTGTGATTTAAATGCGCGTATCCTCAGTGACTGGGACTGAATACTTGTATTTAATTGGTTATCCCTATTGTCCATTTTTCTGTCAATTTTTTTTTTTTTTGAGACGGAGTCTTGCTCTGTCGCCCAGGCTGGAGTGCAGTGATGTGATCTCCGCTCACTGCAACCTCCGCCTCCTGGGTTCAAGTGATTCTCCTGCCTCAGCCTTCTGAGTAGCTGGGATTACAGGTGCGCGCCACCATGCCCAGCTAATTTTTTGTATTTTTAGTAGGTGGCCAGGCTGGTCTCGAACTCCTGACCTCGTGACCCACTCACCTCAGCCTCCCAAAGTGCTGGGATTACAGGCGTGAGCCACTGCACCCGGACTTTTTTTTTTTTTTTTTTTTTTTTTGAGATGGAGTCTTGCTCTGTCACCCAGGCTGGAGTGCAATGGCATGATCTCGGCTCACTGCAACCTCTGCATCCTGGGTTGAAGTGATTTTCCCGCCTCAGCCTCCTTAGTAGCTGGGATTACAGGCACCGGTCACCACACCCAGCTAATTTTTGTATTTTTGCAGAGACAGGGTTTTGCCATGTTGGCCAGGCTGGTCTTGAACTCCTGACCTCAGGTGATCCGCCCACCTCGGCCTCCCAAAGTGCTGGGATTATAGGCGTGAGCCACTGTGCCCAGCTGAGGAACATTTTTTTTTTTTTTTTTAGACGGAGTTTTTGCTCTTGTTGCCCAGGCTGGAGTGCAATGGTGTGATCTTGGCTCACCACAACCTCTGCCTCCCGGGTTCAACCAATTCTGCTGCCTCAGCCTCCCAAGTAGCTGGGATTACAGGCATGCGCCACTACGCCCAGCTAATTTTTTGTATTTTTAGTAGAGACAGAGTTTCACCATGTTGGTCAGGCTGGTCTTGAACTCCTGACCTCAGGTGATCTGCCTGCCTCAGCCTCCCAAAGTGCTAGGATTACAGGCGTAAGCCACCGCACCTGGCCTTTAAAATTTAAAGTAGTTTATCAGTCTTTTAGTTTATGATTATGGCTTTTGTATCTTAAGAAATATTTGACTACCCCCAAATTATAAATATATTCTTCTATATATTCTTTTCTTCTGGAAGCTCTATTTTTTTACTTTTCATATTTAGATCTAAAATCAACTTGGGATTGATTTTTTTAGTATGGTGTAAGATATGGGTCGAGATTAGTATTTTTTTCCATGTATATATCCAGTCTATTCAGCAACACTTGTTGAAAAGACCACACTCTTTTCTACATGGCTCTGAGGTATCACTTTCACATAAATCAAATGTATACAGTCATGTGTCACTTAATGGCAGGTATACAGTCTAAGCAATGCATCATTAGGCTATTTCATCATTATATGAACATCACAGAATGTGTGTACATGAGCTGGGTGTGGTGGCTCACGCCTGTAATCCCAGCACTTTGGGAGGCCGAGGCGGGTGGATTGCTTGAGTCCAGTAATTCGAGACCAGCCTGGGCAACATAGCGAAGGCCTGTCTCTACAAAAATTAGCTGAGCCTGGAGGGACACGCTTGTAGTTCCAGCTACTCAGGAGGCTGAGGTGGGAGGATTGCTGGAGTCTGGGAGGTGGAGGTTGCAGTGAGTCGAGATCATACCACTGCACTCCAGCCTGAGCAACAGAGCCGGACCTTGTCTCAAAAACAACAACAAAAAACTTGCATTAAAGTTCACAAAACATAAAATTCATCATTTTAACCATTTTAATACATACAACTCAAGGGCATTAGTACAGTCACAGTGCTGTGCAATCATCTTCTCCAAATATTTTCACCACCCCAAAAGGAAACCCCAGATCCACTGGCAGTCCTTCTCTATCCTGTTCTTCTCCTAGCTCCTGGCAACTACTAATCTGTTCTCTGTCTTCATGGATTGTCCTATTCTGGATATTTCATAGAAAAGGAATCATACAACATGTGACCTTTGTGCTGACTTCTTTTACTTAGCACAGCATTTTCGAAGTTCATCCACGTGGCAGCAGGTGTCAGTACTTCATTCCTTTTCATGGCCCAATAGTGTGCCATTCTATGGATATATCCCATTTTGTTTATCCATTCACCGGGTGACTGACTTTTGGGTTGTTTTTACCTTTGGCTATTACGAACAGTGCTGCTGTGAATATTCAGTTTCTTTCTGTATAAAATAGGGATCAAAAATTGCTGTCCTGGCTGAGTCAAAGGCTGTCAGGAAAGTCAAATGAGATAGCACAGAAGAAAGTTTTCTGTGAGCTGCTTGGCGTCGTGCAAGTGTGGAGTGGAATCTGGTGTTGTTATTGTTATGGTTAAGATCATGATCATGGTTATGGACATGTTCAGCTATCCTGGCATCAGGGAGGAGAGGAAAGGTCCCAGGCCTGAGCTCTCCCTCAATGCCAGCTTGTCACCCAGTGCCCAGTGTTGGTCCGTCTGGCAGAGGCCAGCTGCTCACAAGTTATATTAGTCCATTTTCACACTGGTGATAAAGACATACGGCTGGGTGCAGTGGCTCATGCCTGTAATCCCAGCACTTTGGGAGGCCGAGGCGGGTGGATCACTTGAGATCAGGAGTTCGAGACCAGCCTGGCCAACATGGTGAAACCCAATCTTTACTAAAAATACAAAAATTAGCCAGATGTGGTGGCAGGTACCTGTAATCCCAGCTACTTGGGAGGCTGAGGCTGGAGAATCGCTTGAACCTAGTAGGCAGAGGTTGCAGTGAGCCGAGATCACACCACTGCACTCCAGCATGGGCAACAGAGGAGACTCTGTCTCAGAACAAAAAAAGAAAAAAGAAAAAAAAGACATACCCAAGACAGGGTAATTTATAAAGAAAAAGAGATTTAATGGACTCACAATTCCATGTGCTTGGAGAGGCCTCACAATCAGAAGGTAAAAGGTGCTTCTTACATGGCGGCAGCAAGAGAGAAATGAGAGCCACACAAAAGGAGTTTCCCATTGTAAAGCCATCAGATCTTGTGAGACTGATTCATTACCATGAGAACAGTATGGGGGAAACCACCCCCATAATTCAATTATCTCCCACAGGGTTCCTCCCACAACACATGGGAATTATGAGACACCATTCAAGAATAGATTTGGGTGGGGACACAGCCAAACCATACCACAAGTATATCTAGATATCAGTGCTTGGCCATTCGGAGATAGCAATCAGGGAAAAGGGCCAGTTAACAATAACTTGCCTTGGAGTTCTGCATCATTATTTGGTCTTGTTGCCTGTGGACTTGAGTTGGACGGAATAACTTTTGAACAAATCTGCTGGGTGCATTTAGACAGGTAAGACAGGCAGTGATTGGAGTTACTGAGAAACTCCCTAGTGCTCTAGGCTAGCTATTACCACAGTGCAGAGTAGTTTCACTTATTTACTCCCTCCATCTTTTTCAAATTCCTGCTCTCTGTCTTGAGCTGGGAACATAAAGGAAAGGGAAGACATCATTTATATGCCCCAGATTGAGGAAAAGAGCATGTGAAGCTGGAGGGCATTTGTAAAGCAACTCCCTCCAAAAAATTACCTAAACTGCCATGGTGCAGAGAGGCAGAGGGAATATACACATATTTAAAAAGAGAGGGTTTAGTGAAATTAATAGAAAAGTCTCCTGGGAAGTGAGTACCCTGGTGACTATTAGAAAAGGGAAGGCTGGGCCGGGTGTGGTGGCTCAAGCCTGTAATTCTAGCACTTTGGGAGGCCACGGTGGGTGGATCACTTGAGGTCAGGAGTTTGAGACCAGCCTGGCCAACATGGCAAAACCCCATCTTTACTAAAAGTACAAAAATTAGCCAGGTGTGGTGGTGCACACTTGTAATCCTGGCTACCTGGGAGGCTGAGGCAGGAGAATTGCTTCAACCCAGGAGGCCAAGGCTGCAATGAGCCAAGATCATGCCATTGCACTCCAGACTGCACAACAAAGTGAGACTCCATCTAAAAAAATAAAAAAAGAAAGAAAAAAAAAAGAAAAAGAAAAGGGAGGACTACAGATGGGTATATACTACTCCAGCAATCCCAGAGTCTCTGCTTGGGGGATCAGGGCCCACATCCCATCTTTTGTGACATCTACCCACTTGCTGGGACATACTATGGTGTGTGGGGTTGGAGTGTTGCTCCCTGTCTGCCAAGTGGCAGTCCCATCTGCACAGCCAAACACTGCTATACAACCCTAGAGCCTTCTTCCCCCTGTTCCCACTCCCACCCCCAGATCACATGGAAGAGAGCAATCGAGGCCAGAGCTACAGAGACTCAGGTCCTTGCAGAGAGTTGGGGGCTGCTGTATTTTCACTTCCTGCTTTGACCAGCTCTGGCCCCAATGTGTTAATGGGAGTATATTCAACGGCATCTTAATTATCCGGGCTGTCATTCTGTCATTGCTCTTAGGTTGTTGAACATAACATACAACTTCCTTGTGGATCCTGACTCTCACTCCCCTAAATCTTTGCCAGCCTTTGATGGCACCTTCTTCCATCACTAGCATATTTTCTTTTTCCTGCCTCTAAAGAGGAGATATTTCCCAAGGTCGCCCGCGACACTCCACTCTTCTGCCTGTACTCTTCCCCTTGGTGACAGTGTACACTTCCTCTACCTCAACAACCATCTCTAGCTGTTAAACTATACACCCGTAGCTCCCTCTCTGACCCTCTTTCAAGCTCCAGAAAGGCATTTCTGATCACCGTATGACAACCATATCCCAAACTCAACCTGGCACATCCAAACCCATTATCTTGTTCCTAAAATGAGCTTTTCTATTTCTGCATCATAAAACTTTAGATACTCAGCAAGGAACCTCAGAATCCTCTTTTATTTCTCCTCTCCCACCCTTCCCAAACCAATCCACTGCCCACGTGTGTCAATTCTACCTCTGAGATGACGCTCATGTTCACCCCAGCCATCAGATGTAGATCCTTAACGTTACCATAGACCTGTGAGGACCATAGACCTCACGTGATTTCATTCAGTAAAGAGTGTTTAGTTAACTAGTTGATTACCAGGACAAATTAAAGTATGTAATACAGTCAGTCTGGCTCTGACTCACCATGAATTCCCATATTGGGAGGACTGCTTGAGCCCAGGAGCTTGAGGCTACAGTGAGCAGTGATTGTGCCATTGCACTCCAGCCTGAGCGACAGTGAGAACCTGTATCAAAAAAAATTTTTTTTTGGGCCGGGCATGGTGGTTCACGCCTATAATCCCAGCACTTTGGGATGGTGAGGTGAGCGGATCACTTGAGGTCAGGAGTTCATGACCAGCCTGCCCAACATGGTGAAACCCCATCTCTACTAAAAACACAAAACTTAGCCAGGCCTGATGGCGCATGCCTGTAATCCCAGCTACTCAGGAGGCTGAGACTGGAGAATCGCTTGAAGCCAGGAGGTGGAGGTTGCAGTGAGCCAAGATGGCTCCACTGCACTCCAGTCTGGGTGACAGAGGGAGACTCCATCTCAAAACAACAACAACAACAAAAATTTCCCACACTATTCTCTGAGAACAGAGAATGTTCTAGTTGTCCTGGACATTCTTCTCCCTTTTTAACCTGTCTTCAGTTGGAGAAGTAGGAAGCAGACGTACTAGAGAAACATGGCAGAGCTGCCTGGTTCTTTCGAGTATCTATTTGAGAAAGCTGGAAGAATTTGCACCAAGATGTTATTGGAAGTCACCTTCCTTTTCCATACCTATATTTCCTGCTTTTTTCCCCCATAAAGAGCATGTGTGGACAGTGGGGTGAGAAAAAAATAACCTTTTTAAATATATTTATTTATACAAGCAACACATAGATATATTGTCACTGTATAAAAGATCTGCAGATCAGGGGCAGGGGATGACCACAAGGGGTCATGAAGGACCTTTCTTGGGGTAATGGAAATATTCTATATCTTGACTTTGATTATAACATGATGGTACATATTTGTCAAAAGTCATAGGACTATATACCTCAAGGGGTGAATTTTACAGTACATAAGGTATATCTCAATAAACTTGACTTAAAAGAAAAGAGTTATACTATAGAGAAGTTTACAGAGTGAGTGAGGCATGTCCTCTCACAGCCCTCCCTGCCCAGCTCAGTCTCCCCAGTTCCATTTCTCTGACAAGAGGCAACCGCAACTCACAGTTTAGCATATTTCCTTCTGGTCTCGCCCACCCATCCCAGCCCCACACAAATTTTTTAACTACAAAAATTTCAAACTTAAAGGGAAAGTACAAGCATAACACAATGAATACCCTTAAACTCTGCACCTGGATTTGCATGATTGTTAACCTTTTTCTCTGTTTGCCTCTCTCTCTCTGTCTCTCTGACACACACACACACACACACACAGAGATAGACACACATCTATGTACATACTTTTTTTCCGAACCATTTTGAGTAAATTACAGCCATTGTACACTTCACCTCTAAATACTTTAGCAGGTGTCTCTTAAGAACCAGGATGCTTTTTTCCATAACCACAATACAATTGTCATTCTCAGAAAAATTTTAACATTAGTGTGACATCTCATATATAATCCATATTGAAATTTCATCCATTATCCAAATAATGCCTTAAAAAAAAAAAAGCTGGGCCAGGCATGGTGGCTCACGCCTGTAATCCCAGCACTTTGGGAGGCCAAGGCAGGCAGATCATGGGGTTGGGAGTTCAAGACCAGGCTGGCCAATATGGTGAAAACCTGTCTCTACTAAAAAATACAAAAATTAGCCAGGTGTGGTGGTGCATGCCTGTAGTCCCAGCTACTCGGGAGGTTGAGGCAGAAGAATCGCTGGAACCTGGGAGGCAGAGGTTGCAGTGAGCTGAGATAGCTCCACAGCACTCCAGCCTGGGCAATAGAGTGAGATTCTGTCTCAAAAAAAAAAAAAAAAAAAAAAAAAAAAAAAAGCTGATTTTGCTTTAAAGTCCAGGGCCTTATAATAAAAGATCCACATTGCATTTAGTTGTCATTTCTCTTTAGTTTTATTTAAGTTAGAAGAGTTTTTCATATCCTTCTTTTGTCTCTTGTGACATGGACATTTCTGAAGAGTCCAGGGCATTTCTGAAGAGTCAAGGTTGTTTTGTAGGAGGTAGCTCAATTTGGATCTGCCTGATAGTTTCCTTATTACTAAATTCAAGTACAACATTTTTGGCAGGAATACTACATAGGAGATGTTGTGTCCTTCCTGGTGCCTCATATCAAGAGGCAGATGAGGTCAGTTTGTTCCATTATTGGTGTTTTTCACCGTAATCATTTGGTTAGGATCATGTCTACCAGATTTCCTCACTGTAAAGGTATATTTTCTCTTTTGTAATTAATAAAAAATATGTGAGATGATAAGTAAATATCATCTCACATAAAGATATTACTTATCAGATCACAGATTTTTTTTATCTTACTAGGAGACTTAGTAAATATCCTATAATAATGTTCTTGCCTGAATCAGTTATTTCTGATTGTAACATGGTGATTTTCTATCATGTTTTCTGCATTTATTTGCTGAAGTTATTTTATTGGAAAAAAAAACCCTAAAACTTTCTCTTGAATATGTTATAATCCATTTCTGCCATTATTCATTTTGCCACTCAAGTTAACCCAAATTTGGCCAGTGGGAGCCCCGTCAACCTGGCTGTATTCTTTTGTCAAGTCTCTACTGGTTTTTTTTAACTTTTCTTTTTTTTTTAGAGCTAGGGTCTAACTATGTTGCCCAGGCTGGTCTCAAGCACCTGAACTCAAGCAGTCCTCCCACCTTGGACTCCCAAAGTGCTGGGATTATAGGCATGAGCCACCGCACCTGGCCATCTCTACCAGTTTTTAAGCACTTCCTTACTTTCTGGCATAACAAGATATTATAGACTCTCCTTGTACTTTCTCTGTCCCAGCTCTGGACTCTTCCACTTCTTCAAAGAACCTTAGTTTCTTTTACTAGGGAGTGGGATTTCAAAAATAAGATCAGACCATTATGTGTGCTCATTGCTAGTGGAGTGTCATTGCTTCCTGGAGCTTTCAATGCTCCAAGCAAGAAAATGTATTTCTTAAAAGATCATGAGTTCACACTGATCCCTGTGGTTCAAATCCAATACTACTGGATTCTTCTTCTCCTTCTTCCATTCCATATTTTTATCTACCTTATTCTACAATGGTTTCCAACCAACATCAGCATACGTACTTATTTGCATAAGCCTGCAATGGACACAAGATATGTCCAGAGTTGTTACACAAGTACTACGACAAACATACTACATCAATTTCAGAAGTTTTGGGCAGTTCTTGTCATCAGATATATCCATCCAGAATTGTATAATGACTTTTGGGGCCCTTTCTCTATAAGGAGACATTAAATATTATATTTTATGACTATATTGTTGTAAAGAATATAATCTAGACTGGATTCATCATTATATAGTAATTATTATCATGTTTCTTGTTTTCTTCTGAGTTTTTTGGATGCATGTAGCCTGTTATTTTGGCCTGTATTTTTTATTGTGGCAAAATATACATAGCATAATATTTATAATTTTAACCATGTATAAGTGTACAATTCAGTGGCACTATATACATTCACAATGTTGTGTAACCATCACCACTGATATGGCTTGGAGTTGTGTTCTTGCCCAAATCTCATGTTGAATTGTAATCCCCAGTGTTGGAGGAGGGGCCTGCTGGGAGGAGACTGGATCATGGGGGTGGATTTCCCCCTTGCTGTTCTCGCGGTAGCAAGTGAGCTCTCATGAGATCTGGTTGTTTGAAAGTGTGTAGCACCTCCCCCTTTGCTATCTGTCTCTTGCCTGCCATGTAAAGACTGCCTGCTTCTCCTTTTGCCTTCCACCATGATTGTAAGTTTCCTGAGGCTTTTCCATCCATGCTTCCTGTACAGCCTGTGGAACCATGAGCCAATTAAAACTCTTTTCTTTATAAATTACCCAGTCTCAGGTAGTTCTTTATAGCAATGCGAGAACTGACTAATACAACCACTATACCTAACACCTTTTCGTTTTCAACAAAAACTCTGCACCCATTAAGTAACAACTCCCCTTTCTCCCTCTCCCCAGCCTCTTGCAACCCTCTTCTCCTTTCTGCCTCTATGAATTTGCATATTCTAGGTACATAATATAAGTGGAGTCATACAATATTTGTCCTTCTGTGTCTGGCTTATTTCACTAAGCATAATGATTTCGAGGTTCATTCATGTTGTAACATACATCAAACATTTTTTTCCTTTTCATGGCTGAATAATATTCCATGTATGGCTGTGCCACATTTTGTTGATCCATTCATCTGTTAATGGACACTTGCATTGTTTCCACCTTTTGGCTATTGTGACTAATGCTGCTATGATCATTGGTGTACAAGAGTTTGTTGAAGTCCTTGCTTTCAAATCTTTTAGATGTGTGTCTAAGACTGAAATTGCTGGGTCAGTAGTCCTATGTTTAACCTTTTGAGAAACTGCCTGTTTTCTACAGTGGCTGCACCATTTTACATTCCCACCAGCAGTGCACAAGGGTTCCAATTTCTGCACATCTTCACCAATAACTGCTATTTCTGTTTTAAAAATCATAGCCATCCTAGTGTCTCTTATGATGTTAAAGAAAGTAAAATTGGCTGGGCACGGTGGCTCATGTCTGTAATCCCAGCACTTTGGGAGGCCAAGGCAGGTGGATCACCTGAGGTCAGGAGCTCGAGACCAGCCTCACCAACATGGTGAAACTCTGTCTCTACTAAAAATACAAAAATTAGCTGGGCATGGTGCTGCATGCCTGTAATCCCAGCTACTTGGGAGGCTGAGGCAGGAGAATCACTCGAACCCAGGAGGCAGAGGATGCTGAGAGCCGAGATCACTCCACTGCAGTCCAGCCTGGGCAACAAGAGTGAAACTCTGTCGCAAAAAATAAAACAACAACAACGACAGAAGGAAAGAAAGTAAAATTAACACCTGTTCGTGGCTCTTAAAAGTATTGTGAACTGGGGCCGGGTGCAGTGGCTCACGCCTGTAATCCCAGCACTTTGGGAGGCCAAGGCGGGCAGATCACGAGGTCAGGAGATCGAGACCATCCTGTTTAACACAGTGAAACCCCGTCTCTACTAAAAAAATACAAAAAAATTAGCCGGGCGTGGTGGCGGGCGCCTGTAGTCCCAGCTACTCGGGAGGGTGAGGCAGGAGAATGGCGGGAACCCAGGAGGTGAAGCTTTCAGTGAGCCAAGATTGCGCCACTGCACTCCAGCCTGGGCAACAGAGTGAGACACTGTCTCAAAAAAAAAAAGGTGTTTTGAATTGGACTTGGTGGTGCATGCCTGTAGTCCCAGCTACTGGGGAGGCACAGGTGACAGGAACTCTTGAGGCCAGGAGTTTGAGTCCAGCTTGGGCAACATAGCAAGACATCCAATTCCCCGACCAAAAAAAAAGCATCATGGGACCTGCCTGATGAAGTTAGTCCTACATGTCACTGACAGTACCTGATAAAGTACAGTGCTCAAAACAAATACTGATTCACTGTTTCTTCAGTGTGGTTGTCATCAGTTTGGTATACATACAGTCCTGTGTTGCTTAACAATCCGAATACATTCTGAGAAATGCATTGTTAGGTAATTTCATCACTGTGTGAACATCACAGTATGTACTTACACAAACCTAGGTGGTGTAGCCCATTACACACCTAGGCTATGTGGTAGGAGGCTGTGAACTTGTACAACATGTTACTGTACTGAATGCTGTACACAATTGGAATACAGTGGTAATTATTTGTGTATCTAAACATAGAAAAGATACAGTAAAAATATGGTAAAATCTTATGGGACCACTGTCATACATGCAGCCTGTGGTTGACCAAAATATGTCAACTTCCATATGTAGTACAAGACTATACTTAGTTTCCATTGTTTCTGTTGTATTCAGTTTTAGGGATTTCCCTCCTATGCTTGTGAATTCAATATTATTATTATTGGGTTTTTTTTTTTTTTTTTTGAGACAGAGTCTCTCTCTGTTGCCCAGGCTGTACTGCAATGGCGTGATGTCAGCTCACTGTAACCTCTGCCTCCCGGGTTTAAGCGATTCTCGTGCCTCAGCCTCCTGAGTAGCTGGGATTACAGGTGTGCAGCATCACGCCTGACTAATTTTTGTATTTTTAGTAGAGACAAGATTTCCAGTGGAGACAAGATTTCACCATGTTGGCCAGGCTGGTCCCGAACTCCTGACCTCAAGTCATCTGCTCGCCTTGGCCTCCCAAAGTGCAATATTATTTTTAAGTATGTAAAGAATTAATCTGGTTCAAGACTATACTTAAAAATCCCCTCAGCAAAGTCCATTCACTTCACTTCCCTATACCTTCCACCCTGTTCCATTTCCCATTGTAGTTAAACTGAATTCCTTAGTTTCTGGCTTATATTCCCTGTGTTTCATCTTGTTATGTATTTGTTATGTAATTATATGCTAATAACAAGCATATTTATATATATATATATATATATATATATATATATATATATATATATACACATATTCTTATTTCCCTTCCTTTCTTACACAAAAGAGTGGCTACTATAAATATTCTTTTGTACTTTTCTTTTTCCTCCGAATGAGTTAGATTGTAAGTCACTCCATGTTAATTCATTTTCTCTCATAGCTTCATGGTATTTCACTGTGTGGATACAACATAGTTTATTAAACCAATCTCCTCCCTGTGTATGTACATTTAGATTAGTACTGGTATTTTGCAATTGTAACTTATTCCAGAATAAATGTCATATGCATATGATTTTCATATGACTTTGATGAGTATCTTCAGGGAAAATTCCTAAAAATGAAATTGCTGGATTAAGGGGTAAATGCATGTATAGTTTTGTTAGACACGGCCACATACCCTTCCTTAGAGGTAGTACCCTTTTGTATTCCTGCCAGTAATATATGAGAGTCCACAGAGTATGTGGTTAAGCTTTAGAATGCTTGTCCATCTGATAGGGAAGAAATCGTGTTGCCTTAATTTGCCCTTCTTTTATTATGAATCAGATTTTAATCTTTTAAAAGCCTTTCTGCTGTGAGTCTCTTTCTACTTAAATACATCCTTCATTCTGACTGTTGCCAAGTTAAACATATTTTAGCATTTTCCTAAAGCTTTCTGCATCCCTCCTTGTAGCATCAATTTCCTCTACCATCTGTCACAATCCATATTTCAACTATATCTCCAACTCTTGTCCATGTATCAGAAGAGCAGACCGATTCAATTCATTACCCCTAAATACACTCCACCTTTTCTTGCCTCTGAGCTTTTGCCCATTTGTGGTAATGCCATCTTTCTGGGATGGCAAATATTCTATTTTCATGGGTTGATATTTTGTCTATATTTCGGGGTCCAGCTCAAACATCCACCCTGATTTTCCCATTGATATTTGTTTTATCTGTGTACTCCCTGTCAGACTTTAGATGCTATACCAATGACTTTCTCTAGGGGAAAGGGGACATATCAAATCACTCGAAGAGGACTTTTCTTTTAACATACATGCTCATCAGTTTGACTCATCTCTCAACCCCAGGTGTATAAATGTTTCTGGAGCAATTTGGCATGTTCTAGGGGATGTGGTGAGGAAAACAGATAAATTCTCTTCTAAGGAGCTTAAATTCTTGGTGAGGCAATTGATAAATAAATTAGTAAATAAACAGGAACTTAGGGAGTGAAAGTCACCAGAGAATTTAAGCAAGGTGAGATGGTGACTTTCTTTTCCATTCAAGATGGAAGAGAACAAATTTATCTTTCTGCATGAAACAGCCAAAATACTGGGCAAAATGCATGAAACAACGGCCTCAAGACTTTGGACATCAGGCAACCAAAGGCAGTGATCCCTGAGAAGTGGGGTAATAAATGAGGTGAGCTTCTTGATTGACCCAGTTTACTGCCTGGAAAGAGTTTCCAGGTCATAGTGCATGGGTGGGGAAGTGAGGTTTGGGATGGGGAATATAGGCAGAGTTCAGTGGTCATCCTCAGTTGAAGAGATGGAGCTGGGAGTTGGGGGACACTCAGGTGGCTGGAGTTCTCAGGGGAAAATACCAGAGTGGAGAGAGATGCACAGAGAACTCCAGAGATCTACAGAGTGTTTCCCTCAAGTATTTAGCTGATATTGATGAACACATGTGGGTGAAGAAACTACTGAGAATCAGTAAAAACCAACTGAAAGTGTTAGAGGGAACAATCCTGGAAGCTCACACAACCCAACATTCCACTGGCCAGACTGGAAAATCTCATAATTCTCAGGACATTGGGTTGAATACTGAAAGTGCTTTTACCTTAGTTGTGGAAAATAATTAGCTTCTCTTGTCTCTACTAAAAAACCTTAAAGGCAAGACCCCCAAAGGACAAAGAAGCAGAAAAATACTGCCTCTTTGGCAGTATTTTAACAGGATATTGGTAAACAATTATGAGAAAAATTAGAAACTGTCCCACAAATGACAAATGACAAAGCCGACAGAATCAGTAGAAAGGGGCATTAAAACTGTTATTGTAAGTGTTCTCACATGCTCAAGAAGCTACAGGAAAGACAACATCTTAATTAGACGCAATGAAGACAGAAAAGAAAATATCCAAATCAAACTTCTGAGATGAAGTTTGTATTTGTCTGAGATGACAAATACACTGGAGAGGATGAAGGACTGTTTAGAAATTGCAGAAGAAAAAAGCAGCGTTCACCAAAGATACATGCTTCACTATGCAGCTATAGCAATAGAAATTATCTAAAATGAAATACAAAGAGAAAGAAGACAGAAACAAAATCAGTAGAGAGTTGGTGAGCTGTGAGACAATTTCTAGCAGGCTAATATATGTGTAATTGAATTCCCAGAGGGAGGGAGGGAAACAAAAATATTTGAGGATATAAAGGCTGATAGTTTTCCAAATACGATGAAAACTATATATTCCCAGACCCAAGAATTTCAACAAACCCCAAGCACAAGAGGCATTAAGAAAATTACATTAAAGAACATTATAAGCAAATTGCTTAAAACTGGCAATAATGAGAAATATCCTAAAAGTAGCTGCAGAGGGGAATGGGCAGGGGGACCCATTACATACTAAAGCAGCAGTCCCCAGTCTTTTTGGCACGAGGGATTGGTTTTGTGGAAGACAATTTTTCCACGGACAGGAGTTAGAAGGATGGTTTTGGAAAGAAACCGTTCCACCTCAGATCAACAGGCATCAGTTAGATTCTCACAAGGAGTGTGCAACTTAGATCCCTCACATGCACATTTCACAATAGGGTTCAAGCTCCTATGAGAATCTAATGCTGCCACTGATCTGACAGGAGGAGGAGCTCAGGAAGTAATGCTTGCTCACCCACTCACCTCCTGCTGTGCAGCCTGGTTCCTAACAGGCCACAGACCAGTACCGGTCTGCAGCCCAGGGGCTGGGGACCCTTGTTTAAAAAACAAAGATAAGGATGACA
Organism: Homo sapiens; assembly: GCF_000001405.40. Lineage (NCBI taxonomy): Eukaryota > Metazoa > Chordata > Mammalia > Primates > Hominidae > Homo > Homo sapiens. The sequence goes on from NC_000016.10 coordinate 74,797,632, forward strand.
AGAGATTGCTCATTGAAAACAATGCAAGCCAGAAGACAATGGAGCAACATCTTTAAAGCACTGAAAGAATAAAGCTTGTCAACCTAGAATTCTATACTCAGTGAAGATATATTTAGAGAATAAAAAAGAGTAAACAAAGACCTTTTCAGATATAAAAAAACTGAAGGAATACACTTATAGCAGACCTATACTATAAGAAATAAAGTCTTTCAGACAGAAGACAAATGATACCATATGGTAATACTGATCTATTTAAAGAAATGAACACCAGACATGATAACTATGTTGGAAATTAAAAAAATATATATTATTATTTAAGTATCTTTTAAAAATATTGTTTAAACAAGAAAAATAGCAATGTATGTTGGGGATTATAACATATGTATAAGTAAAATATATGACAAAATGAATTTTACGAAGGCAGGAAGAGGAGAAATAGAAAGATACTGTTGTAAGGTTCTCATAGTATACGTGAAGGTTCATAACATCACTTGAAAGTAGACAGTTAAATATGTATTCCATAAATTGTAAAATAACCACTAAAATAACAATAATAACAATATGAAGAGTTATAGATAATAAGCTAAAAAAATGGGATAAGTGGAAACATAAAAAACACTCAATTAGCTGGATGTGATGGCTCATGCTTGTAATTCCAGCAGTTTGAGACGCTGAGGTGGGTGGATTATTTGAGGTCAGAAGTTCAAGACCAGCCTGGCCAACATGGTGGAAACTTGTCTCTACTAAAAATACAAAAATTAGCCAGGCGTGGTAGTGCATGCCTGTAATCCCAACTCTTTGGGAGGCTGAGGTGAGAGGATCACTTGAACCTGGGAGGCAGAGGTTGCAGTGAGCCAAGATTGCACCACTGCACTCCAGCCTGGGTAAGAGTGAGACTGTCTCAAAAAAAAAAAAAACAAAAAACAAAAAACAAAACACGCAATCCAAAAAAAGTCAGTAAGATAACAAAAGAGGAACAACAAGCAAATAGGACAAATAGAAAACAAGGAGCAAGATGGTAACCCTAAACCTAACCATATCAATAACCACATTAAGTGTAAATTTCATCTGGGTACAGTGACATACTTGTAATCCTAGCACTTTGGGAGTCTGAGGTGGGAGGATTACTGGAAGCCAGGAGTTTGAGACCAGCCTGGGCAACATGGTGAGACCCCCATCTCCACAAAAAATAAAAATAAAAATTAGGCAGACATGGTAGCATGCACATGTAATCCTAGCTACTCAGGAGGCTGAGGCAGGAGGATCACTTGAGCCTAGGAGATTGAGGCCGCAGTGAGCTATAATCATGCCACTGCACTCCAGCCTAGGCAACAGAGCAAGGCCTTGTCTCTAAAAAAGAAAAAATTTACGAGATTGGGTAGTTAAAATCCAACTATATGCTGCCTACAAGAAATCTCACCTTAAATATGAAGACAAAAATAAATTCAAAGTAGAATGATGGAAGATCTACCACACAAACACTAACGACAAGTAAGCTGAAGTGGCACTATTGCTATAAAACAAAATAGATTCCACAGCAAAGAATATTACCAAGAATAAAAAGTAATCATAATAATTATTAATATATATGATTAAAACAATAAAGTAGCTAATAATCAAGGGACCATAATCTTAAATTTAAAAGAGTAGTAAGATACGCATAACATAAAATTTACCATCTTAAATATTTTTAAATGTACAATTCAGTAGTGTTAAGTATACTCACCTTGTGCAACCATCACTGCCATCCATCTCCAGAACCTTTTCATCTTGTTGCCCCTACACACCTGTGGGTGTTTCTCGTAAGGTGGGACGAGAGATTTGGAAAAGAAAAAGACACAGAGACAAAGTATAGAGAAAGAAATAAGGGGACCCGGGGAACCAGCGTTCAGCATATGGAGGATCCCGCCAGCCTCTGAGTTCCCTTAGTATTTATTCATCATTTGTGGGTGTTTCTCGAAGAGGGGGATGTGTCAGGGTCACAAGACAATTGTGGGGAGAGGGTCAGCAGACAAACACGTGAACAAAGGTCTTTGCATCATAGACAATGTAAAGGATTAAGTGCTGTGCTTTTAGATATGCATACACATAAACATCTCAATGCTTTACAAAGCAGTATTGCTGCCCGCAGGTCCCACCTCCAGCCCTAAGGCGGTTTTTCCCTATCTCAGTAGATGGAGCATACAATCGGGTTTTATACCGAGACATTCCATTGCCCAGGGACAGGCAGGAGACAGATGCCTTCCTCTTGTCTCAACTGCAAGAGGCATTCCTTCCTCTTTTACTAATCCTCCTCAGCACAGACCCTTTACGGGTGTCGGGCTGGGGGACGGTCAGGTCTTTCCCTTCCCACGAGGCCATATTTCAGACTATCACATGGGGAGAAACCTTGGACAATACCTGGCTTTCCTAGGCAGAGGTCCCTGCGGCCTTCCGCAGTTTTTGTGTCCCTGGGTACTTGAGATTAGGGAGTGGTGATGACTCTTAAGGAGCATGCTGCCTTCAAGCATCTGTTTAACAAAGCACATCCTGCACCGCCCTTAATCCATTCAACTCTGAGTTGACACAGCACATGTTTCAGAGAGCACGGGGTTGGGGGTAAGGTTATAGATTAACAGAATCTCAAGGCAGAAGAATTTTTCTTAGTGCATAACAAAATGGAGTCTCCTATGTCTACTTCTTTCTACACAGACACAGTAACAATCTGATCTCTCTTGCTTTTCCCCACAGTTAAGTATACTCACCTTGTGCAACCATCACTGCCATCCATCTCCAGAACCTTTTCATCTTATAAAATTAAAACTTTATACACAATAAACACTTATGTTTTTCTTCTTCCCTCAGCCCCTGGCAACTGCCATTCTATTTTCCGTTTCTATAAATTTGGCTACTTTAGATGCCTCATATATGTGGAATCATACAGTATTTGTCTTTATTTATCTGGATTATTTCAGTAAGCATAATGTTTTCATGGTACATTCATGTTACAGTGTACATGAAAATTTCATTCCATTTTATGGCTGCATAATATTCCATTGTATGGATATACCACATTTTATTTTTGATGAACATTTGGGTTGTTCTCTCCTTTTGGCTATTGTGAACAATGTTACTATGAATTTCAGTGTAAACAATCCTAAATTTTTATATCCATAATAGCAGAAATTCAAAATACAGGAAGGAAAAGTTGACAGAACTGCAAGGAGAACAAATTCATAATTTGTTCATAATTCAAAAACCAATTCATAATTATAGCAAGAGACTTCAGCACCTCTGTCTCTCAATGATTGATACATTATGTAAACAAAATCAGTAAAGGTATAGAAGACTTGAACAATGTTATAAAAACAACTTGAACTAATTGACATTTATGGAACACTCTATCACACAGCAGCAAAATACGTTTTTTTAAAGTTTGCGTGAAACTTTTATCAAGATAGACCATATTCTGGTCCATAAAGCAAGTTCAGTCAATGTATAAGGACTTAAGTCATGCAAAGTATGTTCTCTGACCACAATGGAATTAAATGAGAACTCACTATCAGAAAAATATCTGAAAATACCCTAATATTTAGAAACTAAATATGCTTCTAAATAACTGATGGGAAAAAAAAGAACTCAAAAGGGAAACTAGAAAGTATTTTGCATTGAATGAAAAAGAAAGTATAACTCATAAAAATGTGCTAGATGCAATTAAAGCAGAACTTTCAAGTTTATAGCACCAAACACCAAACATCAAACACCAAACACCTGCACTGGAAAACATGAAAGTTCTCAAATCAATGACCTCAGGTTTAGGAAAGTAGAAACAGAAGAGCAAATTAAACTCGAAGAAAATAGAAGAAAAGAAATATTAAAGATTAAGGCAGAAATCAATGAAGTAGCAAACAAAATTTAAAACAGAGACAATGAAACCAAAGTTAGTACTTTGGGAAGATCAATAAAATTGGGAAATCTCTAGCCAGACCAATAAGGAAGAAAAGAGAAAAGACATAAATTACCAATATCAAGAATGAGAGAGGTGGCTGGGTGCTGTGGCTCACATCTGTAATCCCAGCACTTTGGGAGGCTGAAGTGGGCAGATCACTTGAGGTCAGGAGTTCAAGACCAGCCTGGCCAACATGGTGAAACCTCGTCTCTACCAAAAAATACAGAAATTAGCTGGGCGTGGTGGCATATGGCTGTAGTCCCAGCTACTCGGGAGGCTCAGGAAGGAGAATCGCTTGAACCCAGGATGTGGAGGTTGCAGTGAGCCAAGATCACACTACTGCACTCCAGCCTGGGTGACAGAATGAGACTCCATCTCAACAAAAAAAAGAAAAAAAGGGAGAGGAGAGATCAATAGAATCCGTCATTGTTAAAACATTAGTAAGGGTATATCACAAACAGATTTTTCTCCAATAAATTTGACAATGAGATAAAGTAGACTAATTGTTTGGAAGACACAAACTACCAAAGCTTATTCAAGAAGATATAGATCACCTAAACAGCCCTATAACTGTTAACAAAATTGAATTTATAGTTTAACATGTACACACAAAAGAAATTTTAGATGGCTTCACTGGTTAATTCTATGGAATATTGGCTTCACTGGTAGTTTTACCAAATTTTTTTCAATATCTCTCATAAGGAGAAATACCAAATATGTAAGGAAGAAATAATACCAATTCTACACAAACTCTTCCAAGATTCGAAGAAGTAGCAATACATTCCAACTCATACTTTGAAGTCAACATTACTCTTATACAAAACCAGAAAAAAAAAAAAACATTTTAAAAGGCTAGGCATGGTGGCTCATGCCTGTAATTCCAGTGTTTTGGGAAGCCAAGGTGGGAGGGTCTCTTGAGGCCAGGGGTTTGAGACCAGCCTGGGCAATATAGTGAGACCCTGACTCTATAACAAGTAAAAAAATTAGACAGCTGTGGTGGCACATACCTGGTGTCCCAGCTACTTAGGAGGCTGAGGCAGGAGGATCAATTGAACCCAGGAATTTGAGATTATAGTGAACTGTGATCATGCCACTGCACTCTAGCCTGGGTGACAGAGCAAGACTTTGTCTCTGAAACAAAGCAAAACAAAAAACATTACAAGGAAGTAAAACTATGGACCAACTCATCAACATTATTGCAGAAATTCTTAACAAAACTTATGCAAGTAAAATACAACAATATTTTCAAGAGATAATACATCATGAATTTCAGGAATTCAAGCTTGGTTTAACATTAGAAATTTAATAATATTCACCATATTAACAAACTAAAAAATGTAAAACCATGCAATCCTCTCAATAAGTACAGAAAAAGCATTTGACAAAATCCAGTCAAATCCATTTCCATCATCCAATCATATCTAGTTATCAAAGGAGGAATGGAAGGGAACATCTTCAACCCAATAAAAGATATCTACAAAAATCCAATAGCTAATATCAAATGTAATGGTAAATGATTGAATATATTCCCCCTAATTTCAGGCAGAATGCAAGGATTTCACTCTTACCACTTTTATTCAACATTATACTAAACGTTATATTCAATGCAATGGGCAACAAAAAGAAGTAAAAGACACTCAGATTGGAGAGAAAGAAGTCAAATTGTCTTTATTGGGAGATGACATGACTCAGTCTTTCATGATTAAGTATGATATTAGCTGTGGGATATCTGTAGAAGTCCTTTATTAGGTTGAAGAAATGCTCTTTTAATCCTAGTTTGTCAAATGGTTTTATCATGAATGGTATTGAATTTTGTTAAATGCTCATTTTGCATCTACTGAGTATGTGTTTTTTTCTTTATCCTATTGATATGATATAGTATTCATTTTCAAATGTTAAATGAACTTTACATTCCTAGGATTAATCCCATTTGGTTGTGTTGTATAACCCTTTTTAAATGCTGCTGGATTTGGTTTGCTAGTATTTCATTGAGGTTTTTGTTTATAAGTTCATAAGAGATATTGGTCTATAATTTTCTTTTCTTGTGATGCCTTTGGTATCAGAGTGGTACTGGCATCATAATGAATTAGAAAGTGTTACCTCCTTCCCTATTTTTTTGATGAATTGCAAATAATTGGTATAAATTCTCTAATTGTTTGGCAGAGTTCACCAGTGAATCTGAGCCTAGGCATTTCTTTGTGGATAGTTTTCAAAATTACTAATTCAGTACCTTTATCTATTGTAGGTCTATTCAGATCTTCTATTCCTTCTTGAGTTAGTTTTGATACTTTGTGTTTTTCTGGGAATGTATCCATTTTATATATGTTATCTAATTTGTTGGCATACAGTTATTCTTAGCATTTCCTAATAGTCCTTTTATTTTATTTCTGTAAGGTTGTAGTAATGCTCTCTCTTTATTACTGATTTTTGTAATTTGAGTTCTCTATCTGTCTCCCTCCCTCCCTCTTCAGTCTAGCTAAAGATTTTTGTAATTTGAGTTCTCTGTCTCCTTCCCTCTCTCTTCAGCCTAGCTAAAGATTTGTCCATTTTGTTGATCTTTTCTAAGAACCGACTCTTGGTTTTGTTGATTTTCTCTACGGTTTTTTATTCTCTATTTCATTACTTTCTACCTTAATCTTTATTATTTTCTTCCTCTGCTTGTTTTGGGTTTAGCTTACTCTTCTTTTTGTAGTTTCTTAAGGTGTAAATTTAGGTTATTGGTTTGACATCTTTCTTCTTTTTAAATATAGGTATTTATAGCTATGAATTTCCCTCTAAGCACTGTCTTCACTATATCCCATAAGTTTTGAGATGTTGTGTCTTCATTTTCATTCATTTCAAAATATTTTCAAAACACTATGTACCCCATAATATGTACAATTGTTGTATGTCAATTAAAAAGAAAAGAAAAAGATACTAATTTCCCTTGTCATTTCTTAATTGGCCCACTTGTTATTTAAAAGTGTGCTGTTCAGCTGGTGCAGTGGCTCACACCTGTGATCACAGCACTCTGGGAGGCTGAGGCAGGAGGATCACCTGAGGTCAGGAGTTTGAGACCAGCCTGGCCAACATGGTGAAACACCGTCTCTACTAAAAACTACAAAAATTAGCCTGGTGTGGTGGCGGGTGCCTGTAATCCCAGCTACTTGGGAGGCTGAGGGAGGAGAATCGCTTGAACCTGGGAGGCAGAGGTTGCAGTGAGCCAAGATCGCGCCACTGCACTCCAGCCTGGGCAACAGAGGGAAACTCTGACTCACACACACAAAAAAAGTGTGCTGTTCAATATCCACATATTTATGAAGTTCTCAATGTACTTTTTGTTGTTAATTTCTTTCTTTCTTTCTTTTCCCTTCCCTTCCTGTCCCTCCCTTCCCCCTCCCCTGTCCCTCCCCTCCTTCTCCCCTCCCCTCCACTCTCCTCTCCTGCCCTTTCCTTTTGAGATAGGGTCTTGCTCTGCTACCCAGGCTGGAGTGCAATGGCATGACCATGGCTTACTGCAGCTTCAACCTCCTGGGCTCAAATGATCCTCCCACCTCAGCCTCCTGAGTTGCTGGGACTACAAGCACATGCCACCACCCCAGGCTAATTTTTAAAATTTTTGTAGAGATGGGGTCTCACTATGTTGCCCTGGCTAATCTTGAACTCCTGGGCTCAAGTGGTCCTCCCACCTCAGCCTCCCAAAGTGCTGGGATTACAGATGTGATCCACTGCACTGTTAATTTCTAATTTTACTCCATTGTGATTAGAGAACATACTTTGTATAATTTCAATCCTTTGAGAAATTACTGAAATTCTTTTTATGACCTAACATATGATCTGTACTGGAGAATGTCCCATGTGTACTTGAGACGAATGTATATTCTGCTGTTGTTAAGTGGAGTGTTCCAGGTATGCGTCAGGTCTAGTTGGTTTATAGTATTATTCAAGCCTTCTGTTTTCTTGTTGATCTGCCTAGTTGTTATATCTTTTGTTGAAAGTGAGGCATTGAAGGCTCCAACTATTATTGTCGAATTATCTACTTATCTCTTTAATTTTTTAAAGTTTTTGCTTTATATGTTTTGGACCTCTCTTATTAGGTGCATATTTATTTGACTGACTAATAAAATTGTATATATTTATCATGTACAACATGTTTTGAAATATGTATACATTATTGAATCACTGAGTCAAGCTAATTAACATATGTATTACTCACATACTTATTTTTGTGGTGAGAACATTAAAATCTACTCTCTCAGCAATTTTAAAGGATACAATACATTGTTGTTAACCATAATCACCATGTTGTACAACAGAGCTCTTGAATTTATTTCTTCTATTGAACTGTAATTGTATACCCTTTGACTAACATTTCCCCAACTGTTCCCCTACCCTAGCACTTGGTAACAGTCATTCTACTCTTAATTCTATGAGCTCAACTTTTTTAGATTCCACATATAAGTGAGATCGTTTAGTGTTTGTCTTTCTGTGCCTGGCTTATTTCAATGAAATAAGTCCTATTTCATTGGACTTTTCATAGTGTCCTCCAAATTCATCCATGTTGTTACAAATGACAATATTTCCTTCTTTTTAAGGCTGAATAGTATTCCAATATGTATAAGTACCACATTTTCATTATCCATTTATCTGTTGATGGACAATTAGGTTGATTCCATATCTTTGCTATTGTGAATAATGCTGCAATGAACATGGAATATATAAATGTTAGGCCTTCCTGATGGATTGACTGATTTTTAATTGACAAATAAAAATTGTATATATGTATGGTGCTATGAAAGGAAAATAAATCTTGGGGCCCCCAAATCACTAAACTAAAGGGAAAAGTCAAGCTGGGAACTGCTTAGGGCAAACTTGCCTCCCATTGTATTCAAATCATCCGTCTGCTCACTGAGATAAATGCATATCTGATTGCCTCCTTTCGAGAGGCTAATCAGAAACTCAAAAGAATGCAACTGTTTGTCTCTCACCTACCTGTGACCTGGAAGTCCCCTCCCTGCTTCGAGTTGCCCTGCCTTTCTGGATGGAACCAATGTGCATTTTATATATATTGATTGAGGTCTCATGTCTCCCTAAAATATATAAAACCAAGCTATGCCCCAACCACCTTAGCCACATGTCAGGACCTCCTGAGGCTGTGCCATGGGCACATGTTCTCAACCTTGGCAAAATAAACTTTTTAAATTAACTAAGACCTGTCTCAGATATTTGGGGTTAACATTTATGGTAACCACAAAGGAATTCTGAGTGGAGATGCCCCTGACCTTTGACAAATCTCCTATTGGTGCTTGGTATCAGCTTGAGCTATCTTTATGGCTCAAACCAATAGGACAATTTGCTGAGGCCTGGAAGTGTTATGAGATCTTTGGGGTGTTGATTTTTCTTTCCAGAAACCTCTGTGGCTGGTGACGCTTTTGCCCGAGTTTTTGTCCTGCATCCAGGAAGAATGAGGTATGCAGAGAAGTGAATGGTGATGAAGATGAAGAAGAATTTTATTTAGTGTTAGAATGGCTCAGAAGAGACCGGAAGTGGGTAGCTCCTCTCTGTAGGCAGGTCATCCCATGGAGTGTTCAGCTGTCAGCAAAGAGGAGGCCCTGGAGGGGGTAGCTCTTCTCTGCCCACTGGTCATCCTGCTGTCTGCTGTTCTCAGCAGAGAGGAGGCTCTGAAGAGGGTGGCTCCTCTTTGTAGGCAGGTTGTTCAGATGTCTCTGCAGGCCTCTGAAGCTCTCAGCAAAGAGGATAGCTCCTCTCTGCAGGTAGTTATCCCCTTCCTCTCTCTGTCCTCTGGTCTTTGCCCTGCTGTGGCCGAGCCCAGGGCTTTTATGGACCTGAGCGGGGAGGAAATGCATGCCAATTGGTGGATGCGCAGCCATGGGCAGGCCCAGAGGAGGCGCTTCAAGTCCCTACTCTGGTCTGTGTGACTGGCAGCCTGCCCCCAGCTGTCAGGCCCTCCCTGGTCTGAAGGTGGGACCTTACTGGGGATCCGCCTGCTTCTGCCCAGGACTCTGCCTCCCGCTGCCATTCAAGGCCCCAGGGCTCTGCTCCAACCCTGCTCCAAGACCAGTGCCCTCCCCAGGAGAGGAGAGAGGCCAGGCAATGGGAGTAAACACCCGCCAAGACAGCAGGGAGCACAGGAGGGTGGGCCTCCTTCCTGATCCATAGAACAGGAAGGCCTAGGTCTGCAGTTTGGGTGGCTGCAGCGGCACCCAAGGAGCTCCTGCCCCAACTCAGAAGGAGCGGGGTTCCCATGGGCTCCATGGAGTGTGCAGCCCCAGCCAGCCTCCCTCCTGCAGCCACTTAGAAGCACCTCCTCCAGAGAATCCCTGATCTCCCAAAATTTGGTCAAGATCTAAACTTTATTTTTCTGTACAACTCCTTTTTTTTTTTTTTTTTTTTTTGGAGTTTTACTTGCTTTTAACACAAGGAAGGCAAGTTTTTCCTGTTTCCATGACAATGGACGGCAGGTAATTCCTTTATGGAGTTTGAACTCGCTCCCAACAGGGAAGACGAGTTTGAGTTTTTCCTGCTTCTAGGATGGTAGAGAGCAGGCTTTGGCCTGAGACCCATCCCTACGTAAATAACTGAATTGGGGTTTGCCTTGGCTAAAGTTAAAATTAACAACCAGCTGGTCTTAATTTCTCCTTACCATTAGAGCGCTCAGCAATCATGTAAGTTGTGCAATCGTTTGTTTCGCTTAACTTTTTCTGTTGTTTGTTTGTTTTTTTGTTTCTTTTGTTGTTGTTTCAGTCTTTTTCCTATCAGGTTTGACCAACTCTATCCAACTTGATCATATCTGAAGGAAAGTTCCAAATTATGGGGAACAAGGCCTTTGAAGTGGCTAAATTCCCCCACCCACAATAAAAGGTGGTGTGGTGGGGGGAGAAAAGTGGCCAGCAAAAGGGGAAAAAAGGGAAAGATTTTTTAATTTTGACTACTTAAGGCTTTCTTTATTTACATAACAAGGCCTAAAGGAAATGTTTTCTTCCAACATAATATTCTGTGCACTGCAGAAGGTCTTTTCTTTGGCCTTTTGATAACTGGCCTAACAGATTTCATGTCTTATCAAATAATTCTTATCCCATTATTATTAAGTTTTGGTTTGCTTAGAAAAAACAGATCAAAAATTTTTTTCAATTAAGGTTATTACCTCCATGTATTTTTCTGTATGTGCTTTTAAAGTCCTTGTAACATTGAGTTGCTGGGCTTTGACTCCTGGGTCTAAAAAGGACACCAAATCCTGCTAACTCTTAAACACTGACAGCAATTAAAGCTTCGTATTCAGGTCTGATAGAAGATGCCAATCAAAATAAACTGCATTCCTAAGACACAGGGCCAGAAATTAAAGCTATTCAACTCCTCAAGGTCCAGGGAGTATCACAGAAGAGGCAGGTGCATGAGATTGTAAGGGCCAATTTTGAGAGATAAAGGAAGTTCAGTTTCTCTATAAATTAACCATTAATGTCAAAGGCATACTGATGCAAGACCAGCACATGAGGCCCTGTGTCAGATTAACAAGGTTTTCTTGAAGTATTAACCAACTCCTTATTAAAGGTTATAAAGGCTATAAAAAGACTTATGGAAGTTATATGTTATGGTCAAAATTAACATTTTAGAGATTGTTTAAAAATTTTGAAAAACAAATTTAATTGGCTTCATGCTATTTTTATTAGGGCTTATTGTTTGGAAAATTAAGTCTCCTCTCTCAAAGAATGAAGGTTGTCACCTTTTTAGAAAACCCTTGAGTTATCACTTTGGTTAAATGAATCACTTATTTTACAATGAACTGTGATCCTATTTTGTGATATCAAGTGTTTTAAACCTTTGATATTTGACAAACTTTTCAAAATAAAATTACACGTCTTTTTATGACCTAATTAATCTTTTTAGATATTAGGTTCCCTAAAGCCCAAAAATGACATATTTGGCCTATTTGGTATAAAAATTATACAGGAAGCATTGTCAAACATGAAATGGTTTGGTTTTCTTTGGGCTATATTTGTATAAATATGTTATTGGTATGTGTTCCAAAATTATGGGAACTCCTATAATTCTGATATGACTTAGTGTACATAGTTAGTAGTAATAATAATAATTGTTATGTTAAATTTTTGTGTGCCACAGAGGTAACAGATTTCCTTGTCAATTGTGTCTTTGACTATAGCTGCCCTAAAACATTTTGTCATCCATGGACAATTGTTGTCTTGTTTTGGTTCTCTTTAGAAGGTGGTTTTATAATCTACTATAAAACTCTAATAGGGGCTCCTGAATGGAGGTTTCTGATAATTTTGGAGATGGTGACATCAGAATAGAGGAAAAACTTTCAGGACTCATGGAGAGCTGAAATGTTCATGAATTTCAAGCAGAACAGGAATTAACTACAAAGACTGAAATAATAGATGACTGAAGTAATCTTTTTGACTTTTTGCTTAAAATGTTACTGATCTTTCAATTTTCAGAGTCAAGGAAACTTTTCTTTTGTGCTATTGACAGCTTTTAACAACTAAGTATACTCCTACCAACAAAATTTGGAGTATATTTGTTTCTCTCCACCTGATTTCTCCAGAATTTGGAAACTATTTTAAGTATTCTTAACTTACGGCTATATAGTTATTTGCATAAGTGCAATAAGAATCTGTTTTCATTTGTAACAGGACATGACTGGAGCAACTGGTTATTTTACCAAGTTTTGACTGGAATGGTTTACTTTCCTTTAAGGAATCAAAGTTGTCTTTTAGAGCCAATAAAAGCCCCTTGGGAAAACTGGCCTCATACCTTATCTACACAGTCCCTGTACACGGTTCTTGACCTGTGATAAGAAATGAATGTCACTTTCTGACTGGCCTGGGAACCCCAAGTTATCTTGAGACCTCAAGGGGAGAGGAATTCACCCAACTCATAGGTATTTGATGGTACAAATCCATGGCTGGGCTTGGCTTTAAAAAAGTCATATCTGAGATTCCTTCTATGGAACAAAGTTCCATCAAAGCCAATTTAAAAAGCCTATGTGAAGAATAATTATTCTAGCTGCACTTTATACAAATAATTTGGCCAAGTATAATAAAGCAAATTGGTCCTACCATGATTTGTCATGATTTTTAGTAAAAATGGGAAACTGGAGAGAGAAAAATTGTTTCAAAAACTAAAGTACACCTGTTGTTAGATTCTAGTCTTGCCTAATGTTTTTCTGTTTTTATTATTTTCTACAGACTGGACTGAATTCTAACTTTTCCTGGCTACAAGTCTCCAAAATAATGTTTTCATTTTTTTCTTTCTTTTCCTTTTCCCTACATTTTTCCTAATTTGAAATCACTGAAAACTAAGCTATGCTTTCTTAAAGCCCTGCAAACTGAAACTAGACAACTTAAACTTCAAAAGAAAATAACAGCAACCTTTTACATACATAAGCCACTTTTATACCTGCCTACTGATGTATGGACTACAGAGTAAGGTGGTCTATATCAGTTTTGCAGGATTGTTCTTTTGTTTGTTGTTGTTTTTCTCCCTTCTTTCTCCTATTTTCTCTTCATAGGACATAAGACTTCAGAACCTGCTAAAAATGAGCTTTCCTAATAACTTGGAACTTATCTGTCTAGGAATAAACTGTCTTAGCTGTGAGACAGCAGATGAAACCTGAGACCAGGGACTCATTTTCTTCCGATAATGCTTTCTCCAAAAGATTTTAGAAACAAAAGGGGGGAAATGTGAAAGGAAAATAAATCTTATGACCCCAAAATCACTAAGCTAAAGGGAAAAGTCAAGCTGGGAACTACTTAGGGCAAACCTGCCTCCCGCTCTATTCAAAGTCACCCCTCTGCTCACTGAGATAAATGCATACCTGAATGCCTCCTTTGGAGAGGCTAATCAGAAACTCAAAAGAATGCAACCATTTGTCTCTCACCTACCTGTGACCTGGAAGCCCCCTCCCTGCTTTGAGTTGTCCTGCCTTTTTGGGAAGAACTAATGTTTATCTTACATATACTGATTGATGTCTCATGTCTCCCTAAAATGTATAAAACCAAGCTGTGCCCTGATCACCTTGGGCACATGTCAGGATCTCTTGAGGCTGTGTCATGGGAACATGTCCTCAACCTTGGCAAAATAAACTTCCCAAATTAACTGAGACCTATCTCAGATATTTGGGATTCATAGTGTACAATATGTTTTGACATGTGTGTAGACTGTGGATTGACCCATCTCATATTACAAAATGTCCTTCTTTATCTCTAGTAACATCCTAGGGACACAGCATTATGCTGTTAGAAGCCATACTAGTATTTCATTTAGGTGCTCTGCATTATTTAGTGCAGAGGTTTGTACAAAGTTCTTATGTGTGAAGTGTTCTGTAGTTCTTAACACACACACACACATGCTTGCATTCTCACTTATTATCTTAGCTTGCCCTCTAAGCTACCAGATCTGTATTCAAATTCTTTCTGTCCTTTGGAAATCCTATGGGTAAGTCTTAAACAGAGCAACATATAACCCTGAGGGCCAAATCCTGGCACAGACCTCAAGACAAGTGCCTGCTGAGGAAATATGTCGTCCACACAATGAACTTGTGGGCAGGATGCCCAGTACCCAGACAAGATCACGGCCTTGCTCCTTCTATCTGCTACCACACCCAGCTCTGTAGCTTCCCTGAGCCCAACTACAAAAATAACCTGCCACTTATGCAGGGGGTACACCAAGTGGCTTCCCCACTGAAGCTGAGGAAGGAGAATCTCCAGATCCACTTGGAGGAAAGGAGAAGTCCTCCAAAATGCCCATTGAAAGTAGAGCCTATGAATAACCTGTCCCTCCCAGCATCCAGAACACCTACCCCAGGGCCTGGCCTGCATTGCCAGCCTCCCAAGGTGCGGTTATTGAATACTGAGAAGCTGCCAAGGACTCAGCCTCATCTCCCTCAGTGTTCTCCAAATGGTGGGATGATCTTCGTGTAATAACATTGAATGCCAAAGTTTAAAAAAGCCATCCCCTTTTCAGTTTTTTCCCCCAAGTCATTCCAATCATGTCAAACAGAAAGCCTTTGTTTGATGCTACTAAGTCTTTACGCCTAGCTGGAACTGATTAGCAGTAACAGAATTGTTTTGTCTTTGTTGTATTTGTCTTTATAGTTACCTTATATTTGTGGCAAAGTATACTGGGTTTTCCATTTGCGATAGGGATGTAAACTTTCCATTTTATATGAATTAATTTCAGGTAAAAAGTGAGTTCCTTAAAGAAAGTTATTGCATATTTAAATAATAATGGGGTGGCAAAATTCACGAGGGTTGTGTTGACTGTGCTCAGAAATCAAAGCTGGGCGTGGTGGCTCAGGCCTGCAATCCCAGCACTTTGAGAGGCTGAGGTGGGAGGATCGCTTGAGGCCGGGAGTTTGAGAGCAGCCTGGGTAACACAGCGGGACTCCATCACTACATTTATAATAAAAGAAAAAAAAAAGGAACGCCCCTAAATATGACATGGGTGAATAGTTCCCACCAAGTGATCCTGGCCATGTATGCCTGAACCCGAAGAGAGTTGCAAAGGAGGACATTTAAATTTGGGGCTCTGCCAATGTTCCTCCGTTTAGGGGGGCCTGGGAGCAGGTGTCGGAGTGAGGGCACAGGAACAGCAGCCCGCTGTCTGCGACACCTGGGCTGGCTGTGACACCTGGGCTGGGCCTGGGCCTGGGCCTCGCCAAGGCTGCGGAGCGCAGCGCCGCGCTTCACCACTAGGTGGTGGACGTACGCTCCCAGTATGAGCGGCGCTGACCCCGGGAGCAGCATGGCCCTTTGCAGCCCGAGCTGCTGGAACAGGCTGGGACACGCCTGCCCTCTCGCGGCCCCCTGCCCGAGGGGCCCTGCACACCCGGAGCCGGGCTTGGCGAAGTCAGTCTCAGACCCCCTCAAAACCAAATCTCAGAGCTGCTTGAGCCACAGGGAAATGAAATAACCCCTAATGGAGACTCTTAACCTTACTTTGTACACAGACTGGTTACCCTGTGGCGCTCCTCTCAGAATAACCTTTTTAAATGCGTGAACTAGATGGGAATAAATAACAAGATCTAGGAATTTGGAAAAAATGAGCACAAGTGACTTTTCCAGGTCACTGTAATGACTGTAATATGACATGAACATACCTTCCATTTCTATTGGCACTGCTAATACCACTATGGTTTATTTGCTGCCTGCATTCATAATTGAAGAAAATCCCAAGTATCACTTAAAGGTGAGTGAGAATAAGTATTTAATTATTTTCCTTTGCAAGTTCAGGGACCCCATAAATTCTATGCCCACGGTTAAGAAACCTTTAGTGTCTGGCAGTTTCCAGATGGGGCGAAAAAAAAAAGAAAAAAAAAAAAAAACACCTTAGTGAAAATCGAGGCAAGATGGAAGACATTTAAACAGCACAACAGACTTCCCTGTCCATTTCCTGTTTTGCCCCAGCTTTAGTGCTCAGGGTCTCCTCAGTATCCACTCTCTGCCTTGACCGTCAGGAGCTATGAGCAGCACGGGGCATGCATGATCGTAGGGTAAGTGGGGAGTGGGAGGGGGCTAAGATATCATCCAGGCTCAATTGTTCAGTTTCCAGACACTGAGACAGAGAAAGGAGTCGGCACCTAGCATCTCCTACTCATTCAGGTCAGAGCTAAAGATCCACGCTCCATACCCATTTCCCCATTTCAGCCTGGGGGACAATTGGGAGGGGACTGGTAAGCCTCCCCAAGAAAGTGACACAAACTAAGACTTGGAGGAGGCATGTGGATCTCAGGGGAAGAGCATTTTCCTCTTCCCCTGAGAAGAGGAGGCGTGGTGGGAGCCATTCACTCAGGTCATATATAGAGGCCTTGCTTTTTTTCTTTTATACAGAGATGGAGTCCCACTAAGTTGCCCAGCCTGGTCTCAAACTCAGCCTCAAGCGATCCTCCCACATTAGCCTCTGAAAGTTCTGGGATTGCGGGTGTGAGCCACCATGCCCAGCTGGACATTGCTTTTGATTTCTGAGCACAGTCAACACCACCCTCATGAATTTTGCCACCCCATTATTTTTATTTATCATCATTTTTTTTTTTTTGAGACCGAATTTCACTGTGTCGCCCAGGCTGGAGTGCAGTGGCGCGATCTCAGCTCACTGCAACCTCTGCCTCCCAGGTTCAAGCGATTCTCATGCCTCAGCCTCCCGTGTAGCTGGGATTACAGGCGTGCACCACCACGCCCGGCTAATTTGTGTATTTTTAGTAGAGGTGGGGTTTCACCATCTTGGCCAGGCTAGTCTTGAACTCCTGACCCCAGGTGATCCATCCGCCTCAGCCTCCCAAAGTGCTGGGATTACAGGCATGAGCCACCGCGCCCGGCCCCATTATTATTTAAATATACAATAACTTTAAGAAGAGGCAACAGCTGGTGCAGCAGCCCTGGTGGATAGGCCTGGCATGCTTCCAGAAGGAAGCCGTGTAGCTGAGGCGGAGTGAAGCATAAATGAGGTCGGAGAGGTAGCTGGAGACCCGATCTAGAAAATCATCCTCTTAGAAGGACTTCAGCTTTTATGCCGTGTGAAACGTGGACCTGGCATAGAGTTGCTGGTGTTTGAATGTGTCTCCCAAAAGTCCATGTGTTAGAAACTGTGCCCTCATGAATGGGTTAATGGATTAATGAGGATTCTGCTCTCATGAATGCATTCATGTTGTCACCATCAGGGGAGTGAGTACTCATGGGAATGCCTTTGTTATCAAAGTGAGCTCTCTCTTGCACATGCTTCGTTTTGCCCTCTTGCCATGTGGTGCCCTCTGCCATGTTAGGATGAAGGTAAAAGGCCCTCACCAGATGCTGGCACCACGTCCTTGGAATTCCCAGCCTGCAGAATTGTGAGCTAAATAAACTTCTTTTGTTTATAGATTACCCAGTCTGTGGTATTCTGTTACAGCAACAGAAAATGGACTAAAAGAGGGTTTTGAGCAGAGGAGGAACGAAATCTGACTTAGTTTTAATCAAGGTGATCACATGTTCTGGTTTGCCAGGGCCAGTACTGGCTTACTCCTGTTATCCATTGTAATTATCAATAGCATTTCTTTTTGCCTCAAAGGAGTCAATTATGGTTGCTTTAACAGCATGGCCTGGCTACTGTACTGAGAATGGACTGGAGGGGGCAAACATGGGAAGAGGGAGACTAGTCAGGATGCCATGGCAAATGATCCACACAAGAGACAACAGCAGCTTTGACCAGGGTGGCCGCAGTGGAAGTGGTGAGAAATGGAGAGAGTGCCAGAATTTAGCTTTTGTGATGTGAATTCAAGACGTCGATTAGACTTCGAAGTAGTAGCCATTGGCCAAGAGGCAGATGCTGATTGTCCGTGATGAGCCCCTGGTTCCTGTGCTCTGTCCCTTCTGCCTGTTACTACCTGGCTGCCACACACTTGTTGAGGATGCAGTTGGATGTAGGGGAGAAATGATGCTACAATCTGGAGATGATGGGGACAGACCTGGCTGTCCTACCCAGAGCCTGGACCAGAGACTCTCATGTCTAATAGAGACCCAGCTCCAGGGAGCTGTACTCTCCCATCATTTTCCTGTCCCAAGCAGAAGCCCAGGGTTTAGAGCGAACAGTATGTGGGGCAAGTTGTGTTCATAGTTCAATATGCAAATGTTCTCTATAGCCTTTTGCTAGGATTTCACACACCATATATCCAGGATCAGATACATAATTTGCAGGGCCCAGTGCAAAATCAAATTGCAGGACCTTTTCTTCAAAAATGATTAAGAATTTCAAGATGGGGACAACAGAGCATTAAACCAACCACAGGGACCTGTGTGATTTACACAGGTCACACATCCACAAGCTCAGCCCTGCCTATAACTGAAAGATGTTTCAAAATCACTTCTGGAGCTTAGGAGCGAAGTTCCTGTTGTCTGTGAGAAAGAAGAGGACATAATCCTAGATTAACAGAATCTTAAATGACAATTTCCACTTCTACCACCTGAATTGGAAATACTTATTTGTCTGGTGGACACCCTGATGAAAGTGGATATTATAAGAAAAGACTGCCAGAGCCTTCCAGGTGATCTTGAAATCTGGGTCAAGCAGTATTCCCGGATAGGATGCCTACAGAAACCCTGGGGCAATGCATGAGGAAACTGCTGGAAGGAGAAAGTTCTTTGTGGCAACCCAGGGACAAACCAAGAGAAGTAACCGGGTGATGTGCCAGGTAGTAGTGTTGCAGCAATGAACAAAGTGCCAGCAGCCCCCACACTGAGCTAACCCAGTCTGATATGGTGACCACAAATAAGTCCTGTGAGGCCTGAGGGTGGGAGGAGATGAACAGTGACATAAGTGTGCAGAAATGAGGACAAGACAGGGTCCTGCCACAGGCGAAGGGGTGGGGTTTTAGGGATGCTGCCTAGGAAGGGACTGGAGGGACAAGATGAGTTTGGGGGTCTTGTAGAGGATTTGATGCTGAAAATAACTCTTTAGAGATAGTAATCCTTTCAGATGCTTCCCACAGTCCACATGGGATTCTGTCTCCCAGCCAGTCAAATCTGGCCTGACCCTCTCCATTTTTTCCTTATGATCTTTGCCCTAGTCTCTCCCATTTGATCTGAGGTCCTCCAGAAGCCATCCATGGCCCCACTGAGCCCCAGGAAGCTTTGAATTGTTTAGTAAGCATATCAATCATGGTCCATTCAGGAAAACAGCAACCACAATAGTTATCTTAGCAGAGAGAATTTAACAGAGAGAATTAACAAATACTGGAGGAAAGGACAAAAGACAGACATTGTAACTTCAGGAAGTAACTCCCACCCCAAGGACTGGGAGAACAAGGGGGAGAGGTGGGTTTATTAGAACCTAGGAATAGATAGGGGAGTCTAGGGGGAAACCTCAGCTCAGGCTTCCGAGGAGAGGGCACTGCCAGGCGGGTGCTGGTGCCTTAGAAGGTGGATGGATGGTCCTGAGAGCCAGGACCCAGATCCTTATGGAGTGGGCACTGCCTGGCTGCTGCTGCTTTCTCTGATGGGGGTGATGAAGCTGGCTTGGGGAGCATAAAAAGTGTCACTCTCAGAGGGCCAGGCACAATGGCTCATGCCTCTAATCCCAGCACTGTTGGAGGCCGAGGCGGGTGGGTTGCTTGAGTCCAGGAGTTCAAGACCAGCCTGGGCAACATGGCAAAACCCTGTCTCTACAAAAAAACAAAAACAAAAATTAGCCAGGCGTGGTAGATTGGGCCTGTGATCCCAGCTACTTGGGAGGCTGAGGTGGGAGGATCGCTTGAGTCTGGGAGGTGGCTATAACCGACACAGTGCCACTGCACTCCAGCCTGGGCGACAGAGCCAGACGCTGACTCAAAAAAAAAAAAAAAAAAAAAAAAAAGTGTCACTCTCAGGGTAAAGAACAGATGCTGTGGTGACGTTGGCGGGAATGGAGAGCAGAACAGGATGAAGCTGCTGCCTTCTCCCATCTTCCAGCATTTCAGTCTCCCTCTAGTGCCACTTAGTGGTGCTTGGGCTCTGCCGAGAACCCAAGGTGGAGCCGCTGAGGGCAGAAACGTGGATTCCAGAGTCCCTTGATCTTGATCTGAATGTGCCCCATGCCCCTAGCTGAGTGCACATCTTCTTGTCCTCTCTGATAGCCAGGGCCACACAGCCGCTAGTTCCTTATCCCCCACCCCAAGAACTCCAAGCATTACTGCCTGCCCTGCTTCCAGAAGTAGCACACCCAAGAAATTCAAGCGAGAGCCCCTATCTCTAACAGACCCTGCTCCGTCCCTATTTTGGAGCACTGAGAGTTTTTCTATTCCTCCCCCTGTTCCTTCTAAACCAAAAAAGTTCATGGTCTTGTTGAAAAGCCCATTTCCCTAAGAAACCTCCTCTACTCTATATACACACATTGGTCCTGACTTCATAGTCTAGTAACCTCAAGATGAAGTTTCCCCTTCATCTTTTTTTAAATTAATACATAATAATCCTATTTATGAGGTACATAGTGATGTTTCAAACATATAATACGTGGTGATCAGATTAGGATAATTCCATATTCCACATATCCATCATCTCAAGCATTTATCTTTTATTAGTGTTGTGAATATTCAATATCCTCCTGGCTATTTGAAACTACGTGTTCTTGTTAACTATAGTCATCTTACAGTGGTTTATTCAGAGAACTGATGAACTTTCCCTCCTATCTAGCTGTAATTTTGTATCCTTTAACAAAGGTCTCCTTTTGCCACCCTTTCCCCACCCTTCCCAGCCTCTAGTAGAAAGTTTTACTTTCAACTTCCATGAGATCAACTTTTTTTTAGCTTCCACATGAGTGAGAAAATGCAGTGTTTAACTTTCTATCCCTGGCTTGTTTCACTTAACGTAATGTCCTCCAGTTCCATCCATGTTGCCACGAATGACAGGATTTCATTCTTTTTATGGCTGAATAACATTTCATTGTGTACATACCACATTTTCTTTATCCATTAATCTGTTGATGGACACCTAGGTTGATTCCATATCTTGGCTATTGTGAATAGTATTGCAGTAACCATGGGGATGCAGATCTCCTTGATAGACCGATTTCCTTTCCTTTGGATAAATGTCCAGTAGTGGGATTGCTGGATCTTATGGTAGCTCTACTTGTGGTTTTTTGAGGAGCCTCCATACTGGTCTCCATAGTGGCTTTACTGGTTTACATTTTTTTTTTTTTTTTTGGAGATGGAGTCTCGTTCTGTCACCCAGGCTGGAGTGCAGTGGTATGATCTCAGCTCACTGCAACCTCCACCTCCCAGGTTCAAGCGATTCTCCGGCCTCAGCCTCCCGAGTAGCTGGGATTACAGGAGCTTGCCACCAGGCCTAATTTTTTATATTTTTAGTAGAGATGGGGTTTCACCATGTTGGCCAGGCTGGTCTTGAACGCCTGACCTCAGGAGATCTGCCCGCTTCGGCCTCCCAAAGTGCTGGGATTACAGGCATGAGCCACTGTGCCCGGGCTTACTGGTTTACATTTTCACCAGCAGTGTATAAGAGTTCCCTTTTCCCCACATCCTTGCCAGCATTTGTTTTTTGTCTTTTTGATAACAGCCATTCTAGCTGGGGTGAGATGATACTCCACTGTGGCTTTGATTTGCATTTCCCGGATGATTAGTTACATGGAGCATTTTTTCCATCTATTTGTTGGCCCATTTGTATGTCTTCTTTTGAGAAATATCTGTTCAAATCACCATTTTAAAATCAGATTTGTTTTTTGTTTTTTTGCTGTTGAGATGTTTAAATTCCTTGTATATTCTGAATATGAATCTCCTGTCAGATGAATAGTTTGCAAATATCTTCTCCCATTCTGTAGGTTGTCTTTTCACTCTATTGTTTCCTTTGCTATGCAGAAGCTTTTTAGTTTGATGTAATCCCATTTGTTTATTTTTGCTTTTGTTGCCTGTGTTTTTGAGGTCTTATTCATAAAATATTTCCGCAGACTAATGTCCTAAAGCATTTCCCCTATGTTTTCTTCTAGTAGTTTTATATTTTGGGTCTTACCTTTAGTTCTTTGATCCACTCTGAGTTGATTTTTGTATAGCATGAGAGATGAGTGTCTAGCTTTGTTCTTCTGCATATGGATACCCAGTTTTCCTGGCACTATTTATTGAAGAGATTGTCCTTTCCCCAGTGAGTGATCTTGGCACCTTTGTCAAAAATCAGTTGGCTATAGATACATGGATTAATTTTTGCATTCCCTGTTCCACTAGTTTGTGTCTATTGTGCTGTTTTGGTTACTATAGCTTTGTAGTATGTTTTGAAGTCTGGTAGTGTGATACCTCCAGCTTTGTTCCTTTTGCTCAGGATTGCTTTGGCTATTTGGGGTCTTTTGTGATTCCATACAAATTTTAGGATTTTCTTTTCTATTTCATTGAAGAATGTCTTTGGTATTTTAATAAGAATGGCACTGAATCTGTAGATTGCTTTGAGTGGTATGGTCATTCTAACAATATTGATTCTTCCATCTATGAGCATGGGAGGTCTTTCTGCCTGTTTTTATCCTCTTCAATTTCTTTCATCAGTGTTTTGTAGTTTCCCTTGTAGATGTCTTTCACCCCCTCGGTTAAATTTATTCGTAAATATTTTAATTTTTGTAGCTACTGTAAATGGGATTGACTTCTTGATTTATTTTTCAGGTAGTTTGTTGTTTGTGTATAGAAACACTACTGGTTTTTGTGTGTTGATTTTTGTATCCTGCAGCTTTAGAGAATTTATTTATTAGTTCTAAGCGTCTTTTGGTAGAGTCTTTAAGTTTTTCTATATATAAGATTACGTTGTCTGCCAACAGGGACAATTTGACTTTATCCTTTCCAATCTGGATGCCCTTTATTTCATTCTCTTGCCTAATTGCTCTGAATCCTCTTCATCTTGATAAGGTATCTCCAAGATAATTTCTCTCTACCTTAGAGATAAGGAAAATGTGACATGAGAACAGCCAGATGAATATTTGTCCAAAGAGTAGTCTGATTCTCATGCAGCCTTGGGGAGAAGCCATAGACAGGACTGAGGTGCCATGCTGTCTTTCCCAAAGTGTGACGGTAGCAGACCTGGTGCCCTGCCCGTATTTTCTTTCCTGGGCTGGTACACCTTGCCCTCTAGCTCCTGGGTGTTGCCACTGCTCACACCTACCTCTTTCTCTTGCTCTTGGTGGATAGAGCGCCTTGTCTGGAGATGCCTTGAAGGTTATGCACCATCTTCAGGGCGCAGCCTGTGGCCAATGACTAATGGAGGTGGGTATGTAACAGCCCAGCCCCCTTATCTTGGCAGGGGTACAGGGGCAACCTCTGTAGTAGAGTTTATTATACTCCAGTGGTCCCTGTGGGGTTGGGCTAAGGCTAAACTTAGCTTGAACTTGCATCTTTGCTTGGCTTATTCCCTGCCCTATACAAGTTTCTCCAGAGATCCCTCCCTCAAAAATCATGTACACAAGAATCACCATTTCAGGTCTTGCTTCTGGAAAACCCAAACTATAACAGTGTCCCGTCCAACACCAGTCCTCTGAGATATTGATGAGAAATAAATTTAATGGCCAAGTAAATTTGAGCAACTCTGCAATTTTATTCTTCTCCTAGAGAGTCAAAATACCTATTAAAGGTCCTGAAAA
Source organism: Homo sapiens (assembly GCF_000001405.40). Taxonomy (NCBI): domain Eukaryota; kingdom Metazoa; phylum Chordata; class Mammalia; order Primates; family Hominidae; genus Homo; species Homo sapiens. The sequence continues at coordinate 74,821,645 of NC_000016.10, forward strand.
ATCCTGCAATGAAGAAACCTGCTTACCCTTGTTCCATCCTACCAACATCAGACACTTTAGGGAGACCCATCCAGGCAATGTGCCTCAAGGAGCCAGTCAAGCTCAGAAGGAGTAGGAGAGGGGATAGGAAAGGGGTATTGGGCAGAATCACTATTCTAGAGTATTCTAAGAAAAAAGTCTATTCTAAGACTGGCTTTAAGGTTTGGGTTGGGTTTGGTTGAGGATTAGAGAGAGGGTTTGTTCTGTGGCTGGCCTGTAACCCTGGGGAAGCTTCCAGACCAGTGGTCTCTCAAGTCCAACCCTGAACACAAATGATGAGGTTAGAGCCAGCCCAATCCCCAGCATATGGGTGTGGAAGCCTCATGTGTCCTGGCCTGCTGGCTTTACTGTTAACCATTGTTATGACTCCCTCAGACCTTACTCTGCCCAAAGACTACACAGCATGACCATCTCTCCTCCTTTCACTGCCAAGCTGGAAGAATATTGTCTGACTAGAGAAAATTGGTAACTTTTTGTTAACTGACAAAGTCCCAGATCCAAATTCAGTCTAGGAGACCAGTTTATCCTAATCCAGCTTCTCTTTTCTCTTCTCCATGAGGGTGTATGGGACTTAGGGTCTATTGACGAAGAGGGTTGACAGGTCCGCGGTGATGGGGAAAAGTGATACCAACACAAACATGGCAGATCTGTTCATCGTGGTAATCAGGTCACAATGTACACAAATGTCAAAACATCATGCTGTACACTTTAAATAAATATATACAATTTTTATTTGTCAGTTATACCTCAAGAAAGCTGAGGTGGCTGGGCGTGGTGGCTCATGCCTGTAATCCCAGCACTCTGGGAGGCTGAGGTGGGTGGATCACTCAAGCCCAGGTGTTCGAGACCAGCCTGGCCAACATGGCAAAACTCTATCTCTATAAAAAATATTACAAATATTAGCCGGGCATGGTAGCAGGTGCCTGTGATCCCAGCTACTTGGGAGGCTGAGGTGGGAGGATTGCTTAAGCCAGGGAGGCATAGGCAGAAGCTGCAGTGAGCTTAGATCGCAGCACTGCACTCCAGCCTGGGTGACAGAGTGAGAACCTGTCTAAAAAAAAAAAAAAAAAAAGGAAAAGAAAAGAAAAAGAAGCAAGCAAGCTGGGGAAAGAATTTCACAATTCCACTTAAGATTATAAATCACATATGAAGTTTGCTTGAATAAGCCAGCTTATACTTCACAAATAGTTGAATTATCCCCAGATATTAAAAAAAAAAAGCCATGAGAATCAGTGGCTTGGATGTAGGAAAAAAATGTCCAGAAAGAAAAAAATAAAGGCCAGGCACAATGGCTCACATCTGTAATCCCAGCACTTTAGGGGGCCAAGGCGGGTGGATTACTTGAGGTCAGGAGTTCGAGACCAGCCTGGCCAACATGGTGAAACCCTGTCTCTACTAAAAATACAAAAAATTAGCATGCACCTGTAGGCCCAGCTACTATGGAGGCTGAGGCACGAGAATTGCTTGAACCCAGGAGGCGTAGGTCACCGTGATCCAAGATTGCACCAGGGTACTCCTTACTCCAGCCTGGGTGACAGAGTGAGACTCTGTCTCAAAAAAATAAATAAAGAAAATAAAGAAAAAAATAAAAATATACTTGATGAGAATACAAGCCCGTGTTGACTGATGCACTAGCACAGTGAACTTGAATCATCCTGATTTTTGTAAGTGTGAGATGACCGATTGCCTAGGGCAGTGCTTTCAGAGGCCTGAGACCAAGAAGATGGGAGTACAAGAGGAAACCTGTGGTGTGGACATGGAGGCCTGTATGTACTGGAGAAGACTTATTGCGTGGACATGAAAAGCTTTGTGTACTTAAGAAGACCTGTGGTATGGATGTGTGAACCTTGGGGACCAGTGGTATGGACAGGGAAGGCTGTGTGCTTCTGAGGGAACATGTGGTTTGTTTCCAGAAGGCTGTTAGACGCAAGGAGACTTGTGATGTGGATACGATGTTTGCCTGTGACCCGAAGACCTGACAGTGTGGACACAGAAGGCTGTGAGCACCTAGGGGACTGGTGGTGTGGACACTGATGGTTAGTGTGCGGAGGGGAGACACTTGTGCTGTGGCCACAGAAGACAGCATGTGTTTCAAGAGGACTTGTGGTGCGGGCAGAGGTGCCCTTATATCCCTGAGGGAACTTCTGGAGTGGAGGTAGGAGGCTGTGTGTCCCTAAAAGGACTTGTGGTTGTGAAAGTAGAAAGCTGTCCATATGTGAAGTGACTCGCCTGGGCGCAGTGTCTCATGCCTGTAATCCCAGCACTTTGGGAGGCCGAGGCAGGTGGATCACGAGGTCAGGAGATCGAGACCATCCTGGCCAACACCATGAAATCCCGTCTCTACTAAAAATACAAAAATAAGCCAGGCATGGTGGCACGCACCTGTAATCCCAGCTACTTGGGTGGCTGAGGCAGGAGAATCGCTTGAACCCAGGAGGCGGAGGGTGCAGTGAGCCGAGATTGCGCCACTGCACTCCAGCCTGGCGACAGAGAGAGACTCCGTCAAAAAAAAAAAAGAAAGCTATCCATATGTGATGTGACTTGTGGTGCAGACACCGAAAATCGTGTGTTCCTGAGGGGACTTGTGATGTGGACAGAGAACATAGAAGGCTACATAACTTGAGAGTACCAGGGACTTGGGAGTTTAAAAAAACAAGGCTGTGTGAACTTGAAGGGACTTCTGGTGTGGACCCTGGATGTGGACCAAGAAGGCGGTATATACCTGCAAGGGGTTGTGACGTGCACACCAAGGTATGTAGACTCAAGACAACTTGTGGAGTGGATTAGAAAGCTGTTTGTTCCCAGCAAGACTTGTAGTGTAGACACAGGAGGAGGTTATACACGAGGACGTGTGTGATGTGGCACAAAGGCTGTGTGCACCTGAGGAGACTTCTTGTGTAGATAAAAGGCTGTGTATGCCTTAGAGGCTTGTGGTGTGGACATAGCAGTTTTGTGACACTGAGGAACTTGTGGTGTAGACCAAACAAAAAAAAAAAGACTATGTGCATCTGAGGGGACTTTTCATGTCCAGGGGAATTGTGGTGTGTGTGGGTTGGGTAGGGAGGCTCTATGCATCTGAGGCCCCATCTGTGTTAGACGAGAAGGCTGTGTGTATTGGACGCAACTTGTAGTGGGAGGTAGAGCTCCTGTGTACCTGAGGTGCCCGGTGGGGTTGGTGTGCAAGATTCTGTATACCTGGGAGGGTTTGTGCTGTGGACACAGGAAGCTGTGTTAACTCAAGGGACTGGTGGCGTGCACCCAAAGGTGTGTGTGCCACAGGGACATGTAGTGAGGAAGTTAAAAGCATGAGGGAACTTGTGGTATGGACACAGCTCTTTGGGATTTTTTTTTTTTTTTTTGAAACAGAGCCTCACTCTGTCACCCAGGCTGGAGTGCAGTGCCACAAACATGGCTCACTGCAGCCTTGACCTCCCAGGCTCAAGCCATCCTCCCACCCTCAGCCTCCCAGAGTGCTGATATTACAGGCATGAGCCACAACACCCGGCCTGGACACAGTTCTAATAAAAAGAGAGATAATAACAAGTGTTGGCAAGGATGTGGGGAAATGGGCGCCTCTTATGCTGCTGATAAAGTATATTGTACCAGAAATTAGGTGGGAGCCACAAAACATAAGCGACTCATAGAAACTTAAATTTTCTTGTAACCACATTTAAAAAGGTAAGAAGAAACAGGTGAAATTAATTTTAATACTATATTTCATTTAACCCAACATACTCCAAATATGATCAAGGCAATATGTAATCAATATAGAAACTACATTTCACTAAACTATAGAAACCTTATTTCACCTGACTTGGAGCTCGCCCTATAGGGTAAGGTAGGGGGAGCCTTTTCCCCAAGTGCATTTGTCGATAACATTTAGAAGCAATTGCTTGATTTCACAGCTGCCTGAGATCATGGTGAGAGATTTGATTTTATTTTTTAATGAAGACTTTTTTTTTTTTTTTTGAGATGGAGTCTCACTGTTGCCCAGGCTGGAGTGCAGTGACATGATCTCAGCTCACTGCAACCTCCACCTCCCGAGTTCAAGCGATTCTCCTGCCTCAGCCTCCCAAGTAGCTGGGATCACAGGCCAAATCCATCATGCCAGGCTAATTTTTGTATTTTTTAGCAGAAACGGGGTTTTGCCATGTTGGTCAGGCTGGTCTCGAACTCCTGACCTCAGGTGATCCACCTGCCTCAGCCTCCCAAAGTGCTGGGATTACAGGCATGAGCCACCGTGCCCGGCCCTAAATGTAGTAAGTCTTTAGAACCCAGTGCATGTTTCCTTTTACGCTTACAGCACATCTCAATCCAGATAAGCCACATTTGTAGTGCTCAGTGGCTACCATATTGAGCAGCACAGACTTAGGGCATCTGCAAAATACAGTCGTTATCATGCTGAGCCCTTTATACCCACATCCTTGTGACACAAACGATTAGAATCAGCCTGCTCTGCCTGCCTCGTGCTTCTGCCACCCTAGGTGATCCGCTAAAGGATTCACTGGAGTATTGTGTTTAATCTTCCCAGCAGTCCTGTAAATAAACACCATTATGATACTCACTTTCCCCATGAAGACACTGAGGATTAGAGATATTAGGAAACTAGCCCCAAGCTGCATAGCCACTGAGTGAGGTAGCCAAGCCAGAAAGCCTTAGGCAGAAACTTTTCCCACAAACCGCCTCCACATGGTTTCCCCAAAGCCCCACATGCACCTTCTAAAGCAGGTTCCTATTACAGGGCATTTTGAAATAGAAGCCTATCTGTACCTTCTTTCAGGGTGAGTTAATAAAGATTTAGCTCTAAATATGCATGCATTTTGGCCAAGTGAATTCTCACCACCACCACATCACTGGCTGCTTAAAATGTTATTAAGAAATCAGGTGTGGGCTTGATTGCATCCATCTATCCACTTTTAGTTCAGAAGTTAAAAGACTGTAATTTACTTTCCTATTGATTTGATTTATGATTTCCAGTTATGCAGGCTGTTGTTTTTCAAGCAGAGATCAGAACAGGAAATGGCTGTTTCGACTTCTATCCATGTTTTGCAATGTGATTTAAATGGTTCTGAATTTTTGGCTTAGATGTGCCAAACTGCATTACCTTCAACCTTCTCCAGTAGCTTGCAGGGTGCTATAGAACTAGCCACAAGCAGCGTCGTTCAGAAGCAGTTTAGGGAAAGCAAGGACCCCAAGTTCTTGTGGCAATTTCTATGCTATCTGGCCATGGGATTCCTAAGATTAGCATGTTTTCTGTTTGCTTTGGGAAGGGGTAGAGAAAGCAAGGAAAAAAGTGATATGATCCTTGTCTGCAGATTCTAAAGGCCTTAAAACTTCTGGTATCATGTAAATTCTGTTGTTTTGCTGGCTCAGTAAGGTTGATTTTTTAAATGTGGCGACCAAACAATGACTTTAAGTAGCAGTTTCTCAAATTTTAGGATTTGGTACAAATCACTTAGATGCTTATAAAAATACAGATTTTTCACTCTAACCCTCTGGAATATTGATTCAGTATATTTGAGGTGGGGCCTAAGAATCTACAGAACTTCCAAAAATTCTGTTCTCCATAGGGCAGTGAGAAAACTGGCAAAAATCATCAGGATCAACTTTTTTTTGGAATTCTAGAAATTAACCAAATGGTTGCAGCAATCCAGGAAGCATTTATTCAAGAAAAATGGCTCTTGGTAAGGACAGCTAGCATTGTGGTGTTTTTACTTGCTCCAGTCTTAACCCCTTCCCTCCAACTCCATGGTAACCTTGAAAACCAACAGCTTGCACTCATGAGGAAATCCAGTGGTCCGGCAGCCACCAGAAGGGGCTGAGGTTGGAGCACCTTTGAAGTCTATTTCCCAGAGAATTCTCATCATTTGACCTATCTAGTTGTTCCCCGGAAAACCACTTGCAAAGCTTTCTTTATTTCACCTGACTTGGAGCTCGCCCCATGTGGTAGGGTAGAGGGGGGCCTTTTCCCCAAGTGCATTTGTCAATAACATTTAGAAGCAATTGTTTGATTTCATGGCTGCCTGAGATCATGGATAACAGCCAGGTCAAACAACAGGCTTAACAAAAAGGCTTAAGAGGAAAAGCCTGGGAATGAGATTTTCAGAGAGCTTTGATAAGCTCTGATATATTCCCAGGAATCTAGAAGGCCAGGCATGTGTAGAGTTGTGTCCATGCTCAAGAATGACATGAGAAATCCCTAGGTTGTCACCTCTGGCTGACTTTGAGGCTCTGCACAAATGGGAAGTGAAGGCTAAGGTGGAGTTGCCAATTGTACACTCCACTGATTATTGAAAGCACACTCCAACATGCACACAAAACCCCTTAACAAAGACTTACTGGTTCCAGTTATTTAAGGAAGTCTCTGTCCAATCACTAGTTAACCACTAAACAAACCACATAGAAGCTTCAGTGGCTAACACAACCAAGGAATACAGACTTTATAAAATTACTTCAGAAATGTCATTAAACAAATTAACAAGAATAGCAGCAACAACAAAATCTGGTGGGAGAGTGAAGAAAGATCTTATTTCCAGAGTTGCCATATTATGTTACTTAAAATATCCAGTTTTCACTTAAAGATGAGACACACAAATAAACAAAAAAGTATAATCCATACACAGGGAAAAATAATCAATAGAAATTGTCCCTGAGGAAGTCCAGATGTTGGACTTACTAAAGATTTCCAATTATTTTCCTTCAACATGTTCAAATAAATGAAGGCATTTACAATGAACTAAAGAAAAGTTTGAGAATAATGTCTCATAAAATAGATACTATCAAAAGATAAAATTATAAAAATAACCAAATATAATTTCTGAAGTGGAAAAGCACAATAACTGAAATGAAAAATTTACTAGAGGAGCTCAACAGCAGATTTGAGTAGCCAGAAGAAAGAATCAGACAACCTGAAGATAGATCAATTGAGACTATCCAGCCTGAGGACAAGCAAGAAAAATGAATGGAAAGAAAAATGAGCAGAGCCTTGGAGACCTGTAGAACACCGTAAGTATCCCAACAAACACATAATAAGACCCAGAAAAAAGGATAGAAAGGAACAAAAAGAATATTTGCAGCCTGGGCAACATGGCAAAACCCCATCTCTAAAAAAAAAATACAAAAATTAGCTGGAGGTGGTAGTGCACACTTGGGGTCCCAGCTACTTGGAAGGCTGAGGTGGGAGGATTGCTTGAGCTCAGGAAGCAAAGGTTGCAGTGAGCCAAGATGGCACCGGCCTTGGTGACAGTAAGACCTTGTCTTAAAAATAATTTTTGAAGAAATAATAGCCGAAAACGCCCCAGTTTAAAATTTACACATCCAAGCCTAACAAACTCCAAGTAGAATAAACAGAAAAAGAACCACACCAAGACACATCATAATCAGATTGTTGAAAGACAAAGCGAGAATCTCAAAAGTAGCAAGAGAAAATTGACTCTTTACATTCACAAGAGCCTTGTAATATCAATAGCTGATTTCTCATTAGGAACCACAGAGGCCAGACAAAAGAAAAAACATTGTCAACTAAGAATTCTATATCTGACAAAACTATCTTTTAAACATGAAGGAGAAATTAAGATGTTCTCAGATAAACAAAACCTCAAAGGATTCATTACTAGCAATCCTGCCCTATAACAAATATTAAGAGAGTCCTTTAGCCTGAAATGAAGACTCTAGACAGTAGTAACTTGAATTCATTTGAAGAAATAAGAGCATTTGTAAAGAAAACTGCTTAAACATAAAAGGCAGTATTAATGTGTTTTTGTTGTAACTCTATCTCTTATCTGAAAAGACAATTGTGTAAAGCAAAATTATAAATCAGTGTTAATGTGCACATAATCTATAAAGATATAATCTGTAAGACAATAATGACACAAAGGAGGAAGGGGAGAATAAAGATTTTGTGTAATACTGACATAAAGATGTATTAATCAGATCTAGATTCCAATAAGATGTTCATTATAATTACCGGGGCAACCAACTCAAAACATATAGAAGTGACAAAAGAATTGAAATGGCACATTAGAATATATCTATTTAACACAAACAAAGGCAGTAATGGAGATGTGTTTGAGTAAGCAGACCAAGGATCTTGGGGAAGAGAACGTGCAGCGTGAGAAGATAAGTAGGAGATTTGCGCAACATTCTAATAAATCAGACCCAGCCTTGTTAGCTAAGGCAGGGAGTTTGGAGTCTGTTCAAAGGGCAAAAGTGCGATGGATTCTGTTGTCTCTATCTCTGTGTCTCTCTCTAATCAAGAGAATGAACAGCAGGCAGAGTCTTGAGTGTATCTCCTGTCTTCTAGAGACCCCCAACTGATGCAAGCATATTTCTTAATGTTATTTTAAAAATTATTTTATTTCATTTTTTGAGACAGGGTCTTGCTCTGTTGCCCAGGCTGGAGTACAATGGCACAATCACAGCTCACTGCAGCCTCAACTTCCTGATCTCGGGTGATCCTCCCACTTCAGCTTTCCAAGTAGCTGGGACTACAGGGACACACCACCATGGCTTGCTAATTTTTTGTAGAGATGGAGTTTTGTCACGTTGCCCAGGCTGGTCTCCAACTCTTGGGCTCAAGCGATCTCCCCGCCTCGGCCTCCCAAAGTGCTGGGATTACAGGTGTGAGCCACCACACCTGGCTAATTTTGATAGAGATGGGGTTTCACCATGTTGCCCATGTTGGTCTTGAACTCCTGGGCTCAAACGATCCTCCCACCTTGGCCTCCCAAAATGTTGGAATTACAGGTGTGAGCCACTGAGCTCGGGTCTGATGCAAATATAAACAAACAGTGTGTAGAACCAAACTAAGAAAGTCCAGCTTGGTTTAGACCATCAAATAATTATTCAAGGAAGAACAACTTCTTTGAATGCATAAGAATAATTTATAATGAGCTACTGTGGTATGTTTTTAGAGAGGTGAACCTTTTGTTTCTGTGTAAGTTTCAATGATTTTCCTGCATTCTTGCTCACACTGTTCGTTTATTGATTTGCATTTTGTGTGAAGTCAAATGTCTACTTGGATTTCCTCTGGATTATCACAGTGCTGAATTAATGAAGCTTAACTTCATAAAATACATCTTGCTGATGGCCTGACCCAGGATTTATCCTTTCTTAATCTCTTGGTGTGAGTCATCAAAGATGGAGCCCCACTAATCCTTGCTCTTCATCCCTGTTGCCAGAAGCAGGCACATGGGGCAGGTTCCTGCAGGCATGTCACCCTGAGTGCTGAATAACTAACGACCTGGACAGGGAGAGGGTTACCATGCTTGAAAAGCAGTTGTGGAAGGACTCACAGTGGAATTCATAGGAAGCTCCCGAGAGAGTTGAAGGCTTACACCTCACACTTCACAGGGGGATATCCCTTTCTTTAATCACACTTCTAAGAATGAAATTTCATTTCCCATGCCCTGAATTTTTTTTTTTTTTTTTTTTGAGACAGGGTGTCACTCTATTGCCCAGGCTGGAGTGCAGTGGTGCAATCATGGCTCACTGTAGCCTTAAATCCCTGGGCTCAAGTGATCCTCCCACCTCAGCCTCCTGAGTAGCTGGGACCACAGGCACACACTACCACACCGGGCTAATTAATGTTTTTTTTGTTTGTTTGTTTGTTTTTGTACAGAAGGAGTTTCGCCACATTGCCCAGGCTGGTCTCAAACTCCTGGGCTCAAGAGATCTGTCTGCCTCGGCCTCCCAAAGTGCTGGGATTACAGCTGTGAGCCACCACTGCCTTGCCTATCAGAGCTTCTTACAAGCACACCTAGCAAGTGAAAAGGAGAAAAATTTAATGGGAAACTTCCTCTCCACCCCACTTTCTACAATTCTAACATATTGATTTTCCTCCTATTTCCCACTTTTAGTCTTTCCTTCTATAAAAGGTATGTTGACCGCTTAAAAGTTTTCATTTATTTGTTCCTTCAACAAACATTTACTAATGCACCACCCCACGCTTTGGGTATGCAAAGATGACTATGTTAGTCATAACTCTTGGCCTCAAGCCGCAGAAAACAACTCTACACAGAAAGGGAATATTCTGGAAGAAGCAGATGGGCGTCAAGGGCTTGGAAAATGATCAGGAAACAGGACTGCGGCAGAGGACTAGGGAACAGGAAGATAACCACTATTTTTCAGCAGAAGCCATTTGGTCAGGATGCTACTACCAATGCCACCACAGGGTACCTCTGCTGGACACCACCATCCCTGTGAATGATGCCCAACTGTTTGTCTTTGTGCCACTTGTTCAAGATTCTGTGCCCCAGGAAGGAGAAAGTGATTGGCCAAGCCAGGACCCATGTCCACGCCCTGGTCACTTGAGACAGGGAAAGGGTGTTTCTTATCCTTTCATACTTCAAAGGTGGGAGGGAAAACATACAGTGGTGGGGGAGCTCAAATTTAGGAAGGGAGGCTGGGCGCGGTGACTCGTGCCTGTAATCCCAGCACTTTGGGAGGCAAGCGGATCGCTTGAGCCCAGGAGTTCAAGACCAGACCAGCCTTAGCAACAGAACGAGAATCTCTACAAAAAAAATCTCTACAAAAAAATACAAAAATTAGCTGAGCGTGGTGGCATGCACCTGCAGCCCCAGCTACTCCAGAGGCTAAGGTAGGAGGATCACTTGGGCCCAGGAAGATGGAGGCTACAGTGAGCCATGATTGTGCCACTGCGTTCCAGCCTCGGTGACAGAGTGAGATCCTGTCTCAAAAAAATATAGATAGATTAGATAGATAGATAGATAGATAGATAGATAGATAGATAGATAGATAGGAAGGGAAGTTTGGAGGCTTGGCAACCAAAAACAACAATGACACATTTCAATAAGCATGGCACTGACCTTGTCCTTGAAAAGTGCCCCATCTTGAAGGAGAGAAAGACAGTAAATAAACCAAACCCAACACAGAATAATAAACGCTGTGCTAGAGACATGATCAAGACAAAGCTCCCCGGAGTCAGATGAGCAGGAGATAAATCTTGGTTCTGTGAGGTGTAAGCTGTGTGAGCTTGAAAAGGCATTTAACCTCTAGTTACCTTCTCACTTGTAAAGAGAAGTTAATAATAGTAATGCCTTCAGAGGCTATAATGAAATGAAGTATGGCAAGCAGACAGCATCATGCCTGATACACTGGATCACCCCAATCAATGTTAGCAATGATGGGTACCTCAGAGAGCTATGGGCATGCTATAGATTTTCGCTGAAAATCTATAGTTTTTTTTGTTTTTGTTTTTTGAGACAGAGTCTTGCTCTGTTGCCCAGGCTGGAGTGCAGTGGCTTGATCTTGGCTCACTGCAACCTCCACGTCCCAGTCCGCATCCTGTGTTCAAGTGATTCTCCCACCTTAGCCTCCTGAGTAGCTGGGATTACAGGTACCCACCACCATGCCCAGCTAATTTTTTTTTTTTCTTTTTTTTTTTTTTTTAAGACAAAGTCTCGCTCTGTTGCCCAGGCTGGAGTGCAGTGGCATGATCTCGGCTCACTGCAACCTCCACCTACCGCGTTCAAGCGATTTTCCTGCCTCAGTCTTCCTTCCGAGTAGCTGGGACTACAGGCACGTGCCACCATACCCGGCTAATTTTTTGCATTTTTAGTAGAGATGGGGTTTCACTGTGTTAGCCAGGATGGTCTCGATCTCCTGACCTTGTGGTCCACCCACCTCGGCCTCCCTCATTTTTGTATTTTTAGTAGAGATGAGGTTTCACCATGTTGGCCAAGCTGGTCTCGAACTTCTGACTTCAAGCCATCAGCCTGTCTCAGCCTCCCAAAGTGCTGGGATTATAGGCGTGAGCCACTGCACCCAGCCATGCTGAAAGGTCTTTTGTTCACTCACACAAAACTGAGGCCCTGGGGCTCTATCTACTCACATTTTCCTAGAAAACAGATTCATTTGAACTTGATTTGCCTTTGGAAGTGGATAAGTGACTCTGCCTGAAAGCGAGGCATAACTGCAGTCATCTCTTCCAGATTTCTTCCCAGTTCCTTGTTTAATTCAGAAAGTGGAGTGGGTGCAGCAGTAGCTGGTCATGATACTTGCATCAGATTCTCAGAAGGTTGGGCAACTTCAAAAACAAAGTCGGAGCCTGGGCAATATCCTGAGTCCTCATCTCTACAAAAAATGTTTAAAAAGTTATTTGGGGCCAGACATGGTGGCTCACGCCTGTAATCCCAGCACTTTGGGAGGCCAAGGAGGGAGGATCACAAGGTCAGGAGATCGAGACCATCCTGTTGAACACAGTGAAACCCCATCTCTACTAAAAATACAAAAAAAAAAAAAAAAATTAGCCGGGCGTGGTGGCGGGCGCCTCTAGTCCCAGCTACTCGCGAGGCTGAGGCAGGAGAATGGCGTGAACCCGGGAGGCGGAGCTTGCAGTGAGCCAAGATCGCACCACTGCACTCCAGCCTGGGAGACAGAATGAAACTCTGTCTCAAAAAAAAAAAAAAAAAAAAAAAAAAGAGTTATTTGGGTATGGTAACACATGTTTGTAGTTCCAGCTACTGGGGAGCCTGAGGGAGTAGGATCACTTGAGTCCAGGAGTTCGAGGCTCCAGTGAGCTGCGATCACACCACTGCATTCCAACCTGGGTGACAGAGCAAGACTCTGTCTCACAAAAAAAAAAAAAAAAAAAAAAAAAAAAAAAAAAGCTGGGAGCGTCTACATTCTGCAGTAGAAGGAAGCTGTGCAGAAGGAGCCTTCAAGAATCAGGATGTCAGGGGAGGACCTGGAATGGCAGGCACATACCCAAATATGGACGTCCAAAGAAACGAGCTGAAGTTGAAGAATATTGCCCCCCTCCCCAATGGCCCTCCACCACCCAGCCATTATCTAATATTCTGGGATTGTTTAGGGAAAATGTTTTTCTTCATTTCCACTGGCTTATTTTATGATCTCTACTAAGTCAGAATCACTTCACATCTTGGTTTTGTTCTCCAAAGCAGCACCGTCCAGTAGAACTTTCCAGTAGACTATTTGGAAATATTTTATATGTGTACTCTCCAGATATGGTAGCCACTGATTATTATTATTAGTTTTTGAGACAGGATCTCACTTTGTCGCCCACGCTAGAGTGCAGTGGTGCAATCACGGCTCACTGCAACCTCGACCTCCAGGGCTCAAGTGATCCTCCCACCTCAGCCTCCCAAGTAGCTAGGACTACAGGTACACGCCACCATATCTGACAAATTTTTTTGTATTTTTTTTTTTTGTAGAAATGAGGTTTTGCCACGATGCCTCGGCTGATCTTGCTCAAACTCCTGAGCTCAAGTGATCCTCCTGCCTCAGCCTCCCAAAGTGCTGTGATTATAGGCATGCAGCACTGTGCCCAGCTGACACTGATAATTAAGCACTTGAAATGTGCCTTCTGTGACTGAGAAACTGAATTTTAAATTAAATTAAATTTAACTTAATGTAATTTTGTTTGTTTTTATTTTTAGAGACAGGGTCTCTCTCTGTCACCCAGGCTGGAATGCAGTGGCACAGTCATAGCTCACTGCAGCCTCAAACTCCTAGGCTCAAGTGATCCTCCCACCTCAGCCTTCCCAGTAGCTGGGACTACAGGCATGTGCCATCATACCCATTTGACTTTTTTCATTTTTGTCTCACTTTGTTGCCTGGGCTGGTCTTGAACTCTCAGGCTCAACTGATCCTCCCACCTTGGCCTCCCAAAGTGCTGGGATTACAGGCATGGGCCACTGCGCCCGGCAAAACAGGCCATTTACCCTCTGTGGAGTCTAGACTTTCTTGCTGTCTTGTTCTTTGCCTCATTGACTTTATGCTGTATTTTCTGGGCCAGAGGAAAAAGCTACAGTGCCTTTTGTTTTGTTTTTTTGGCTTAACACAACACAAATTTGTTTATCTCAGAAGTCCAAAGTGGGTCTCTGGGGCTAAACTCAGCAGAGCTGCTTTTCTTCCAGAGGCTCTCGGGGAGAATTTGTTTTTTTGCCTGTTCCAACGTCTAGAGGCCACCCACGTTTCTTGACCTATGGCCCCTTCCTCCACCTTCCAAGCACATCACTCCAACATCGATTCCACCTTCCTATCTCCTCTCTGCTCTGATCCTCCTGCCTCCTTTTGAGACAGAGTCTCGCTCTGTCACCCAGGCTGGAGTGCAGTGGCATGATCTTGGCTCACTGCAACCTCTGCCTCCCGGGTTCAAGTGATTCTCCTGCCTCAGCCTCCCGAGTAGCTGGGACTACAGGTGCATGCCACCACGCCTGGCTAATCTGGCGACAAAGTGAGATCCTGTCTCAAAAACTAATAATTTTTTAGTAGAGACAGGGTCTCAAATGTTGACCAGGCTGGTCTGGAACTCCTGACCTCAGGTGATCTGCCCACCTTGGCCTCCCAAAGTGCTGGGATTATAGGCATGAGCCACTGCACCTGGCCTCCTGCCTCCTTCTTAGAAGGACTCTTATGATTACACTGGTCCCACTCACTTAATCCAGGATAACCTCCATTTTAAGATCCTTAATTTAATTGCATCTGCAAAGCCTTTCCTACCATGTAAGGTGACATGAATTCACAGGTTGCTGGGATGAGGCTGTGAGTATCTTTGGGTGAAGAGGGGTGCATGACTGTTGTCCAGGTGGCCTTGGACCAATTCAGTTCCTCCCTCTTTCTCACTTCCAGTTCTCAAGAACGATTGTAGAATGTGCTGAGAATGCAATACCTTCAGATAAAAAGGAACCAGTAGAACAGCCCAGGCTCTTTTTCTGTCCCTCCTAGAAAAGGATGCCCTTCACTCCTTAGCCCAGCAAGTCTCATGACTCCCGAGGTATAAAACCCAGGACAGCCTCGTTTCCAGGGTCCCTCAGCTGTGGCGCAAGTGGGTTCCATCCACCCCAGGAAGCTCTCCTGAGCCTCGGGGGACTGGCTCTCCATGAATCCTACGCTTCTGCCATCCTTTGCTGCCTATCTGTGAATAATAAAGTTGCTTTGTGGCTGGGTACAGTGGCTCATGCCTATAATCCCAGCACTTTGGGAGGCTGAGGCGGGCGGATCACTTGAGGTCAGGAGTTTGAGACCAGCCTGGCCAACATGGCAAAACCCAGTCTCTACTAAAAATATAAAAATTAGCCAGGTGGCAGGGTGGTGGCAGGTGGCTGTAATCTCAGCTACTCGGGAGGCTGAGGCAAGAGAATCGCTTGAACCCGGGAGGCAGAGGTTGCAGTGAGCTAAGATCATGCCACTGCACTCCAGCATAAGTGACAGATTGAGACTCCATCTCAAAAAAAAAAAAAAAAAAGTTGTTTTGTAAGTTGTGTGACTGTTCTGTCTCACTGGACTCACCCAAGTAGTAGAAATTGCAGCTGAAATGCAGTGGGCTAACGTGGTGCCAGTGCATAGGGAATCAGCCTTGCAGGGGGCATCGTTAAGCGTACCAGAGGAAGATTTTCTACTGTAAGCTGCGTACAACAAGGCTTTTACAAATGAAGAGAAAATAGAATTTTAATTCTGGTCCTGATTTTTTTCGCTCAGCTCTTGTTTACCAACTTGGCATCTTGTGGCCAGAGCGAGCCGGCATGGGAACTTCAGAGAGTTTGCAAAACCCCTTTAAAACTAAGCTGCATAAGTATCATTTGAAAAGGTTAGAGACAATGGGTGCTTATGGCCTCTCTTCTCTGTGAGCTTGCCAAGGCATGCCAGGTTTTACTCCTTTGGGATGTTTCCAACTACAAAGTACTTTTCCACTCCCAAGATCACACAGCCTTCCAAATGAAATATTTTTTAAAAAAATCAGAGTCTGTGAGAAAAAAGAAAGCTATTACAATCAGGAAGAGAAATAACAGTCCTTTTTAGAGCCACCCCTATACATATAATTAATGTGCCAAACTTGAATGTCATCATATAAATTCTATCTGGCATTTTCATTTTAAACAAGCATCTAGAATGTTTTTAGCCAAGCATGGTAGCATGAGTCTATATTCCGAGCTACTTGGGAGGCTGAAGTGGGAAGATCACTTGAGCCCAGGAGGTGGAGGTTGCAGTGAGCTGAGATTGTACCATTGTACTCCAGCCTGGGTAACAGAGTGAGACCCTGTCTCAAAAATAACAACATAAAATAATAACATAAAATTAATAATAAAATTTTTTTTAAAAATTAACTACTGTACAGAATTGGGCCATATATATTTTTTTTAATTAAGTCCAAACTTTACAAATTAAGCAATATATATGTGTGTGTGTATATATATATATATGTATATATATGTATATATGTATATATGTATATATATATGTATATATATGTATATATGTATATATATGTATATATATGTATATATGTATATATATGTATATATATGTATATATGTATATATGTATATATGTGTGTGTATGTATATATGTATATATGTATATATATGTATATATACGTATATATATGTATATATGTATATATATGTATATATATGTGTGTATATATATATATTGCGTTTGTGGTACACAGATGTCACAATCAATTTGTTTCATTGTAGTATTTTTGTAAACTTTTTTCCATGATCTTTCACCTATAGAGATATGAAGAAATAGAAGAGTAGAGGTAGGCAGTTGAAGGATGAACGAGACAGTCACCTGCAGATGCCCAACAGCAGCCAAGTCACACATTGTCTACTCTTGATCTAGTTAGATGGTGGAAAAGCAGTGCTGATTATAGCCCTGGCCTTTCAACTGAAAACTTGGAATGAGAGACACCTGCTTCATTTCTCAGTGGCTATTTCTTTACCTGAAAAAAATACCAACAGGGATCAGAAACTGAGCAAGGGGACACTCTTCACGTTTTGTTAGAAGTTCTGAGTTCAGTTTGTCAACACTGCAGGATGGCGGCTGATGGATGGATGCCCTCAACATAAGGAGAGCGCAGGATTCAGCTCACTCTTAACAGGCAGCAGGAAGAAACCCAAGTTGGGGGCAGGGGGAGAGTTGCTGAATTCCACCTACTGAAATCTGAAAAGCAAAATTGGTAAGAATGACGTTTGAAAGATCATTGGAATGTATGATGCACTGGGTCGAGAAATTTACAATAAACTCCAGTTTGAAGATGTGGCCTCAAGAAACACAAACTGAGAATGGATCACGCTGGTCCGCCTCCAGTTTGTTGAACCCAGGTTCCTGTGTTCCCGCTGCCTTTGGCCAGCAGCCCTGAGTCACCCTTTATCTGTCAAAGAACAGGTTTTCTTCATTCAATGAGCAAATAAACTATTGTTTCCTTGCAATTTCTTTCTTTTTTTTTTTTTTTTTTTTTTTTTTTTTGAGATGGAGTCTCGCTCTGACGCCCAGGCTGGAGTGCAGTGGCGCTATCTCGGCTCACGGCAGGCTCCGCCCCCTGGGTTCACGCCATTCTCCTGCCTCAGCCTCCGGAGTATCTGGGACTACAGGCGCCCGCCACCACGCCCGGCTAATTTTTTGTATTTTTAGTAGAGACGGGGTTTCGCCGTGTTAGCCAGGATGGTCTCGATCTCCTGACCTCGTGATCCACCCGCCTCGACCTCCCAAAGTGCTGGGATTACAGGCGTGAGCCATCGCGGCCGGCAATTTATTTCTTGGATTGTGAGGAACATTTGTCCTGTAGACTTTTCTATATTCTAGACCTTTCTGGTTGCATCCCTACACACTTCCTGTGAACTGGTGTTTACAGTACAAGCTCGAGACACTCACTCAGCTCTGCTTAAGTGGATTCATGAATTAGCAATCCTAGAAAGGCATAAGAAATAAGCATAGGCTGGGCATGGTGGCTCACGCCTATAATCCTAACACTTTGGGAGGCCGAGGCAGGAAGATCACTTGAGCTCTGGAGTTCGAGACCAGCCTGGGCAACATAGCAAGGCCCCCAAAAATAAAAATTTTAAAATTTTAAAAATAAAACACAAAAAAATAAATAAGCATATAGGTGACGAAGAAAATAAGTTTTAACACAAACTGTATCAATCCTGATGTGAAAAGTTGTGTCATCATTGTGTTTCTTTTTATATGCTTTCTTCAGTTTTCAGTGGTTTGAAACATTTCAGGCGATCTGACATACTAGAGAATTTAACATACAATTTTAATTGTAATCCTCAGGAAGCTCTAGCTATTTAAGCGTGCAATCAACGTTTAAATGCTAAAGAGTTCTGACTTTCTAAATAGATAAGTTTGATTTTCAACATCTAGAAACACTTTAAGGTTTTGATCTTACTAAAGGTACATTTTGATTAATGTATATTTGACTTATAAGACTTATCTAAATCCCTATCAAGATTTTATTCTTCAATATGTAAGGCTCTCTCTTAGGTGCCTGCAAAATTCAGATTTAAAGAAAGAGCTCAACTTTCCTATGTGAACTGCAGGGTAAGTTCTTCTTTTAGAAGAACATAGACTAATGAGTGCAGGAGTAAAAGCCTTGAAGTATCATCATTCCACAAACGCTAAGAAAGTAATGATTCTAGACCATCAGCTGCCAAAACCATCAGGTGGAAAGCCAAGGGGACACATTCACAACAGATGCATCTGGCTGAAAAAAAAAAAAAGAAAAAAAATATATATATATATAATTTTTTGAGAGACAGTCTCACTCTGTCACCCAGGCTGGAGTGCAGTGGCACAATCTTGGCTCACTGTGGCCTCTGCCTCCTGGGTTCAAGCAATTCTCCTGCCTCAGCCTCCCAAGTAGCTGGAATTACAGACATGCACCACCACACCTAGCTAATTTTTGTATTTTTAGTAGAGACAGGGTTTCACCATGTTGGTCAGGCTGGTGTCGAACTCCTGATCTCAAGGGATCCACCCGCCTCGGCCTCCCAAAGTGCGGGGATTACAGGCATAAGCCAGTGCACCCGGCCTATCTGGCTGATATTAATAAAACCTGAATCCATTCATCTTCACATCACATCACATCACAAAAAGAGGAACAGCCAGACATTCGTCTCCTGCTGGAAGTACACAATACCACCTAGAACACAGTCCTGCCAAAAAACCACTCCTGAGTGTGATCACTTCTCTAGCTTAAAGTTGTCAAATTTAGCAAATAAAAATGCAGAATGATTAAAAAAAAATACAGGGGCTAAGCGCAGGGGCTCACGCCTATAATCCCAGCACTTTGGGAGGATAAGGTGGGCATATTGCTTGAGCTTAGGAGTTCAAGACCAGCCTGGGCAACAGGCAAAACCCCTGTCTCTACAAAAAATACAAAAATTAGCCAAGCATAGTGGCATGCACCTGTAATCCCAGCTACCTGGGAGGCTGAAGTGGGAGGATCACTTGAGCTCAGGAGGTTGAGGCTGCAGTGAGCCGAGATTGCATCACTGCACTGCAGCCTGGGTGACAAAGTGAGATCCTGTCTCAAAGGAAAAAAATACAGGATGCCCAAATATTACAGGGGGCACACTTACACTAATAAAATTATTCATTGTTTAGCTGAAATTCAAATTTAGCTGGGCAGCCTGAATTTTATCTGGAAAACGTACTCTAAATCTAAACACCAGTTCACAGGAAATACATAGAGACACAGCCAGAAAAGTCTAAAATGTAGAAAACTCCGCAGGACAAATGTTCTTCAAAAAATAAATTGCAAGGAAACAATAGTTTATTTGCTCACTGAAAGAAAAAAAAATCCTA
Organism: Homo sapiens; assembly: GCF_000001405.40. Lineage (NCBI taxonomy): Eukaryota > Metazoa > Chordata > Mammalia > Primates > Hominidae > Homo > Homo sapiens. Next base: position 74,841,259 of record NC_000016.10, read on the forward strand.
TTTGTTCTTTGACAAATAAATTGCAGGAATGAAAGAGGGAGAAAAATCTATAGATTCTTTAGATTAAAAGAGACTTGGGCCAGGCACAGAGGCTCACCCCTATAATCCCAGCACGTTGGGAGGCCAAGGTGAGGTGGGCAGATCACTTGAGGTCAGGAATTCCAGACCAGCCTGGCCAATATGGCGAAACCCTGTCTCTACTTACAAAAATTAGCCTGGTGTGGTAGCATGCACCTGTAGTGTCAGCTACTCAGGAGGCTAAGGCATGAGAACTGCTTGAACCCGGGAGGCAGAGGTTGCAGTGAGCCAAGGTCACTCTACTGCACTCCAGCCTGGGCAACACCGTGAGAGGAGAGGAGAGGAAAAGAGAGGGGAGGGGAGGGTAGGAGAAGGGAGGAAAGAAAGGAAGAAAAGGAAGAAAGAAAGGAAAGAAAGGAAGGAAAGGAAAGAAAAGAAAGGAAGGAAGGAAGGGAAAAAAGAAAAGGAAGAAAAGAAAGAAAAAGAAAGAAAGAAGACTTGAGAGGTATACCAATAAATTTAATGTGTGGACTTTATTTGGACTTAATAAACATTTATGATACAATTAGAAAATTTGAAGACCAATAGAATATTTAGGAGTTATTGTTAAAAATTTTAAGTATCATGGTTGTGTTTTACAAAAGAATTTCTGTCTCTTAAAGATACACCCTGAAGTACTATGAATGAAATGATACAGTGCCTGAGATTTGCTTCAAACCAATCCTGTGGCAAGGTGGGAGGGGAAGAGAACACAGATGAAACAAGGTTAGCTGGTGCTGGTGGGCACGGTGGCTCACACCTCTAATTCCAGCTCTTTGGGAGGATTGCTGGAGCCCAGGATTTCAAGGCCAACCTGGGCAACATAGTAAGACCCCATCCCTACAAAAAAATTTAAAAATAAACCTGGCATGCTGGCACGTGCCTGCAGTCTCAGCTGCGAGGCTAATCATGCCACTGCAACCCAGCCTGGACAACAGAGTGAGACTTTGTCTCAAAAAAAAGATTAGCAGGTGTTGATAATTTCTGAAGCTGGGGGAGAAGTATGTGAGTTCACTATATTAGCCTATCTTTGCACATATGTTAAAAATTTTTAAAGTTTTTAAAAGGGGGGTTAAGAAAAACTAAGATTTAACTGTATAACTTAATAAATTGAATATTAAGACACCATCATCTGTAAGTTTGCATGCCTTCATAATTGAAATAAATGAAAATTTAAATTAGAATTCACTGAAAAAAATGCTATTTTTCCAATCTGTTTACAGACCGTTTGAATCTACCCAGTGATTCCTCTAGAAACCTGGGGGCATGTGAGGACACAGCCCTGCAGAAAGTGAAGCGTGGCCAGAGCTGCCTGGAGCCCTGCCTGTGCCAGCTCGTCTCCTGCCTTGAGTCCTTTGCGGTGGGAAGCAGGAAACTGTCGTACCAACTTATGCTTTGGTGTTTTGTTTTATTTCTTTCTCCTAAAATCATGGATTTTCTGGTTTTGTAATGTCGGGTCTTTATTTTGTAACTCAGCTTTAAGACAGATTGTGGATTTTTTTTTTTTGAGACGGAGTCTTGCTCTGTCACCCAGGCTGGAGTACAGTGGTGTGATCTCGGCTCACTGCAAGCTCCGTCTCCCGGGTTCAAGTGATTCTCCTGCCTCAGCCTCCCGAGTAGCTGGGATTATAGGCACCTGCCACCACGCTCGCCTAATTTTTGTATTTTTAGCAGAGACGGCATTTCGCCATGGTGGCCAGGCTGTTCTTGAACTCCTGACCTCAGGTGATCCACCCGCCTTGGCCTCCCAAAGTGCTGGGATTACAGGCGTGAGCCATTGCACCCAGCCTAGTTTGTGGATTTTTAAATTTCAGAACCAGGAAGACAGCGCTTCCAGCAACCGGTTTGTGCTCCCCAACTCTGTCACACCCCCTTACTGACATTTGCACGGGTGACCGCGGCCTACGGGTCGTACCAGGACGCCAACATTCCCTTTCCTAGGACTTCTGGGGCCAGGTTCTGTAGAGCAGGTGGGTCTCTTTGGTTCTCTGATTCTAGATTTTGAGAGGGAGCAGCTAAGAATGTCATAGATTCTGTATAAACATCTTCATCAGAAAACGTTTGCTTTTACTCCGGAGAACTCAAAGGAGACTTTCATAGTAGTGTGGCAGGGTCTGAGGCCCAGTCGGTGTCTGTGGACTTATCCTAAGGGGGTGCACCAGAATGGGGGTCTTAACTTTCTTCATTCTGATGAGCTTGGATTTCAGTCTTTACTCAGAGCCCTGATTCTTAGCAGGGGTCAGTCCCCTGGTAGGGAGGCTTAGAGTCCCGCTGATGACTCTGCCCAGTCCACATACATCCTCTCTCCTGGACCCTGGAGCGCTGACCTTTGTTCCTGGTAAGGGTGACTGCAGTCAGGAGTCTTGCAGCTTATGAAAATGTGTCTTACCCTCAGGTGTACAGAGATAGAAGAAAGACTGGCCAGTCCTGCCTCAGGATTTCCCACGGCCAGCTTGTTGACACTGATGGCTCACGTGATACCTCCTTCTTTAGGTTACCTGGTGTATTTCACAAGGCCCATGACGATGCATCGGGCGGTGCCTCCCACAGAGCCTACTCCGAGGTGAGTCCGGGAGATGCAGAAGCTGCTCTACGTTCCCAGGGCCAGAAGTGGCCAGAGACCTGCGAAGGACCACACAGTCTGTCTTTGGACAATGCGTTTTAGTTCTTCAGTAAACTCCCATTATAAGATTTGAGAAAGATGGAAGTTTATTATAAAAAAGCTGAGATTTCTGCTCTAAGATTTCTATCAAACCATTTGAAGTAGCTTGACAAAAGCTATTGTCAAAACAAGGCAAATTCTTTTTAAATGTGTTTTCTCCTATTTTTTGTTTTTTGAGATAGGCTCTCACTCTGTTGCCCAGGCTGGAGTGCAGTGGCACAATCACGACTCACCGTAGCCTTGAATTCCCTGGGCTCGGGTGAGTTTTAAATGTCACAATCACGACTCACCGTAGCCTTGAATTCCCTGGGCTCGGGTGAGTTTTAAATGTGCCTTTTTTTTTTTTTTTTAATGTGCTTTCCTCCTTTTTTTTTGTTTGTTTGTGATACGGTCTCACTCTGTTGCCCAGGCTGGAGTGCGGTGGCACAGTCACGGCTCACTGCAGCCTCCAACTTCGTGGGCTCAGGTGATCCTCCCACCTCATCCTCTTGAGTGGCTGGGACTACAGGTGTGCATCACCATGCCCACCTAATTTCTTTTCTTTTCTTTCTTTCTTTTTTGTAGAGACAGGGTTTCACCATGTTGCCCAGGCTGTCCTATTGTTAAAGTATTATTTATTTTTTAAAATTATTTTAATGTTATTATTTAATTAATATTAAATACGACCGAAAAAATAACAGAATAATCATCTGTAGTTCCATAACACTAATATGCCACTTCTAACCTTACCAAGACATGTAATTTTTAAAAATTACATAAGTAGGCAAGGCCCAGTGGCTCATGCCTTTAATCCCAACACTGTGGGAGGCTGAGGTGGGCGGATAGCCTGAGGTCAGGAGTTTGAGACCAGTTCTAGCCAACGTTGTGAAATACTACTAAAAATACAAAAAAATTAGCCAGACGTAGTGGCGGGCACCTGTAATCCCAGCTACTCGGGAGACTGAGGCAGGGGAATTGCTTGAACCTGGGAGGTGGAGGTTGCAGTGAGCCGAGATCGCGCCATTGCACTCCAGCCTGGGCGATAGAGTAAGACTCCATCTAAAAAAAAAACAAAAACAAAAAAACAAAAAAAAATTACATAAGTATGTTGGGAAAACAAACAATGAGGAAATTTTAAATTACAATGTGAAAGCCCTTATTTTCCTTTTCCATGTCTCTGAGAGAGCCATGTTTAATAACGGAACATGTATCTGTCCAGTTGTCATTATTTTTCTGTGCTTTCTTTCTTTCTTTGTTTTTTTACAGATAATCTAGTGCAGCAGATAGGAGTGTGGATTTCAGAGCCAGACTGCTGGGTCCAAATTTTGGCCCTGTCATTTTATGACCTTGAGCAAGTTATCTTAACTTCAGCTTCAGTTTCTTCAACAGTAACATGGGGATGATTGTAGCACCTACCACCTGCAGTTGCTGGGAAGATTAAGTTCCTATAAAAACATTTTAAAGGCTGGGTGCAGTGGCTCACACCTGTAATCCCAGCATTTTGGGAGGCTGAGGTGTGAGGATCACTTGAGGTCAGGAGTTCAAGATCAGCCCGGCCAACATGGTGAAACCCGTCGCTATTAAACATAACAAAAAAAGTAGCCAGGTGTGGTGGCACATGCCTGTAATCCAGGAGGCTGAGGCAGGAGAATCACCTGAACCCAGAAGGCAGAGGTTGCAGTGAGCTGAGATTATGCCACTGCAGTCCAGCCTGAGTGACGAAGCGAGACTCTGTCTCAAAAATAAATAAATAAATAATAAAATAAAAATAAGAAAAGCATTTAAAACACCACCTGGCACATTGGAAATGCTCTACATTTCCTGTTTCGATTACTGGCTTTTAAAACTTTAGGGTAATACAGTAGACTTCTGGTTCTGCAGTCTGGTGACCAAGATATAATAACTTGCAGACCTCCCTGCTGCAAACCCCTGAAGGTGCTGGATACAGTATAATCAGCATAGTTGTGAACTATGAGCTAACAAGAAAGAAAGGGGACTGAGTGATGTGTGTGAGCAGACACTGCTGCTTTGCCGAGAGGCGGCCAGTCTCTGCAGTAACCCGGGCAGATGACACCTGGGCCCCATGAGAACTGGGGTTCAGTACTAGGGAACACCTGCATCACTCCCAATTCCTTATTGGAGTAGAAAACAGTCCCCTTTTCTCAAAGGGAAACAAAGAATATCTATATCTGGCCTTTGGATTAGAGGGAAAATTGTTCCTATTAGAATGTTTTTCAACTGACAGTCCTTTACTGAGGTATAGTTGACAAAACACAAATCTGAAGATTATAGCTCGGTGACCAACACTCATATTAAGATACAGAACATTGTCCTCACCCCTAAAGGTTCCCAGTCCCTTTTCCCCAGCCCTTCAGCACCCAGAGGACACCACTATCTTGACTTGTCATCATAGTTTAGTTTTGCCTGTTCTTGAACTTCACTGAACTGGAATCGTGCGGCATGGCCTGTTTTATGTCTGGCTTACTTTGCTCACCTTAATGTTATTGACATTGATCCACATTGCTGCTAGTGTCAGTATGTCCATCATACGAATATAACACAGTTTATTCATTGTCTTAATGATAGATATTTGCATCGTTTCCAGTTTTTGGCTGTCATGGGCAAACCTGGACACCTATGTTCATAAAAAGATTTGTATATTAATGCCTACACCTGACAACAATTCCTTAGTCATTGGATAGGTGTATGTTTAATTTGAGAAATTACCAAAAAGTTTGTGCCCAGCAGTTGTGCCATTTACCCTGTCACCAGCAATGTTTCAGAGCACTGGTTGCTACACGTTCTCTGCAAAACGTGGTACTGCCAATCTTTTTACACTTGATCTTGGCCAAATGGCCGAGAAGAGATTGCTCATCTTTTCAACTTTTAGCCACTGTGGTGATGAGAGAAAGAGCACGCAAACTGGAAGCAGCAGTGTGTTTATAACCCAATCTCAGAAGTGAGATGGTATCACTTCCCCCATATTGTATTAGTGACAGGGATCAAAACAAAAGAATACAGACACTCAACTCAAACAGATACTTGTCCACCAATGCTCACAGCAGCTTTATTCCCAATAGCCAAAAGGTGGGAACAGCTCAAGTGTCCATCAACTGATGAATGGACAAACAGAATGTGGTGTATCCATGCAATGGAATATGATTCCTCCACATAAAGGAATGAGGTTCTGATACACACTACCACATGGACGCACCTGCAAGGCCTCATGCTGAGTGAAATAAGCTACACACAAAAGGACAAATATTATGATTTCACCAGGTATAGGAAAGAACTCAGAACAGGCAATTCATAAACACAGAAAGTAGAGGTTACCAAGGGCTGGGCAGTGCAGAGGGTGGGGCATTCTTATTGAATGGGTATGGGGTTTCTGTTTGGGAAGATACAGTCCTGAATTTGGATAGTGGTGATGATTGCACAACATCATCAATGTACTTAATGCCACTGAACTGTACATTTTAAAATGGTAAAAATGGGGGAAAATGTTTAAAATGATAAATGTTTATGTTATATATATTTTACCACAATAAAAAAAAAGCAGCTATTCACAAAGCGGGTCTGTGCTGTGCACTAATTAAGGTCCACTTGATAGAAATGCTCTTTTTATAATTAATTTTTAAATTCTTTTTTCTTTGTATTTATTTTGTTTTTACCACAATAATGACTAAGAAATGCTTTTTTTTTTTTTTTTTTTTTTGGATTGGCTTCCTCAAATGCTGGGGAGCAAATGCCGACTCCTTTTTCCAGAACGCCTGTACTCTCTTTGCCTGTGAACAGTAACAACAAATGCTTATATCTGGTGTCTTGAATGTCAACTTGGAAAAGCTAAATGATTTTTCAAAATTATTACCAAGGCTTTCTTGTTATTGCCTAAGAAAATCCCATAAGCTCAAAACAATCATTTCTGAAATCTTAGAACCAGGAGATAAAAATCACGATACATTTGCCAAAGTCTACCCCCAGGTTTTTGCTGTAACTTAACTACTGGTCATTCAAGGCATAAAGGGAGGAGCAGGCGGGAGGCTTGAGACCTCAGCCACAGGTCCACTGTGTGTGCATGTCAGTTACACTACCAGGGAAACAAGAAATGAGTATCCTACGCAAGGGAGGAAAAAGTTTGTACGGCTTTTATCGTTAAGGAAATGTTAAAACTTAAACCAGGCTGGGTGCAGTGGCCCATGTCTATAATCCCAACACTTTGGGAGGCCGAGGCAGGTAGATCACTTGAGGTCAGGAGCTCCAGACCAGCCTGGCCGACATGGAGATACCTCATCTCTACTAAAAATACAAAAATTAGCCGGATGTGGTGGTGCATGCCCGTAGTCCCAGCTACTTGGGAGGCTGAGGCAGGAGGATCGCTTAAACCCCAGAGGCAGAGATTGCAGTGAGCTGAGATTGCCCCACTGCACCCCAGCCTGGGCAACAGAGCAAGACTCCATTTCAAAAAATAATAATAACTGAAATCAAACATTGTGATTGTCTAATCCAGATGGAGAGGCCTTACATTACAGTAGGCAGATTAGAGGTGGTGAGTGATATAAGCGGTGAAGGGTGGGCTTCCAGGAGCTGCTCAAATTTGTGGGGCCTGGAAACCACATACAGGAAGCCCCAACAAAGCTCCTCTAAGCACAAGAGGCATTGGTCATCTGCTGTGTCAGACTGCCATGTGGCCAGTGGGTCACCAGCACACCACAGGGTCCATTCACAGGTGGGTCCCCAGCCAATGGGCGGGAGCCGGGAAGGAGGGGTCCATGCCTAGGCCAACGTAGGTTTTCAGAATGAAAGAAGAATGGGTTCGTTCAGGAATCTGACCATGTGCCTCTGACTCCAGCTCTGCCAAATACTAGCCTAATGGCCCTGGGCAACGCTCTTAACTAGGTCTCAGTTTCCTCATTTGTAAATGTGGGAAGAAAATACCTCCCGTTCAGGGTTGCTGTAAGGATGAAAGGTAATGAACTATTTACAAAGTGCCTGTCGTTTGGGGTTCTCAGATGAATGGGGCCACCATGCTGAAATCTGCCTGACTTTGTTATTTAAAATAGTTTTAATGATATGCTCTATGGGAACTCTGTCCTTTCTGCTCAACTTGCAGTGAACCTAAAACTGCTCTAAAACACAGTCTATTTTTTAAAAAAGCAAGGTTCCCTTTGAGCATCACTGCCAACCTTGGTCTTCCTGCTGCTCTAAGGTAACGAGTTATCGGTTTGGTGTGTCCTTCCAGAACATTCTCTATGTATTTACAGATATATACATGTACCATAGCAGACATAAGGCATCATTTCGAGTTTTGTTTTGTTTTTTCAGATGGGAGTCTCTCTCTGTTGCCCAGGCTGGAGTGCAGTAGCACAATCTCTGCTCACTGCAACCTCTGCCTCCCGGGTTTGAGCAATTCTCCTGCCTCAGCCTCCCGAGTAGCTGGGACTACAGGCATGTGCCACCATGCCTGGCTAATTTTTTTGTATTTTTAGTAGAGATGGGGTTTGCCATGTTGGTCAGGCTGTTCTCAAACTCCTGATCTCAAGTGATCAGCCCGCCTCGGCCTCCCAAAGTGCTGAGATTACAGGCATGAGCCACCACGCCTGGCCCATTTTGCATATTTGTGTGTGCTTGTTGATATGGTTTGGCTCTGTGTCCCCATCCAAATCTCATGTTGAATTGTAATGCCCAGTGTTGGGGGAGGGACCTGGTGGGAGGTGATTGGATCATGGAAGCAGATTTCCCCCTTGCTGTTCTCGTGACAGTGAGTGGGGAGAGAGAGAGCGAAGTGGAGTGGGGGAGGGTGTTACACACTTTTAAACAACCAGATCTTTGCTCTGTCTCTCCTGACACCACGTGAAGACATGCCTTGCTTCCCCTTTGCCTCTCACCATGATTGTAAGTTTCCTGAGGCCTCTCCAGCCATGCAGAACTGTGAGCCAATTAAAACTCTTTACAAATTACCCAGTCTCAGTCATGTCTTTACAGCAGGGTGAGAACAGACTAATACACTCATCTCGATCTCCTTTCTTGCTGTCATCTGACTGTTCTATGAATCTTGATTAAAAGTATGTGATCATTAAGATACTGACTTCTACATCGTTTGTTGGAAGGAAGAAAGAAAAGAAGCAAGAGAGGAAGAGACAAAAAGACCAGAGAATAAGCAAAGCTACCAAGATGCTAAGGATTTGGCTGAGTAGATAAAAACTGGGTTTGTTACTCTGCAAGTGGAGTTGGCCTGACAAAATTAGTCATAATTGCATGTGAGACAGAGGAAGGCAGCCCTGACACCCTCGGCTGTGTGTTGCTGTTCTGCTGGTGAGCGCACACAATTTCACACAGCGTCTACATCAGACAAGGATGTCCACGATGGTGACAGATCAAGACAAAAATCAAGACCACCTGGGTATGGTGTTTGAACACAGACAAAACCTGAACATTTTCGAAGCCACAAATACCAACCATTGCCCCGACTTCTCCCAGCCGGTATGAGGGATGGCTACTTCTTTACCAATTGCAGCTGTAGCCTCACTCTCATCTACCCTTCCTATAATTAAGCTTTAGTAAAATATCCAATCATAGAATTATCCTTGCTTCCAACAGCAACATCTAACCCTGAGCAAATCTCCACTTCCATAAACCCACCTCCAAATCACCAGCCAGAAGTGCAAATCCTGTAATAAGGCCCTTAGAGCACTTTCTTTCCGAAATGCCCCAGGTTTCCATGGTGCAAGGTTTTCCTTCTCCGAAATGAGCAATAAACCCAACTTGCTTAACTGCAGGTGTGTTCCTGCTGGTCTTCGGCTGGAAGTATTCACAGGGATTTTCTTTAAAACTTGAAAAACAATGGATCTGGTGGCTCACACCTGTAATCCCAGCACTTTGGGAGGCCGAGACAGGCGGGTCACCTGAGGTTGGGGCTTCAAGACCAACCTGGCCAACATGGTGAAACCCTATCTCTACTAAAAATACAAAAATTAGCTGGACATGGTGGTACATGCTCGTAATCCCAGCTAATCGGGAGGTTGAGGCAGGAGAATCACTTGAACCCAGGAGGCGGAGATTGCAGTGAGCTGAGATTGTACCACTGCACTCCAGCCTGGATGACAGAGCAAGACTCCATGTCAAAAAAAAAAAAAAGAAAGAAATGAAAGAAAAACAATGGATCCTGCCCTAAATACTCATAGGCCAACCCTCATTAATAACTGCTTCCCACAGTGGATTTAACGACCTCCTTCCCGACACCCATTTCCCATTTCTCTTGGTAACCACCACTAACCCCACTTTTCAAATAACCCCTCCCAATCAGCCTACCTGTCCAGCAAGTTGACTTCCAGGAGCCCCCAAGACCCAGGCACTTAGAGACGAAGCCAGAGTAGATCTCCTTTCACAGGGCCCAGGAAACTTCCAGGCCCACCTGCAGGGCCCCGAGCTGACTGGCAAGCACTTAAACCTTGCTGGTGGGCGGCCCAAGGCCTCACTACACCTGTCAGCCCTTAGACCTCAGCAGCCGATTGGTATAGGAAAAGCAGATGGATGGACTGGAATTGTGAATGGGATTATTCTTCCATGATTTAAAATGCGTACATGTGCAGAACTTTGGTTTTTTAAAGAAAAACTACGAACATAGATGTAAGTTCTTTGTCATGTCTTTTTTTTTACTTAATATATTATCATTATTTGCTCCAAATTATTCCAAATCCCTTGCACTCATATCGCTCAGAACTGACTTCAGCTGGCCTGTTTGAGTTATTAACAAAACCTCTCTTCCCTTTTACTCTCTGCAATCAGCTTTTGAGACTATTTAGAAGAAAAGTCAAGTTTTCTTGGGTGACACTATTATTCCCATGGACTATGTAATATTCAGAATGCCAAAACTCTTTAGGGAGGGACTTTTCAAATATAATTTTAATTGTCACTATCTATTAAGTAAGCTACTAACCTTAATGTCAGGTTGATGACTTCTGGCCATATTGGCATAACATTTGAAATGTCAAACACACCCATAAAAGCTGCCTCGTAATAAATCTGTTGATAAGCACACATTCTTTGGGTGTGTGCTTTATTTGACCCATATAAACATTTGGCTCCAGGTGTAGCCACCCCTATTAAAACAAAGTGGAGGAATGACAGTGGTTTGCACCCAACAATGGGTGCTGAGTGCTGCCTCCAATATGTGTCATTCTCAAGAAAAAAAAGAAAAGACTGGCCGGGTGCGGTGGCTCAAGCCTGTAATCCCAGCACTTTGGGAGGCCGAGGCGGGCGGATCACGAGGTCAGGAGAACGAGACCATCCTGGCTAACACAGTGAAACCCCGTCTCTACTAAAAACACAAAAAAATTAGCTGGGCGCGGTGGCAGGTGCCTGTAGTCCCAGCTACTCGGAAGGCGGAGGCAGGAGAATGGCGTGAACCTGGGAGGTGGATCTTGCAATGAGCCAAGATCACGCCACTGCACTCCAGCCTGGGCGACAGAGTGAGACTCCATCTCAAAAAATAAAAATAAAAAAGAAAAGATTAATAATAAAATACATGTCATTCTTCTTAGCCACGCACTGAGCAGCCTGCAAAAACTTCCCTTTTTATATTTAAAAAAGTTTTGTTTTGGGTTTTTGTGGCAAGAAAACCTTACAATATTTAACTAGCTTTTGTTTTGTTTCGTTTTTGTTTTAAGACAAGGTCTCACTCTTTCACTCTGTCACCCAGGCTGGAGTGCAGTGGTGCAATCATAGCTCATTGCAGTCTCAACCTCCTGGGCTCAAGGGATCCTCCCGCCTCAGCCTCCCAAAGTGTCAACTAGGTTTTGTTTGCATGTAAAAACTCAAAGAATCATTAAAAAATCGAACAGGGCCAGGTGTGGTGGCTCATGCCTGTAATCTCAGCACTTGGGAGGCCAAGGCAGGTGGATGGCTTGAACTCAGGAGTTCAAGACCAGTGTGGGCAACATGGTGAAACCACGTCTCTACAAAAAATACAAAAAAATTAGCTGGGTGTGGTGGTCTGTGCCTGTAGTCCCAGCTACTTGGGGGGCTGAGGCAGAAGGATTGCTTGAACCCGGGAGGTCGAGGCTGCAGTGAGCCGAGATTGTGCCACTGCACTCCAGCCTAGGTGACAAAGTGAGACCCCGTGTCAAAAAAATAAATAAACAAAATCAAACCGTACAAAACATTAAAAATATAAAAGTAAAATTCTGTTCCCACCCCAACTCCCTCAGGCTGATTCGCCAGAGAAAATTCCCATTAACAATGTGGCCTTCCAGAAATTATCTATGTATTTATAAATGTTTATAAATTTATAAATACACTTAGAAATGTACATTTATATATACTTGATAAGTTACATATTTTTATATCATTTATATATATTTAAACATTGATATAGTTTATATATCATATATCATTTTTAAGAAATAGAACCACACTGGCTTGGCGCGGTGGCTCATGCCTGTAATCCCAGCACTTTGGGAGGCTGAGGCAGGCAGGTCACAAAGTCAGCAGTTCGAGACCAGCCTGGCCAACACGGTGAAACCCCGTCTCTACTTTAAAAATACAAAAATTACCCAGGCGTGGTGGCAGGCGCCTGTAGTCCCAGCTCCTCGGGAAGCTGAGGCAGGAGAATCACTTGAACCCGGGAAGCAGAGGTTGCAGTGAGCCGAGACCGCGCCATTGCACTCCAGTCTGGGTGACAGAGCAAGACTCCATCTCAAAAAAAAAAAAAGAAAGAAATAGAAACACTTTTTTATTTTTTTAATTATTATTATACTTTAAGTTTTAGGGTACATGTGCACAACGCGCAGGTTTGTTACATATGCATACATGTGCCATGTTGGTGTGCTGCACCCATTAACTGGTCATTACATTAGGTATATCTCCTAATGCTATCCCTCCCCGCTCCCCCCACCCCATGACAGGCCCCAGTGCATGATAGAACCAGTTTTATATGTATTTTGTCTGTGTGTTCTTTGAACAATATTTACGGCAGCACATATAATCCGGATCCATGTTTTCCCAGTGTTTTGTAGTATTCCATTGCACGAACATATCCACAATTTCTTTTATCATTTCCCTGTTGATGAACATTTATTTAGGTTGCTTCCCCTTTTTCTCACTGTAATAAACAAAGTGAAAGTAAACATTCTGGCCAGGTCCAGTGATTCTATAATCCTAGCACTTTCGGAGGCCGAGGTGGGAGGATTACTTGAGCCCAGGAGTTCAAGACCAGCCAGGGCAACGTAAATGACACTCCCCCATCTTTACAAAAAATAAATTTAAGAAAAGTAGCTGGGCACAGCAGCTCACGTCTGTGGTCTCAGCTACTTGGGACGCTGAAGTAGGAGGATCGCTTGAGCCCAGGAGTTCAAGGCTGCAATGAGCCATGATCTCGCCACTGCACTCCAGCCTGGGCAACAGGGTGAGAAAGAAAAACATTCTGATACAAACATTTTTGTGCATTTGCGTAAGCACATCGATGGGGTCAATTCCCTCTAATGAAGTTGAATGAAAGGATTGAGTATTGAACATTCAGAGCACTGTTGCCAAAGTGTTTTCCAAGAAGGCTTCCCCAATTCACACACCCATCAGCAGCGTACAACTCTGCATGCTTCCCCACACACTCGCAAACAGTGTGTTTTCTCAGCTTTTAATCTTGCCAGCCAGGGAGGTAGGAAGTGCTATTGCCTATGTACCTGCGTGTGCCTTTAGCCAGTACGCAGTGAGTTCAAGGTTGCTGCCATTTCTGAATACAGGGGCCCAATTAAATAAATGCAGAGTACTAAGAGGTATAAATGCTATTTCAAAAGTTTTTTTTTTTTTTTTTTTTTTTTTTAGAGAGTCTTGCTCTGTCACCCAGGTTGGAGAGTGCAGTGGCACAATCATAGCTCACTGTAGCATTGATCTCTTAGGCTCAAGCAAACCTCCCACCTCAGCCTCCCTGAGTAGCCCTGAGGCGCGCACCACCACACCTGGCTAATTTTTAAATTTTTTTTGTAGAGACCGAGTCTCACTGTGTTGCCCGGGCTGGTCTTGAACTCCTGGCCTCAAGCGATCCTCCTACTTTGTCTTCCCAAAATGTTGGGATTACTGGCGTTAGCCACCATGCCCGGCCTATCCTTATTTCTAAGCATGACTAATTGGCTTTGCAGCCTAAATTGGAAAGATTTTCATGTACTAAGTAGCACTTTTGTGCCATTTTCTAATTACTCCTTGATCTCAAAATGTCAAGCTAAGAATCAAGAGAACCTCAAGATAACATAAAGAGTAATTACAATTTTGATTCATTTATTTAGAAAGGCCACCTCATGTACAGGCACAGTGGCTCACACTTGTAATCCTAGCACTTTGGGAGGCTGAGGCAGGAGGATCACTTGAGCCCAAGAGTTCAAGACCAGCCTTGGCAACTTAGTGAGATGCTGACTCCATTAAGAAAAAAAGACAAGCCGGGCGCAGTGGCTCACACCTGTAATCCCAGCACTTTGGGAGGCTGAGGCGGGTGGATCACAAGGTCAGGAGATCGAGACCATCCTGGCTAACACGGTAAAACCCCATATCTACTAAAAATACAAAAATTAGCCAGGCGTGGTGGCACGTGCCTGCAGTCCCAGCTACGTGGGAGGCTGAGGCAGGAGAAACACTTGTACCCGGAAGGAGGAGGTTGCAGTGAGCCGAAATCGCACCACTGCACTCCAGCCTGGGCGACAGAGCAAGACTCTGTCTCAAAACAAAAAAAGAAAAAAGTCAGCACAAGTCATTTGAAATTATGGTAATGGTAACAATTCATAGGGGTCACCATATTGTATGTTTATGTCAATATTCTCAAGAATATGCTAAATAGAAATCAAGTGTAAGTATGGTAAATCTTACACCTTTTCTTTACCTCTAATGAACAGCTTTGGAAGAAAGTAATTACTGTCGTTATGGGAAGTCTTAAAACCCTTAGTGGCCAGGCGTGGTGGCTCACGCCTGTGATCCCAGCACTTTGGGAGGCCAAGGTAGGTGGATCACCTGAGGTCAGGAGTTCAAGAACAGCCCGGCCAACATGGTGAAACGCCATCTTTACTAAAAATACAAAAATTAGCCAGGTGTGGTGGTGGGCGCCCGTAATCCCAGCTACTCGGGAGGCTGAGAATTGCTTGAACCCAGGAGGTGGAGGTTGCAGTGAGCCAAGATCGTGCCATTGCACTCCAGCATGGGTGACAGAGCAGGCAACAGAGCGAGACTCTGTCAAAAAAAACAAAAAAACAAAAAAACAAAAAAAAAAAACACCTACCAATAAACTTTTTATTTTAGAAGATTTTTAGATATATAGCAAAATAGCAAAGATGTACAGAGTTCCTATATCCCATGCCCAGTTTACCCTGTTTGTTAATATCAGACATTAGCATGGTACATTTGTCATCATGAATGAATCAATATTGGAACATGATTACTAACTAAGACCCACACTTTACTCAGATTTCTTTAGTTTTCACCTAATGTCCCTTTTCTGTTCCAGGGTCCTATCCAGGATCCCACATGATATTTAGTTTTCTTCTCTCCCTCCGTAGGTTCCTCCTGGCTGTAAGTTTCTCAGATTTTCCTTGGTTTTGATGATCTTGACAGTTTTGAGGAGTGCCAGTCAAGCATTTTTTGGACTGTCCCTCAGATGGGATTTCTTTCTCAACGAACCTAGCCTGAGGTTCTGGTTTTAGAGGATGGCCGTAGCGGCAAAATGCCTCCTTCACTGCGTCATACCAACTATCATATCATATCATACTACCGACATGACTTTTATCGCTGTTAGCGTTGACCTTGATGGCCTGCCTGAGTGAAATACATTTCTCAACTTTCCCTGTTGGCATAAACAAGGATACAGGGCGTGATGAGTTGAGTCCTGATGGTTTCCAACGTAAATCATGGTGGCGAGGCTGAGTATTAAGGGGCAGGAAAGGCACATTCTTTCCAGGAGGCCCCATCAAGAGAGCAGGAAGAACTCTATGCCAGAGCATAAAAAACTTCAAGGCGCTGGCACGGTGGCTCATGCGTGTAATCCCAACACTTTAGGAGGCCAAGGCGGGCAGATCACCTGAGGTTGGGAGTTCAAGACCAGACTGACCAACACAGAGAAACCCCATCTCTACCAAAAATACAAAATTAGCAGGGCTTGGTGGCGCATGCCTGTAATCCCAGCTACTTGAGAGGCTGAGGCAGGAGAATCGCTTGAATGCGGCAGGCGGAGGTTGCGGTGAGCTGAGATCGTGCCATTGCACTCCAGTCTGGGCAACAAGAGGGAAACTCCGTGTCAAAAAAAACAAAAACAAAAACAAAACAAAACAAAACTTCAAAGCATATTAGAAATTTAGAAATACATTCTTCGAATGTATTGAGATAAGACTATTACCCGCACTTTACAGAGGAGGAAATTGAAGCACAGTGCCAAACACACCACCAAGACAAGATGCAAATCCACATTGTCTGGCCACAGGGTCCAGGCTCTTAATTACTACCCACTGACTCACCAATGCGATCCTTTGTCTTAACTTGCATTTCCCTGATTACTGGTGAGAATGGGCATCTTTTTTTATTGATTGGCTATTGGACTTCTGTTCAAGACCTCGATTTGGAGAGGTGTATAAAGGGGGACCCATGAGGAACAGGTTCAGGGTGGGACAGCAAGTTTTCAGAGTCAGAGCTGGCAGAGACCTGGTTGGGGGCCATCGCCTGCTCAGAGTCAGGGCTGGGTAGCATCGCTGGTATCAGCACCTAGAATCATCTCAGAATATAATTTAGGCAATTAGCCACCTTGGCTAGGGTGGCCAGATTTTGCAAATAAAAATACCAGATGTCCATTTAACTTTGAACTTCAGGTTAAGAACAAATAAGTATGTTCCAAATGACATCCAGATTTGCCTGAGGATCCTGTATTTTATCTGACAGTACCCACACTGGCTGCCTTAGCCTTCAAGCCTGGTTTTCCAGCCTCCCTGGAATTTCTGTGAATTACTAAGTAACTTTTTTTTTTTGAGATGGAGTCTTGCTCTGTCGCCCAGGCTGGAGTACAGTGGCATGATCTTGACTCACTGCAACCTCCACCTCCCAGGCTCAAGCGATTCTCCTGCCTCAGCCTCCCAAGTATCTGGGATTACAGGCACGCACCACCACACCTGGCTAATTTATTTTTATTTATTTTTAGTAGAGTCGGGGTTTCTCTGCGTTGGCCAGGCGGGTCTTGAACTCCTGACCTCAAGTAATCCGCCCACCTCAGCTTCCCAAAGTGCTGGGATTACAGGCACCAGCCACCGTGCCCGGTTCAGTATCTCTTTCATAAATCTCTTTCCTGCTTAACATAGCTGTAGTGGAGATTGTTGTGTGCCACTAAAACCCCTTATACTGTGTCTCTATCAGTGTGGAAAAATAAATGAAAGATCTAGAAGGCTGAGTGTTTTAAGAAAAATGGGACGGAACACAATTTTATATACATATATATTTTATTATATATTAGTTTTCTTATATATATATTAGTGGTATATTTTATTTTAGATTCAGGGCTACACGTACAGGTTTGCTATTTAGGTAAACTCGTGACTTGTGGGTTTAGTGTACATATTATTTTGTCACCCAGGTACTAAGCGTGGTACCCAATAGCTGGGTTTTATTTTCCTGAACTTCTCCCTCCTCCCACCCTCCACCCTCAAATAAGCCCATGTCCGTGGTTCCCCTCTCTCTGTCCATGGAGAACGCAATTCTCTAAGGAAGAGAAAATAGTGCAATATGCTTAACATGCGAAGTGCCTGCCTGGAGAATTCTACTTAATGTGGTTATGAAACAAATCATAACACCTGCTTGCTTCATGTACTTACATTACGTGCCTGAACCCCGTAGGCTTTGGAGTTTGCGACACCTGGAATAGTTCTGCATTTTTATTTTACGGATGAGTAACTGGAGATTGACAGAGGTTCTGTAACTTCTCTCAGTCACACAGCAAAGCTGGAGTGAGAACAAAGGTCTCCAGATTCACAGATGCTATTCCCACTGCTCCAAATTCCTGATCCAGAAAATTCATTCCCGTAAGTTTTGTGCGTACAAAAATGTATCACAAAAGAGCAGGAATCATGTCTAATTAACAAGTGTGCCCCCATAAAGGGTAGCATAATTGCCCGAAACTGAATAGATACTCCTTAAATGGTTGGATGGAAAAGTAGAATCAGGCCTTTTGAAAAATAGTCAGTGATTTAAATATTAATTTATTGAGTACCGTGAAATTTTTGCCAACCCAAAGTTGACCTTTGAATGATAGAACATAATCAGGCAGGTAAAAGGAAAGGTGGTCAGCTTCTTTCATAAGGATCTTAAAATTTTTATTTTATTTTTTGGAGATAGGGTCTCACTCTATTGCCCAGGCAGTTCAGTGGTGTGATCATGGCTCACTGCAACCTTGACCTCCTGGGCTCAAGTGATCCTCCCACCTTAGCCTCCTGAGTAGCTGGGACCACAGGTGTACACCACCATGCCCAGCTGTATTTTTTTTTTTTTCTTAGAGACACGGTCTCCCTATGTTACCCAGGCTGATCTCAAGCTCCAGGGTCAAGCAATCCTCTCACCTCAGCCTTCCAAAGCGCTGGTATCACAGGCATGAGCCACTGTGCCCGGGTTTCATAAGGATCTTTACAGCTCATTGGTGCACCCTCTTAACCAATGCAAGAATTCCCTCTACGACAGCTTTGACAGATGTTCGCAAGAGAACTCTTCCAGTGAGGGGGAGCTCACTACCTCATTACTGGACAATTTTAAGTCTCCTCTAGTGTAATCTAGATACCCTCAACTCCCCCGTCCTGCTGAAGTCATCTTTATCTTTAAGAACTAAGGAAGGTAGATTGTGGGTGGCCTCCTCCAGTGTTCCCCGTATTGAGCAGTCCGTCCAGGCAGCCACTTGCCTGCCACCACTGCGTACAGTTCAGTGTCCATGTTCATCGTCTTCTCTCCGGGGACCCTTCATCCACCATGAACTCCAGTCCTCTTCTGTCACTTCCCCCGCCAAACACCACTGACAAGGTCACTGTGTCTGGCAGATTTTTCTGAAGGGCTAATGGTCGTCGAGGGTAATTATGGCACCAAACAGGAAATAATTTCAAACTTAATGAGAAAATAGCCATTCCCCACCTTGGCAAATTTTTCACTCCGTGAGTCCTGGACTTTCCCCAGCCCTCCTCACGTTTCTTCCTTCCTTCCACAGCTCCCTGGGGAAAGCAAAAACTCTTCCTACCTTACAAGGCAGTAGAATTGGACTTTATTTTTTGTATCTTCCTCCTCTGACTGTAGCCAGAGGCAGCTCACCTTGCACAGCCAAAGAGGCTCATTAAGGTTATTTCCCTAAACAGAAATACTCTCAGGTGAGTTATGTTATAGCCATTATATGTGAAAGTCAGTACTATCGATTGATTCAAGTTATTTTTTTCTGCTACACTTAAACTGAGCTGAAATCTATATCCTTGTAATTTGATTCCATTAATCCTACTTTTGATTTCTGGAACTACAGAATAAATCTAATTTACTTTTAGCCATTAAAAGTCAGCTTTTCAGGCCAGACTTGGTGGTTCATGCCTGCAATTACGGCAGTTTGGGAGGCCAAGGTGGGAGGATTGCTTGAGGCCAGGAGTTTGAGAGCAGCCTGGGCAACAAAGCGAGACCCTCTCTCTACAAAAAAATTTAAAAATTAGCCAGGCATGGTGGCACATGCCTGTAGACCTAGCTACTTGGGAGGATCACTTGAGCCCAGTTTAAGGCTACAGTGAGCTGTGATTGCACCACTGCACTCCAGCCTGGGCAACAAAGTGAGATCCTGTCTCTTAAAAAAAAAAAAAGTCAGTTTTTCATATCTTCTCTATATCTTCCCTTTACCAGGTTAAAATTTTCCAATTTTGCAGTAATTCTTTTTTTTTTTTTTTTTTTTGAGACGGAGTCTTGCTCTGTCGCCCAGGTTGGAGTGCAATGGCGCCATCTTGGCTCACTGCAACTTCCGCCTCACAGGTTCAAGTGATTCTCCTGCCTTAGCCTCCAGAGTAGCTGGGATTACAGGCGCCTGCCACCAAGCCCAGCTAATTTTTGTATGTTTTAGTAGAGATGGAGTTTCTCCACGTTAGCCAGGCTGGTCTCGAACTCCTGACCTCAGGTGATCCACCCGCCTCGGCCTCCCAAAGTGCTGGGATTACAGGCGTGAGCCACCACACCCGGCCAGTAATTCTTCATTGTATATAGTTTTCAAATTTGTTACCACCTTGCCCATCCTTTGAACTCTGTCCCTCTAACAATGTCCTAGAATTGAACGCAATGATTCACCAGTGGGTTAATAAAGTAGAATAAATGGGGCTATTTTTCTCTCTCCATTCAGTGAACTATGAGATTTCATTGACCTTTTTGATCATAAATGCACATTGTTGCTTCATACCAAGCAGTTCGCTAAAACCTCTGGGTCTTTTTCATGGGAACGCCCTCATCCTGCACTTCTACAGTTACTTCCAACCAACTGGAGACTTTGCATCCATCCTTCATAAAACCTTTTTTTTTTTTTTGAGACAGAGTCTCGCTCTGTCGCCCAGGCTGGAGTGCAGTGGTGCAATCTTGGCTCACTGCAACCTCTGCCTCCTGGGTTCAGACGATTCTCCCGCCTGAGCCTCCCGAGTAGCTGAAATTACAGGCATGCATCACCATGCCCAGCAAATTTTTGTATTTTTAGTAGAGACTGGGTTTCACCATGTTGGCCAGGCTGGTCTCGAACTTCTGACCTCAGGTGATCTGCCCACCTCGGCCTCCCAAAGTGCTAGGATTACATGCATGAGCCACCGCACCCACCCCCTTTGTAAAACTTGTCTTTTCAGCCTGGATCTACGACCATCATTTGTTGAGATTTTTTTCATCTGGATTCGATGCAATTATCCAGCACATGAATTACCTATCTTATCTCAGCTCTCTGGCTTTGACCCATCTGAAATAGAAGGATAAACACAGTCTGTGAACTGTCCCCACCATGGTAGCTACACATTCTTGCCGTTAAAGCAACGTGATAGAGCAAAAGAAGTCAGGCTCACCTATAGGAGAGCTGGGTTCCAATCCTAGCTTTGTTGTTCTTCCTGCGAACTGCGGCAAAAGTCTCTGAGCTTTATTCTCACAGAACTGTCAAATGAGCTGTGTCTCTGATGGGGCTGGTTTGAAGGTCAACGGTGAAATACACAGAAAGACATGAACCTGGTTTCAGCTCATTGTTTTTATTTTTTTTATCTTTTATTCCTTACTTCAGTTCCACCTTTGAACTCCAATGCTGGACTCTATGTTGTTGGAGTCCCCCTACCACCTTACTGACCAAGCTCCTGGATTTGATGTGACCACATCCATCTTCCTTATTTATATGTGCACTGTAACTATGTTTCTCATTTTAAAATGTAATTTCAGGCCGGGCACAGTGGCTCACGCCTGTAATCCCAGCACTTTGGGAGGCCGAGGCGGGCAGATCACCTGAGGTCGGGAGTTCAAGACCAGCCTGACCAACATGGAGAAACCCAGTCTCTAGTAAAAATACAAAAAAATTAGCTGAGCATGGTGGTGTGTGCCTGTAATCCCAGCTACTCTGGAGGCTGAGGCAGGAGAATTGCTTGAACCCGGGAGGTGGAGGTTGCGGTGAGCCGAGATTGCGCCATTGCACTCCAGCCTGGGCAACAAGAGTGAAACTCTGGTCAAAAAAAAAAAAAACAAAAAGGTAATTTCATGTTAATGTCAGAGCTCTGATTTCAGCAATAATGTGTAAGACACATTCATGACCAACAAGGTGAGAGGCAGGATTTCAAACGGCTTTTCTGATGTTACGTCTGCTCAATCATTGCATCAACAAATCCAGAATGAATTATAAGTGAGCTGATCTTTCATTTCACAACTAGAGAAGTGAGTGTAGACTAGACTGAATTAACCCTTAACCTTATCTACATTTCAGATGGTGACGCGCTCACCTGCACTAGGTCTCTGCTGCCACCTAGTGTTAATAATTTCTCAGCTTTAAAGATGTCAATGTTCAGGAAGAGACCAATGTTCTAAAAATTACACCTTCAGCTCTAAAAATTACACTCCGAGCTCTTGCAGCCGTCTCTTACGGGATTTCCAACTCTTTCAAAGCTTTTTGTGGGAAAAACAAGAAAGAGCGTATCCTCTATTTATACTGCACAAGCAACCAGAAGCTTGGGCCAGTTAATGCTGAAAGAACTTTCAATCCGGAAGCACCCAAGGGGGAGAGAAAATGCTCTCCCGAATGGCAATTCAGGCCTATGACAGCAAAGAGCTGAGTTCAGTGAGAAAAGAGCTGCTATTTCTATTCCATTGTTTTTTTCATCCTTTATATTTTATCTTGGATTCACGTAGCAAAATAAAGTCAGTAGTTAGAGATTGTGTTGTAATTTATGTTGCTGTCAGAGAAAAAATATTTATGATAGAAGAGGAGCTTGGTCCTCATGTCTTTCTTTGTTTTTTTTTTGAGACAGAGTCCCGCTCTGTCACCCAGGCTGCAGTGCAGTGGCTCAATCTCGGCTCAGTGCAACTTCTGCCTCCCAGGTTCAAGTGATTCTCCTGCCTCAGCCTCCTGAGTACCTGGGATTTCAGGCACGCACCACCATGCTCGGCTAATTTTTTTGTATTTTTAGTAGAGATGGGGTTTTGCCATGTTAGCCAGGCAGTCTCAAACTCCTGACCTCAGGCGATCCACCCACCTCGGCCTCCCAAAGTGCTGGGATTACAGGCGTGAGCCACCGCGCCCGGCTGTGGCTGCGGTTTTCTTACGTTTTCCAGTTAGCCCACTGCGAAGACAGCTTATCCATGGGCCTTCCCATATGCTAATAGGCATTCTCCCTGATGGCATTCTCCCTGACGGCAGCAGTGGGATTTTCTGATATCTGGTTTGGGAAGACATAACCAGTCCCCTGAGATGAGTTGTGTATTTCCAAAGTGATGGCGAACACCATGGTTGTCCGCTATTCCTGAAAGTTCTATTGCTTTTCAACCACAAGTGTAACTGGAAAATAATTACCACTACCATAAGGGAAATATATAAAAAGAACTCAGAACACAAACTAGATGATACGGCTTGGCTCTGTGTCCCCACCCAAATCTCATCTTGAATTGTTAATCCCCATAATCCCCACGTGTGGAGAGTGGGACCTGGTGGGAGGTGAATGGATTGTGGAGGTAGTTTCCCCCACGCTGTTCTCGTGATAGTGAGTTCTCATGAGATCTCATGGTTTTGTGTTTGACAGTTCCTCCTACGCACACACTCTCTCACCTGCCACCACATAAGATGTCCCTGCTTCTCCTTCCACCATGATTGTAAGTTTCCTGAGGCCTCCCCAGCCATGCAGAACTGTGAGTCAATTGAACCTCTTTCCTTTATAAATTACCCAATCTCACGCGGTTCCTTGCAGCAGGGTGAAAACAGACTAATACGCTTTATGCTCATTATTTAACATCAGAAGTCCCTTCTAGTAGTGGCAAACCAGGCCTGAACTCAGTCCCACTGAGTCTACCAGCTAAATATCTGATTCTTTCCCCTTCTCTCCGTTGCTACTCCTTATCAAAAAGAGTTTCACTCACGACTGTTACTCCCTTTACTCAAAGGAAACACAAAAATTTTTACCATGACCCACACAACGAGCTCCTAGTTTCTTTGCTTGTCAGGCAAGGGAGCACACACCATGCATGGCTCTGCCAGAAGACACAGCAGCTGGGGTGTTGGTGTGTGTGTCAGAGGGTGAGTGTGCTAATTAAGGATCAATTCCTGCTCTCTAGGTGGGACGGAATGAGTCTATAAGCCCCTGTGCAATTCGTTAAAACAAGTCCCACTGGCCAGGTGTGTGGCTCACACCTGTAATGCCAGCCCTTTGGGAGGCCCAGCTGGACACTTGAGGTCAGGAGCTCAAGACCAGCCTGGCTAACACAGTGAAACCCCATCTCTACTAAAAACACAAAACAGTAAAACCCCATCTCTACTAAAAATACAAAAATTAGCTGGGCATGGTGGCAGGCACCTGTAATCCCAGCTACTCAGGAGCTGAGGCAGGAGAATCACTTGAACCCGGGAGGCAGAAGCTGCAGTAAGCTCTGATTGCGCCACTGCACTCCAGCCTGGGCGACAGAGTGAGACTCTGTCTCAAAAAAAAAAAAAAAAAAGAAACGGTCTTCAGTTACGTCCAGAGAGGGTCTAGCATAGCTAAGCTGATGTTCAAAATTCAGAGTTGTTCATAGTTGTTTATCAGACCCAACTGTGGTGAATCACAGTATCCAGCTTTTTTTTTTTTTTTTTTTTTTTGAGACAGAGTCTTGCTCTGTTGCCCAGGCTAGAGTGCAGCGGCGCGATCTCGGCTGACTGCAACCTCCGCCTCCCAGTTTCAAGCGATTCTCCTGCCTAAGCCTCCCGAGTAGCTGGGATTACAGGCGCCTGCCACTGTGCCTGGCTAATTTTTGTATTTTTAGTAGAGATAGGGTTTCACCATCTCGGCCAGGCTGGTCTGGAACTCCTGACCTCGTGATCCACCCACCTCGGCCTCCCAAAGTGCTGGGATTACAGGCGTGAGCCACC